>NC_000008.11:19860102-20163132 GCF_000001405.40 Homo sapiens
AAATGGAATCATACCGCATGTGGCCTTTTATGTTTGGCTTCTTTCACTTAACAGAATGTTTTTGCAGCTCACCCATGGTTTTGTATGTATCAGTGTTCTATTCCTTTTTATGTGTAAAAGACCAGAATATACCACTTCAAAATATATCTTTTTAGCATAAAGATTATTTTGAGTTGAAGGCATTGAGAAGAAACAGACACAGGAAAAACTCTCTGCCCTCCTTCTATTTGTCTAAAAGCAGGACATAAATTTACAAGGGTATCCCTCCTTCCCGTTCTACCAATGACAAAGGTTAAGCACCAGAGACACCTTTAAACCCTTATCAGCCTGGAGACTACCCAGTGAAATTTACATAACAAGCTTTACTAATTCTCCTTTGTCAACCATTTATTTGCCCCTGGAGGCTCAAAATCCCTTTCCTTTATCTTGTCACAATTCTAAAACATTTGTTATTCTTTGTTGAAGTTGCTATGTAAGCTGGAGTTCTAAGCTACCTCTTTGATAATCACTCATTTTTTGAGTATCTCTCATATGTATATGATATATACATTTTAATAAGCTTGTTTGTTTTTGTCTTGTTAATCTGTCTTTTGCTACAGGGATCCATCAGCTAAGAGCTAAGTAGAGAAGATGGGAGACTATTTTTCTCCCCCTTCATATGGCTTAATAAGTTTCTATTGTAAGCCATTAAGATGGAATGATTGATTCATTGGTTTTCCCATGCTATCCAGTCCTTCTGCCCCACCCCCTAATTTTAATTTGTGGTAAAATACCCTTAAAAATGAAGAACACTGACATATGCTATGACATGGATAAACCTTTGAAACATTATTTTGGGTGAAATAAGCCAGTCACAGAAAGACAAATACTATACAATCCCACTCATATGAGGCACCTAGAATCACCAAATGACTAGAAACAGAAAGTAGAATGGTGGTTGCCAGGGGCTGGCTGGGTGGAGCAGGTAAGGAAGGGAATGGGAAACTGTTAGTTCAATGGGTATAAACTTTCAGTTTTTCAAGATGAGGAGTTCTGGAGATGGGATGCATAGCAATATGAATATACTCAACACCACTGAACTGTGCACTTAGAAATGATTAAGATAGCAGATTTCATGGGGTGTGGTTATTTAACACAAATGTTTTTTAAAATGTATTCAAATATATATCCCATGCAATGTGTCATTTCAACCTTTATTTTTTGGTAACATCTGTCATTTTTGGTAACATGTTATTTTATAATCTCTGATTATAAAGGCAGTAGAATTGTGTTCTATGAGATTAAAATAAGGAGATATCAGAGCACAATATCAGGAATCACATGGTTTACTGACATAGAGAGATTTTTTTCTCTTTTGGTTCACAATGGTTAAAGATGGGGAAAATAGCAAATAGATCTCCCAGAGAATACACTTGATAGACCAGGTATGTTAACCACATACTGAGTGGGTTCCCAATTGCTCAGTTAGGATGGAAGCAGGGCTCTAAGAAAAGTAAAGCCTAATTATAAAATTTTGAGATGTACTTTGATAGGAGCGGTTCTCCAGAGAAGCTGGATTGACCAAGACAGTGGGGGAAATCCGTGAAGGACGTAAGGTCCCTTGATGCTAGAGGGCAGTAGCAGTGTGGTGGTGGGAAGGGGAAGGAGGGATGTTTCAAAGCTCCAAGGCCCATCACAGCCTGAGCTCTCGGCAATCAGAGAAGTAGCTGACAGAGCGAAACCTGCCACAACCTCGGCTCTCAAAGTGTCTGTCTAACTCATAAGTGTATATGTAATTGCAAGCCCAGTAGTTTAGGTCAGTGGCCTGATCAGGTATGACGTAACATTCCCAAGGGGATGGGATGCATTGCTATTTTTAACCTCATACAGTAAGATAGAAGAGGAAAGAAATAACTTAAAGATGGATTTCATAATTAGAAGGGCAGCAGCATGGAGTTTTCAGCCTGGCCATGTAAAGAATGAAAAGGTGTGCTCAGGAGAGCGAACCAGGTGTGTGCTAAGGCGATTCATATGGATAAAAGGGATCACCAAGACAATGGGAGGATGACTCCAAAGGCATTTCAAAGACTTTCAGGGCTGCCCCTGCCATCACAGGCCCAGAGCTCTAGGAGGGTAGAATGAATGTTGGGGACAGACCAGGGTACCCTCCATGGGTTCATTGCCCACAGCCACCTCGGAGCTTTGCTTCCACATTCCAGTGCAGTGCTCCTCAGCCACCCTGGTTGTGGCTCAAGTAGATTCCAGTGTAGCTCAACCTACTACTCTGGAAGGTACGAATCATAAATCTTGGCAGTGTCCACATGGCGCTAATTCTGCAGGCGTGCAGAATGCAAGAACCTTGGGGGCATGGTTTCCTCTGCCTACATTTCAAAGGATGTCACAGACAGCCTGGTGACCCAGGGTAAGACTTGTCATAGGGTCAGAGTCACCACAGAAAGCCCCTATGAGGGCAATGCCCAGTGAAACTGTGGGGTCAGAGCCCCCACAGACAGCCCCCCCAGGACAATCCCTAGTGGAGCCATGGGAGTGAGACCACTCCCACAACCCCAGAACTGCCTTGGAGACCTGCAGGCACAGCAAGAGACTCCAACCTGTGAATGCTGCTGCGTGGTATGAGCCTTATGGGTCCAACCTCTACTCCAGTGTGTCCAGAACATGGGACATGGAGTCAAAGCAGACCATTCTGGAGTTTTAAGACTTGTTTTCTCTTTTGGGTTTTCATACTTAGTTGGGGCCACTTACCCCTTTCTTCTTGACTATTCTTCCCTTATGAAATGGGAAGGTCTATCCTACATCTATCTCACCACTGTATTTTACAGTGGAGATAACTCATTTTGTAGATAACATATTTTGATGTCACAGGCTCACTGCTAGAGGGAAGTTGCCTCAGGATGAATGGTGCCTTAAGTCTCACCCATTTTGGAGCTAGATGAGACTTTGGACTTCAGGCTTTTGAATTGATGTTCGAATGAATTAAGATTCTGGGGGCTATTGGGATAGAATGAATGCATTTTGCATTGTGAGAAGGACAAATTTGTGGGGCTAGGGGTGGAATGCTATGTTTTGAATGCATTCCCCGAAGTTTATGTGTTGAAAACGTAATCGCCAATGCAACAGTGTTGAGAGGTGGGAATTTTAAGAGGTGATTAGGCCATGAGGGCAGAGGGAAGAGCCCTTACGAATGAATTAATGTCATTATCACAGAATTAGGTTTATTATTAAAGTGAGTTCAACCCTCTCTTGCTTTTTTACTGTCTTATGCTCTCTGGCCATTCTACCAGACACAGCAAGAAGTCCCTTGCCAGATGCCTGGGAAGACACAGCAAGAAGTCCCTTGCCAGATGCCTGCACCTTGATATTGGACTTGCCAGCTTCCAGTATGAGAAAGAAAATAAATTTTTTTTTATTTATCTGTAGTATTTATTTTATCTGTAGTGTTCTGTGATAGTAACACAAAATGAACAATGACAGTCCATATGACCAAGGAAATAACAACTCTGTTCTCTCAACAAAATACAATTAGAACCACAAAAACAATAGCCCCATACTCAAAGTAGATAGGGTTAAATAATCTTGTCTGGAAAGGATTTTAGAAGTCCTGTGGCCGGTCTCACTTTTTCTCCCAGTGTTGTAATCTACAACTGTGCTGTCCAACACAGCATCTGCTAGCCAGAAGTGACTACTGAGCACTTGAAGTGAGTCTAGTCAAAGTTAAGATGGGAGCCAAGCATAAAATATGCATTAGGTTTCATAGTCTCATTATGGAGAAAATGATACAAATGATCTCAATTATTTTATATTCATTATAGACTGAAATAACATTTTAGATATGTTGAGTTAAAATATATTATTAAAATTAAGTTTACCTATTTATTTCCGTGTTTTTAATGTGGCTTCTAGAAAATGTAAAGTTACATATGTGGCTCATATTTGTGGTTCACATTATAGTTCTATTGGACTGTCCATTGGTCTATGCCATTCCCCCTAGGGGTCATCCAGCTTATGCTAGGACACCTCTGAAGACAGGAGCTATGTCCTTGGCTCAGGCAAACAGTAGCAACTGAAGTCTCGGTGGGTGATTAGGGTGAGTTACCTAACTTCTTCCCAAGGCCAAGTAGCAGCCTCATGCTTCTGACTGGCATTTCCCAAGCTTTGGTCTCTTCCTCCTTGAATGAGTGATTAAATTAGAATTCAGGAAATACATGCTAATGTAACATGAAAAATATTTTCGTCTTCTGGCCAGGTGCCGTGGCTCATGCCCATAATCCCAGCACTTTGGGAGGCCAAGGCAGGGGGACCACTTTAGCCCAGGAGTTCAAGACCAGCCTGGGCAACATAGCAAGACCCCATCTCTACAAAAATTAAAAAATTAGCCAGGTATGGTGGCGCATGCCTGTTGTCCCACTTATTGAGGAGGCTGAAGCAGGAGGATTGTTTGAGCCCAGGAAGTTGGGGCTGCAGTGAGCTGCAATTGAACCACTGTACTCCAGCCTGGGCAACAGAGCAAGACCCTTTTCCTTAAAAAAGAAAAAAGAAAGCCTTACATACACAAGTGAAACCACACTGTAAAAACTGTGAAAGAGTTAAGTGGTAGCCTCAGAAGAAAATTTAATAAAAAGAAGAAAAGCACTTTAAAGAAAAGAGATTAGTTAGGAAAGACTGAATGGAAGCAAGAGGAGAAAGCAACAAAAAATTGAAAGCATGAATGTTTTCTTCTTTTTGCTAATGATTTAGGGAAATCATTTACCAAGCCTACCTAAGGAGTTAAACCACTTTCCTAATACTATAACCTCAGGAAACATCTAATCCCTAATTTGACATAAATGTAACCTCTCAGAGTATATCAAATCCATTTGCATAAACATAAAGGCTTGCTTGGCAGCTCATGAACTCACTGTTCTTCTGCATGAAAGAAAGATTACATTTTAATAGAAGTGCTGAAATTTGCCATAAAAGTAACTTCAGGGAGCTTTAGAAGCTGAAATACTCTTTATATTACAATACATCTGCCTCGGGTCGTTAATTTATTATATGTTATTTTCATAGCCTCAAAGAATTATACAGCTCTCTGAAATGAAATGTTAATTTTTTCTTTCTCATAATCGATTTATACACCTAGTACCCCAAATACAAGGAGGGAAGGAAGGAAGGAAGGAAGGGATGGAGGGAGGGAGGGAGGGAGGGAGGGAGGGAGGGAGGAAGGAAGGAAAAGAGAAAGAAAGAGAAAGAAAGAAAGAAAGAAAGAAAGAAAGAAAGAAAGAAGGGAGGGAGGGAGGGAGGGAGGGAAGGAAGGCACGAAGGAAGGAAGGGAGGGAGGGAAACAGAGAAGGAAGGATGGAAGGAAGGGAGGGAGAGAGGGAAGGAGGAAGGAAGGAAAGGAAAGAAAGAGAAGAAAGGAAAGAGAAAAGGAAGGACAGAAGGGAGGAAGGAAAGAAAGAGAAAGAAAGAACAAGAGAGAGAGATAAGGAAGGAAGGGAGGAAGGAAGGAAGGGAGGGAGTGAGGAAGGAAGGAAGGAAAGAAGGAAGGAAAGAAAGCAAGCAGGCAAGAAAGAAAGAAAGAGGGAAAGAGAGATAAGGAAGGGAGGAAGGAAGGAAAAAAGGGAAGAAAGGAAAGAGAAAGGAAGGAAGGAAAGAAAAGAAAAGAGGAAAGAAAGAGGGAGGGAGGGAAGAGGAAAGAAAGGTAGGAAGGAAAGAAAGGAAGAAAGCAAGCAAGAGAAAGAAAGAAAGAAAGAAAAAGAAAGAAAGAAAAGGAAGGAAGGAAGGAAGGGACAAGACAGGACAAGACATGAAAGAAGTCATATAAGGAAAATAAAATACTTCTGGGAAACCTACATTCTTGATATTTAATTAGCCTTTAATGCAATTTCTCTCCTTCCGTTTTTTAGACAGTAGAAGAGATTTTATGCCTCACCTTAACAAATGAGTTTTAAAAGTAAACTTAAAACATAATATTGAAACTGCACAAATCTTATGCAGCGTATGACCCAATAAAGTTTCAAATTTAACCCAACTGTGTAACCAGCATTCATATAAAAAAATAGAACATTCTCAGCTCCTCAGAAGCCCTCGGCACACCCTGCAGAATCACTAACTTACTCCAAAAGTATTCACTGTTCTGACTGCTAGATTAGTTTTAACTATTTCTGAATTTTACGGGAGTGCTCTTCTTCCACCCACCATTTGTTTTGTGGAATACATTCATGTTGTGCATATAACAAATTTCTCCTGTAAATAATGAGATATTTTAGGCTTTGAGGGTCTACATTTCAGCATGTATGGTGTTTTGGGTTTTTCGTTTGTTTGTTTGTTTTTTGAGATGGGGTCTCACTCTGCCACCCAGGCTGGAGTACAGGGGCACAATCTTGGCTCACTGCAACCTCCGCCTCCTGGGCTCAGGCAATCCTCCCACCTCAGCCTCCTGAGTTGCTGGGACCACAGGTGCAGGGCACCACACCTGGTTAATATTCTATTATTTTATTTTTTTATTTTAGGTAAAGATGGGGTTTCACAATTTTGCCAAATTTCTCGAACTCCTGAGTTCAAGCAATCTACTACCTGCCTCAGCCTCCCAAAGTGCTGGGATTACTGGCAGGGGCCACTACAACCAGCCTAAATTTCAATTTTTGGTGCAATGACTTATAGTTGCAAAAGCAGCCATAGACAATCCATTAATAAATGAGCATGGCTGTGTTCCATTAGAACTTTATTTACAAAAAGCAGTAGTGGTCCAGGTTTGGTCCACTGATAAGCCCTATACCATAATCAATTCTATATGCACGTGCCACCGCATCTGGCTAATTTTTGTAGTTTTAGTAGACATGGGGTTTCGCCATGTTGGCCAAGCTGGTCTTGAACTCCTGATGTCAGGTGATCTGCCCTCCTTGGCCTCCCAAAGTGCTGGGATTGCAGGTGTGAGCCTCCATGCCCAGCCTGCTTTTCTAAAAAAAAAAAAAAAAAAAAAAAATTCTGGCCTGGCACGGTGGTTCATGCCTGTAATCCCAGCACTTTGGGAGCCTAAGGTGGGTGGATCACCATGTGTGCTGTGTTCACTGCTCCACCCCTGCATTCTAGAACAGTGGCTGGCATGGCAGGTGATGGATAAATCTTCTCTTATGTGAACATATCAAGATATAAATGTGCCTCTTCTGTTCCAGTGCAGGCTTGGGCAGCCCACATCATCCGCTAGATTCTTTCGTGGGCAGCATCACAGAGCAAATGACATACTGAGTGCCCTGGCTCTGTCCCCACTGACCATGAATGTGGAAGTCATCTGACCACCTCCCTGGGCTCCAGATTGCTCATGTTTAAAATAAGTGGTTTGGATGGATGGTTTTTGTGTTTTTAATTTTACTGCAGCCTGCAGCTTTTTTATGCAGAGATTTGGCTCATAAAACTGATAAAAGTGGAGCTGTTCAGACTCAACTGAGGGAAGACACCAGAGTATGACTCTTTGTCTACTTCTGTAACCACCCCACCACAACCCCCTACAACCTACAACCTTCAGCAGTGAGTCTGGCATCTCTACGAAATCTCTGGGTATCTGCAAGGCAGAGTTTAAAAACAACTCAACTGGCTAATCTTTAAGGCGACTTCCAGTTTTAAGATTCCAGTAGCAGATTTTTTTTTCTTTTTCTTTTTTTGAGACAGGGTCTTGCTCTGTCGCTCATGCTGGAGTGTAGCGGTGTAATCATGGCTTACTGCAGCAGCCTCGAATTCCTGGGCTCAATCAATCCTCCTGCCTCAGCTCTCTGAGTAGCTGGGACTATGGGTGTACATCACCATGCCTGGCTAATTTTTTATTTTTTGTAGAGATGGGGTCTCCCTATGTTGCTTACGTTGGTCTCAAACTCCTGGGCTCAAGCTAGTAGCAGATTTTTTAAAGGGAGTGGCAAAAGATGAGGCCAGAGAGGTAGGCAGGGAAAGGGCTGTGGGTCAATTGAATGCAAAGCCACTAAAAGGTTCGAATCAGGGAGATGACTAATCTGATTTAGTTTTAGGAAATGGTTCTAGTTAAACTTGATGGGTGGATATATGCATAAATCCTTCATTACTGGCCTGCCTGTAAATTGGCAAAGAATAGGTAGATACAGACATAGAACTAGGCTGAGGTACAGATAGAGATAGAGATAGAGACAGAGATAGATTTAGAGATATAATCCCACAAGAGCAAAGAAAAAGGGCAAGAGCGCATAGCAATGGACATGAGATTTAAATAGATCTACTGAAGATAGGTGTGGATAGAAACGTGGTGGGAATTCTCTTAGATGAATAAAAAGGGCTACAACTTGATCTATAAATAAGTATGCAGAGAGTAGTTAGCTTATGTGTTTTATAGACCCGTGAAAATCTTAGGATTTGAGACCCAGGTACCAAGAAGGTAAGGTGAGGTTCTGACCAAAAATGAAGGGCTGATTGAAAGTTTGTTTATGAATAGTTACATCCTAGATACCGTCCAAACCCACCTCTACCTTGCAGGAGGCAGGAAGACTTTGTAAAGATCACTAGCGAGGCTCTCAAATAAGGAAAAACCAGATACGGTAAGGAAAAAGGTGGGGCAAAATCTCAAAATAATAGGAGCCAATGAAAATTTTCATATTGCACTGGTGAGAGTTTCCAAACCTCTTTTCCTGTCCTTATCCACAAATGACAGCTGCCTACCACATGTCAGAAACTGATGAGTTTGCATCCAGAGAAATTGAATGACCAAGAGAAAAGGTTAAACATTAAACATTTAGGAATTCTCCAAAGAAACTGACTCTCACTGCCTAGTGACCTTGAAGTGAAATTCAAAAGTTAGTAAGCCTGACGAATGCAAGACTCAGAAGAAAACATTTTAAAAAACTACTATGACATCCTCAAATAAATGTGTGAAGATATTGCATCTATATATTATGAATAGCATGCAATTAAATAGAAACTTGAGGAGAATAAATAGAGCTCCTGGAAATTAAAAATGTATATGGTAGCCAAAGTTTTAAAAAAGGTAGAAGAATTAAAAGATAAAGACATAGCACATTCCCAGACAAACAAACAAAAGGATAAAAAATGGAAAACAGGAATTAGAAAAAGAGAACATTAGAAGATCAATATAAGAGGTCTAACATAACATCCATGGGAATTATGAAAAGAAAGTACACGGGAAATGTAGGGAGAAAATTAATAAAAGAATACAAGAACATTTCCCAGGATGGAATAGCGTGAGTCCTCGGATCAAAAGAACCCACCAAGTGCTCAACAGAATAGACCCAACACAAAGAAAATCAAACTGACATTTCAGAACATGAGAAGAGAGGTGCTAAGCACATCCAAAGAAGAAGAAAAAAATCCTTTTGAAGCAACAGGAAACAGAAAGCCATTGACTATAGTATCACGAATAGAAGAAAAATGGTAGCGTTTCTTCAAAATCCTGGGGAGATTTTTTTCAACTAGTGATCGTACGGCCAGCAAAATGTCAATCAATTGTAATGGTGGAATAATTACATATTCATTCTTACAAGGACTCAAAGAAACTCACATCTCATGTCTCACTTTTTTAGAAGTTGTGAGAGGATATACTTCAAAGAAGACAAAAACGTGGTTCAGGAGGGAACTGCAGGAAGGTGGTCAAGAGGGGTCCCAAGATGACAGATAACTGAGTTGGCCCAAGAGCAACAGGTCCCGATTTGAGCAGGTAGAGGGAAGGTTCCAGAAGGAGAGAGGTCTCCAGGCAATAATGGAAATAACATAATATCTTCTATCATTGATAGAATATCTTTTTCTATCAATGCTAAAATATCTTTTCTCCAAATATATGTATTTGGAGAAAAACTACTAACAGGACTATGATACAGCCAATGGGAAACATTAATATGACGTTAACAGGAAATTACACAAGGGAGAAGAAAGAGGCAATTCAGGAAAAGCAAAGGGTAAAAGAAAGGTAATAAATAAATTCTGTAATGTCACAACGTGGTCATATAAGCCCTGGCTGGCTTTAAATACAAGTTAAAGTGAATATTTAATTTGATGGGAGTAGGGGAAAAGGAAAACTATATAGTCATTTATAATAACATGAAATCAAGAGATAATGTCTACAATTTATAGTTCAAAAGCAGCAGTCTAAGTTTATTACCAAAATGATGTATAAAGCTAAATGTAACAAAACACAGTTAAAAACGTTAAAAGAGATAATCTCTGGAGAGCAGGAGATGGGAAGGGGAGGAAAAGACTGTGATACGGTATAGCCCACGTTTTTTGGCCATGTGTTACTTAGTTATACTTGATTTTAAAATATGCTCTATGCTTTACTTTTTAAAGTTTAAATTAAATACATTTATATATATTTTAAATTATTCCTTACGCGCTCTAAGGAAAGAAATGAAGTTTTATGTGAACACCAGCAGGTGGCACCATTTTCTACCTCTCAGAGGGAAAATGCTTCCTCTTCTTTTTCCAAACTCACCTGACTGATTACATTGAATTGTGTAGCCTTTCCTCACAAGAAAGAGAAGCTCTAACTGATCAATCTTTACTGAGAAAATTATTTGTTTCTCTAGATTTTAGGCAACCATAAACTTTCTATACTGACTACGCTGAACTGAAATAATCAAATTATCCGCTACAGTACATTTTCACTGATATTTTGCTTTTGTAAAGCAGAGATGAATTCAGTAAGCTCTTCCTGCTTTCATAAATACTTGCCTTCAAGGAAAACCAGCACATTTGTACAGACACACCCTGTTTACTTACCGACTTAACCTGACTTCATTACAAAGTACCAATGTTGGAAGACAGAAATGCTATTGGTTATGACAACACAATTTGGACTCTAAGTTGATGCTGATTATAAGGAGTACGATTATGAGGACTGAATCGGTTTTACCTAATTTCATCCCCACTAGCTCTACATGATACTGAAGCTAGATCTTGAAGCAATAAAAAAGACTGATCAACTGAGCAGTGGTTTCTGAATGCCTCTCATCTATACTTGCCTTATCAATGCCTGTCCTTTCTGACCCCTGCAATTTGCTCACTTCCTCACCCGGCTCCCTCTGCCAACTTGCTCTGCCACCTGGACTTCATGTTCAGCTCACCTGTCATCCACTCCCTGACAGCTGTCTCTCCTTTCCTCTAATGCACCCACTCACATCACTCTCTCTGCCTCACCTACTCTTTGCTCCATTTAGCAAACAACATTTTTTCCAACATTGTCTATTTCTGCTTTGAACTATCTGATGCTTTTTCTTCCAGTCCATTTTTTTTTTTTCTCTGCATTGGTAATTGTGTGTCTTGGTCTCTTTCTGTGGGTTAGGGTCAGGGTCAGGGTCAGAGGCAGAGTTTTCCATATTTCTTTCCGGTGGCCACCCCTCTCAGCCATACTTTGCATTCTTTCTTTCATTGCCTGGGGCATTCTCATGGATTCAGTGACATTTCAGCTGTCAATACTGTGAAAACAGTGAACCACCTAGACAAAGGAAAATCACCATGGTGCTTACAATAAGCATTTGGTGAGTATAGAAACTAAAGAAGGCCAGGCAGGGTGGCTCACGCCTGTAATCCCAGCACTTTGGGAAGCTGAGGCAGGAGGACTGCTTGAGCCCAGGAGTTTGAGACCAGCCTGGGCAACATAACAAGATCCCATCTCTACAAAAAATACAAAAAAAAAAAAAAAAAATTAGCTGGGCATAGTGGTGAGCGCATGAAGTCCCAGCTACTCAAGAGGCTGAGGCGGGAGGATCAGCTGAGCCTAGGAGGTTGAGGCTGCAGTGAGCCATGATCACGACTCTGCATGACAGAGTGAGACCCTGTCTCAAAATAAACAAACAAACAAACATAACTTAAAAAAAATAGCTGATACTGAGTAACTTGGTATTGGTTAATGGCAGAGGTATTTTTGCCTCTGTTTTAAAAATGAGATGTGTAAATGACGAGATCTGGGCTAAATATGGACCAGCTGGGATTAGAATTAGAACGAACAGGGAAGTATGAGACAGGTGACCTCGCTGCCAGCTCTACTCCTCACAGATGGGTGACCCCAAGGCTCTTTTAACCTCGGCTTCTCAGGACTCAAAAGAGACATGGTAATATACATTTCTGAAGCCACATTCCTTGGACCAGGGGAAATATTGATTTCCTGTCTGTTTTTAAGATTTGTAATTTTAACATGTGGCTTTTACAATTCCCTTAAATTGGCACACAATAAAGAGCTTCTGGAAAAAAAGGGAACTTATTTACTCAGTGATTAAAGGATCATTATATATAAATATAAGGATATCCTTTGTCCCAGTAGAGGAAATTGGGGGAATTTGGCTCCATGATATGGTGATAAGAAATAGAACTTTGTGCTTTCTGAGACAATGACCCAGGCATTGACTCAGATCTGCACATAGAACTCACCTGTTTCCAAAAGTGGGTCTGGTCCATAGAGCTGTTTGGAATCATTCCATTTCTTCCACAGTCACTGGGTGGGATTATGAAATCTCTCCCTTAATGTGTGTATGTTTATTCACTCGAAAACACTTGTACTCATGAATAAATGTGTGTGCAGGAATTTTGCTCACTTCTGGTTATTTCTTGAGACATGGAACAAAGAGACATGGACTTGCTTTCCATGAAGCAGAGAGAGCAGAGAGGAGCTTTAGAAACTGGCATTAAGAGGCTTAAAAACTGGAAATGGGGAAAGATATATTAGTCCATTTTCACACTGCTGTATACTACCCAAGACTGGGTAATTTATAAATAAAAGAGGTTTAATTGACTCACACTCCACATGGCTGAAGAGGCCTCAGGAAACTTACAATCATGGCGAAAGGTGAAGGGAAAGCAAGGCAAGTCTTGCATGGCGGCAGGAGACAGAGAGAAGGGGGAAGTGCCAGACACTTATCAAACAGCCAGATCTCATGAGAACTCACTCACTATCATGAGAACAGCATGAAAGAAACTGCCCCATGATCCAATCACCTCCCACCAGGTCCTTCCCTCCACACGTGGGGATTACAATTTGGATTACAATTCGAGATGAGATTTGGGTGGGGACACAGCCAAACCATATCAAGGGGTTTCTCTCCTTGACATCTAACACAACACAAGTTGCCACACCAGCCAGGTCTGCTCAATTGTGTTTTCTCCTTTTTTTCCCTTTGACTCAATAAAATTAAGTATTAAAAAAAAAAAAACTGGTCTTGGTAACACCCGTATTATGTATTATGTGGACTAAAATAAAGTTGACATATATTCTTACTTTCCACACGTGCTTGTGAAGCACCACATGTGCAAGGCATTGCTCTCGGTGTTAGGGATACAGCAGTGATACAGGCAGGCAGAATAACTCAGCAGGAGCTTGCATTCTGGGAAGGGGAGATAATCAATCAATCTATCATTCAGTCAGTCAGTCAATCAATCAGTAACTAGCAAGAAAAATTTCAGATAGTGGTGAGTGAGTACAGATATGTAATGACTAGACTGGACAGCTACTTTATGTGTTTAAGTAGACATTTTAGGCTGAGATTGTGTGAGAGGAGAATATCTTGGGCCCCCAAAATCACTAAGCTAACAGGAAAATTCAAGCTGGGAACTGCTCAAGGCAAGTCTGCCCCCCATTTCTATTCAAAGTCACTCTGCTCACTGAGACAGATGCATATGCTGATCTGGAAAGGCTTCTCAGAAACTCAAAGAATGCAACCTACCGGTGATCTGGAAGTCCCTTCCCTGCTTCAAGTTGTCCCCGCCTTTCTGGATGGAACCAACGTACTTCTTACTTATATTGACTGATGTTTCATGTCTTGCTAAAATGTGTGAAACCAAACTGTGCCCCGATCACCTTGGGTACATGTTGTCAGGACTTCCTGAGGCTGCGTCATGGGTGTGTGTGTGTCCTCAGCCTTGGCAAGAGAAACTTTCTAAATTAACTGAGACCGGTCTCAAATTTTCAGGTTTCACAACTGGAATAAGAATGATGATTATAATGATATTGGAGGAAGATGCATTCCAAGCATACTGAATTGATGGTACAAAGATGCACAACCAAACCTAGACCCTCAGTCAGGCCCCTATATCTGGAGCGAGCTCTCAAAAGGGGAGGGCAGTGGTGAAAGAGGGAGAAATCAGGCTGTGTCAGACTTAGTCACTCCACAAGTTTTGATGCTGGCATTTTTTATGTTTGTGCATACACAGGCAAAGATCTGTACATTACAAATGCTCTCTGGCCAACAGCAATGTAAGATACATCCCAATTTCATAGTTGCCAAAACATTTAAAAAAAGTATGCCTTTGAATTAATAAAATATACTCCTTTAGATGTATTGCAGGAAGTTCTTTGTTGCAGAATGTTTGAAGTCATTTTAATGGAACTCTATTTTAAGCTGTCTTTGTTCAACCTTTTGTGAAGTGAACTATCACTTTCTTGTTTTCCTTTGTTATAAATCCAGGTACTTAGAATGAAGCTCAAATATAATGAGAATGCTAGCCCAGCATGGTGAATAGATTATTTTAAGAGTAATTGGAGCACCTAAAAAACCAAGTCTAAATTGCTGAAACTGAAATTGAAATCAAATTTAAGATAAGATGCTCAGAAAAGCTTACCAACCTCACTTTAGGGTACAAAGATAAAGCTTTATCAGAGACTTTATTAAGTCTTAGTTGCTATGTAAGTTCAATTACTCAAGATAAGATGTCTAAATGCTTAGTATTAAGAGAAGTAACAGACTTACTGCTTTAAAAATAGGTGTAGATTAGGATGACTGACCTGGAACAAGAAGCTAGACTTGTCAGCAAGAAATTTGGGGATCAGATTGTTTTGTCCATTCTTTTCCTATTCCCTTCCAACTTCAGAAGCCAGAGAGATATGCCACAAGTGAGGAAAAGCTAACAAGTTTCTAGATTACTCAAAATGAATTGTGGAGAGTTCGCAAACTTGAAAATACAGGTAATCAGCCCAATATCACCTTTCCCCAGCTATCCTGGTATTTAATTCTTTGTGAACAATGCTAAGCTTTGTATGATTTTGGTTTGCTAGTACACCATAACCCTGAAATCTATTTCTAGTTGAAAGCACTATATGTTTAAGTGTGAAATGAACTTAGAGGGTAGAAACAGCCTTGTATTCTAGTTTGGTATAATACATAGAATAATGTGGCCCAAAAGGTGGGTGGAACATTTTGGGTGTACAGCTTATTTCGCCACCCAGGTAATAAGCATAGTGCCTGATAGGTAGCTTTTCAATCCTCACCATCTCCCACCTTTCACCCTCACGTAGGCCCCGGTGTCTGTTGTTCTCTTATTTGTGTCCATATGTACTGAATGTTTAGCTCCCACTTATAAGTGAGAACATGTGGTATTTGTTTTTTTGTTCCGGTGTTAGTTTGCTTAGGATAATTGCCCCCAGCTCCATCCATGTTGCTGCAAAAAACATGACCTCATTCTTTTTTTATGGCTGTGTATTATTCCATGGTGTATAAGTACTACATTGCCTTAATCCAGTCCGCCATTGATGGGCATCTAGGTTGATTCCATGTCTTTGCCATTGTGAATAGTGCTGCAATGAACATATGCATGCCTGTGTGTTTATGGTAGAACGATTTACATTCCTTTGGGTATACAGCCAGTAATGGGATTGCTTGCTGGGTCAAATGGTAATTCTGTTTCACATTCTTTGAGAAATTGCCAAATTGCTTTCCACAGTGGCTGAACTAATTTGCATTCCCACCTTGAGTTCATTGGTTTAACACAGTGTTTCCTACAAGGCTGAAGCTCCAGGGGCAGTGGAGAGAGGCTGCACTGTCATCTCGGGGCTGGAGTGGCCACTCTGACCCTGACGTCCACATACTTGCCTCCTTTCAGTGAGACCCCTCTCCTCTCTGAGGCTCAGACCTGACTCTTTAGAATTTTTATTTCTTATTTATTTTTATTGCTATTTTATTTTAACCAGTCTATTCATTAGACTTTCACCTAATTCTATTTTCAACTACAGCTTTCTAGAACATTCTGTGCAAACTCAGACTGATTTTGTATGTCCAGCCTTCAGCTAGAAAAAAAAAATCTTTCTGCATTTTTCCCCTGCTCCACTCTGGATACTTCCACACTGTGCTGCAAGGATAGCTTTTGAGTGCCGGTAATTAAGTCCCCCTAACCTAAGTAGGGGTGGGGGTCTGAGCTGGGTGGAGCCAGCAGGTAGATGCTGTCATCTCACGGCTTTCGATGGATAATTCTGGATGGCATTCTGCATGCTTCTTAGGAGATCACAGGATCATCAAGCTCTCATTGCTCCCAACCACAACCTCCCATCAGGCATACTTATATTAGCTTTCCTCTTTCCCTCTTCACTCTCCACTCCCTTACTCCTGCTTCCTGAGATCACCTCCAGTATCAGAGTTTTATTGCTGCATTACAGATTACCACCTATTTATTACCTGTATCAGATGCATTACCTGTTCTGTAGGTCAGAGGTCTGACTGGGATTGACTGGGTTCTCAGGTTAGAATAGTGCAAGGCTGAGATCAAGTCTCCACCAGGCTGGGCACTTCTCTGGAGGCTTTGGGGAAGAATCTGCGTCCAAGATTGTTCAGTTTGTTAGCAGAATCCAGTTTCTTGCAGTGGTGGGACTGAGGTGCCTGCTTCCTGACTGTCAGCCAGGGGGTCATTCTCAGCTCCTTTCTGCCTGTCTCCCTCCATTTCCAAAGCCTGTCATGGCATGTCAGTTCCTTCCTGGGTTTTGAATCTGTCTTCCCCTTTTGCAATCAACTGGAGAAAACTTTCTGCTGTTAAAGGGCTCATTTCTTAGATTAGGCCTACCTAGACAATCTCCTTTTTGATTAACTCAAAGACAGCTGATTAGCAACTCAATCACATCTGCAAAGTCCCTTTGGCAATATAATGTTAACATAATCCCCATCATGCTATCTCAACCATATTCACTGTTCCAGAAATTAGAATGGGAAATTTTGAAGGATAATCTTTAGAATTCTGCCACCGCACCTCCAAACTAACATACTTGTACTCAAACCCTTGCCTCAAGCTCTGCATTCAGGGGAACCCAAAATAAGATATTCCATAAATAACAAATGACTACTCTTTAAAATTCTGGTTGAAGCTTTTGACTATTCCAACATAATTCAAGATTTTAGAGATGTTTTCTAATTTTGTTGTCATTTTCATTTCTGAAAACTTGTAAGAGAAATAAGCATAATAATTAAACAATTTCTCAAGCTTCCTTAAGAACATCTGAGCTATTTGAATCTAAGAATGTTAGTTCCTTCTCTTTTGGTCTTCTAATTTTATAGTACGTCTCACTTCATATTTTATATTCTTCCTTTTTTCAATATTGACTGCATTTATCTCACTTACTCTTCCCAAGAAGCCTGAGGGATTTTATTACCCTGATTTTATAGACAGAAACTGGGTCTCAGCCAGTTTCAAAATATTTCTCAAGGTCACATAGCCAGTCATGGCAGACACTGGATGACAATCCAGTTCTGTCTGATGCCAGATGCCTATTCCTTCCACTTTGCTGGCTTCTAAAATTGAGAAAATTAAGTACGTAACCTGAGAAGAGGCAGGTTTGCATGGCCCTACATAGAAATACACATTAAGTGGTTCAGTTAGAGAAAATAATGGCATGCAATGCACACTGGCTTTATAGGAAATATAGGGCATAGCACTGATCACATACCATAATCCTGATTTTTCTCTAAGACCTCCTTCTTCTAGAAAATTCAACGAATCTCAGAGAACATAAACACAGCCCTGTAAGAGTTTCTATGGTTCCACTTAAGCAAAACTGTTCATTAAACATCAAGCTCTTGTTTTTAGAATAAAAATACTCAAGAGTAAATATTTCCCCAAAGGGATCACTTTCTAGACAATTTTACAGGCTATTCTTTGTGAAGGAAATTTAGAAAGCATAAACCACACAAAAGCCAAAGTAAAATCTTTGGAATTTCATTCACTTCAACTAATAGCCTGAGAGCTTAGTTAGCAGGACACTTAATTTTGAAAAAGAACTTCTCTAAAACAGAAAGTAGATTGCATTGAAAAATGGGTAGTTGCTTTCAAAGTTGTTTCTGCTTAGTAAACTTTTATTTTCTAGAGGAGACTTATTATCCTATCAAGAATCAAAGTTAATTTTGACAAGACTAGGATTTTCTCTGAACTCCAACTAAATCAAAGGAAGAAAGAATGAAAGGAAGGGAGGGGAGAAGGAGGGATGAAACAAAGAAAGGAAGGTAGGCTGGGCGCTGTGGCTTATGCCTGTAATCCCAGCACTCTGGGAGGCCCAGGCGGGTGGATCACGAGGTCAGGAGATCGAGACCATCCTGGCTAACACAGTGAAACCCCATCTCTACTAAAAATACAAAAAATTAGCCAGGTGTGGTGGCTGGCTCCTGTAGTCCAAGCTACTTGGGAGGCTGAGGCAGGAGAATGGCGTGAACCTGGGTGGTGGAGCTTACAGTGAGCCAAGATCGGGCCACCGCACTCCAGCCCGGGTGACAGAGTGAGACTCCATCTCAAAAAAAAAGGAAGAAAGAAAGGTAGGAAGAAGAAAAGAAGGAAAGAAGAAAGAAAAAGAGGTAAAGAGAGATGGAAGGAGGGAAGGACAATTGAAGAGGAGATTCTTGTTTATTAATAAAGCACAATAACGGATGACTTACTTTAAAATTTGTGATGGCTTTAATATGTCATCATTACAGTTAACCCTAGAGCCACACTGGTTTGAACCATGTGGTTCCACCTATAGGTGAATTTTCTTCCACTTTTGCCACACCTGAGACAGCAAGATCAACCCCTCCTCTTCCTCCTCCTCCTCAGCCTACTCCAGTGATGGTGAAGGCCTTTATGATGATCCACTTTCACTTAACAAATAGTGAATACTTTTTCTCTTCCTTAAGATTTTCTTAATAACGTTTTCTTTTCTCTAGCTCACTTACTGGAAGAATACAGTATATAATACGTGTAACATACAGAACATGTTATTGGTAAGGCTTCTGGTCAACAGTAGGCTGTTAGTATTTAAGTTTTGGGGGAGTCAAAAGTTATACATGGATTTTTGACTAGGTGGGGGATTGGTACCCCTAACCTGCATGTTGTTCAAGGGCCAACTGTGTTTTTGTTTTGGAAGTAGGTGTCTACACACACAAGTAAATGATAGAAATGTGAAGTGCTTTCAAATGCCAAATATTCTGAGAGAAGAGAACGCCTAGATTCATTACCCTCATTTGTCTTCACAGTGAAGGAGAATGTGAACGCTATATTTACAGTGTTGGCACCATTTGAGCTTCGACTGTAAGTTTCGTGGTGAATATTCTAGGGCCTCAAGGCTCAGGATCTGGAATGCTCACATGAAGAGCAGAGCAGGAACCAACACAGGGAGCACACGGCTTTGCCTCTAATTCTTCTGCTAAGCAGACACTTCTTGAGTATCATCTTTTCTTCTCTGGGGTTCCTGGCACTGAGGCAAATGCATTGCAGTTCGCTCTTTAGTGAAAATGTCCTGCTGCCTTCAAGGTTCTTCCCTGTTTCTCATCTCAGCTCTGCAGCTTCTCTCCTCCACCCCTACCCTTGCCAACATGCCAAAGATGCTTCTGTCTTTCCCAAATAAGCATCTTTTACATGTATTTGCCAAGAGGATAAAGACAGGTATTAAATTTCTCAGTAGTTGCGATGACCTGAATGTTTGTGTCCCCATAGAATTTAAATGCTGAAATGCTAACCCCCTCAAGGTATGATATTAGGAGGTGGGGCCTTTGAAAGGTGCTTAGGTCATGAGGGTGTAGCCCTCATGAATGGGATCAGCACCGTTATAAAAGGAACCCCCAGAGAGCTCACTCATCCTCTTTCTGCCACATGAGAATACAGAGAGAAGCTGGTCACCTACAAGCCATGAAGCGGACCCTCATCAGACACCGAATCTGCTGGCATCTTGATCTTGATCTTAGACTCCAGAACTGTGATAAATAGATGCTTGTTGTGTAAGCCATCAAGTTATGCTATTGGGTTACAGCAGCCAATACTAAGACAGGAATGTTCAGTTGAAAAGAACCTCACCATAAGAGAGCCATTCATAACGAGGAAGAGACATTGCCAATGGGAAGTTAGGAGTAAATGGAGGCTGTGGGAAGGTGTCAGGAGATTCAACAGAGTCCATTTTTTAATGGTTCCAGACTTGTAATATCAACTGGAAGAAAGTTTGGGGTCAGGATCTTTCAATATCCTTGATTCCAATCATTAGAGGACTTCCTACTGACCCCACCCATGCAGCCAGACTTTTTTACTCCTGCCACTTGTCACTTTTTCTCTCAGTTGCTTTTCTCCTCTTTTGAGGCTCTTCATATTTTTATTCCACCTCTCTCTTCAGTTCTAGGGTCCTCTCTCTTTCAGTATTTTCCAGACCCGTCTATCACAAGGAACAACACAGTGACCTGGAAAGTCTTGCTCGGGAAATCAAGAGGCCTGGCCTCTGGCTCTCAGCACTGTTACCCCTCACTAGGGATGAGTGCTGGGGAAACACAGTTCTCTGGGCCTCCCTTTTGTGGATGTTCTCTCTGTCCCTTTAGCACTAACATTGTGGAGTTCAGCACTTGGTTTATTTTATAACTACCATTTCCTTTCCTCTCAAGATTCCTAGCTAATTCAAATAATCAGTTAGTTGAAATAATCAAAAACATTGCTACTCAAGGAGAGGCCCCTGTGCGATTCATATGAGCATCACCGGGAAGCTTGTTAGAAATTCCAGTCCCAGCCCAGACCTACTGAGTCAGAACCTGTACTTTAGTGGGGTCCCAAATGATCTCTATGCACACTGAAATCTAGAAATTCTCTTCTCGAGAGGTGTTTGGGCACCAAGCGCAGAGCTCAGGAGCACAGTTCCTGGCAGTCCAAGGGAACAAGTCCTGCCGGGGCCACTGATGGAGGGTGTCCAGCAGATTCCAGGAAGCCCATTTTTTTCTGGTTGCAGCTTTTACCATTGACCTCAGTGACCCCACAGCTTCCTCCTGATGCCACACCTGGCATGATGCCACCATGCAAGATCCAAGAACACCTTTTACCAGGAACAAAGAGCCAAATGTACCTCCCAGGATAAAGGAGAAGCCAGTGACAAATGAGCATAAGAAAAAATAAGCCCATCCTTCCTGCTTCTTGCAGATTTTGTCTTCTACAAACAGCCTTCAGTTCTTTCTCTGGACTCCCATTTCTCCACTTCATCTTTCCAAAGGGGAGTACTGCTGGTGTGAATTCTCCCATCAGTTTCCTTTCTGACTTGTTTGAATCTAGCATTTTTAACAGTTTTCTTTGAAATAATATTCACTGAATGACATAATTATCAAAAACGAGTAAAGGTGGCCAAGATATCTGGCATATAAATCAAACTCTGGCCCGGCTTCTTTCTTGATACCAAAAGAATGCTGCTTTCCGTGCACCTGCCGGTCCCCCCACAGCAACGGCAGATGCTGCTGTGGATGCAGCGCCCCTGCTAATCCTGGATGTGAAGGTGAGAAACTCACTTTGGTTATTATTGGAGAAATAATTCCAGATTTCACCTGATCTCAAGTCACTCACAGCCTCAACCCCCTCTTCCCACAATACAAGAGAGAACCAGAAGTTATTTTTAAACTACTCTGAACTGCAGAAATAAACATTATATAAGCACCATGCATGAGGGTTGATGAATTTTATACCTTAGTCCCTCACTCAGAACTTATGTATTCTTGTTTGATACTTTGTTCTAATAAGCTTAGATATGTGATTTTGAAGCCATAATAAATTTTAAAAAAGACAGACTTACTACAGGTAAGTGCACTGTGACTACTATTTGAGATCAAGGATGCAGGAAAAAAAGCAGAAATCCTATATATGCAAGTGCACACACACAAACAGTTGTTTGGGAGCATTTTATTTAGGGACAAAGATCCATTCCTATACTTGTCCCTGCGAATATTATTGTTACAACTCAGTATCTCAATTTATATTCTTTTACTTTTTTAAAAAACAGAGATGAGGTCTTGCTATGTTGCCTAGGCTGGTCTCAAATTCCTGGCTTCAAGTGATCCTCCCACCTCAGCCTCCTAAAGTGCTGGGATTACAGGTATGAGACACCACACCCAGCCTCCAATTAATATATATTTTTTCGAGACATAGTCTTAGTCTGTCGTCCAGGTTGGAGTACAGTGGTGCAATCTAGGCTCATTGCAACCTCTGCCTCCTGGATTCAGGTGATTCTTGTGCCTCGGCCACCTGAGTAGCTGGGATTACAGGCGTGAGCCACCACATCCTGCTAATTTTTCTTTTTTTTTTTTGTATTTTTAGCAGATGCCATGTTGGTCAGGCTGGTCTCAAACTCCTTACCTCAAGTGAGCCGCCTGCCTCAGCCTCCCAAAGTACTAGGATTACAAGCATTAACCACTGCACCCAATAATGCTGAGTCTTGCCCCAAATGTGAAATCTTCAGCAGTAATAAAAAAAGACAGGTAAGCATAAATTATAGTTAAACTGTAAAAAAGTATGACCATAGCATAAATGCAATTTAGACAAATTTCCATTGGAAATAGTTAAAATTATGTTTTGAGGTGCAATTTAAGGATTCTGACTACATAAAGTTTGACAGCACCTTAAAAATGTTAAAGAGGTTCTCATGTGCATTTTCTGTTATCCAAATGGGTTAGCAAAAACTTGAGATGAGTTTGATTAAACAGCTCAAGGAAGATACATGGATTTCTAAGCACAAGGCAAGGAATCACCTCGAAGAAGTCAGGATGATTCATATGACTCTGTGAAATTTTGGATAAAATATTTTAGAGTGCATTAGGGTTTTCCAGAGAAAACAGAGCCAATATGATGTATATATGTAGAGAAAGAGATATATTATGAGGAATTGGTTCATGCAATTATGGAGGCTGATAAATCACAAGATCTGCAGGGTGAATTGGCTGGAGACCCAGGAGAACCGATGCTTTGTTTCTAATCTGAGGCCACAGGCCTGGGAACCAGGAGAGCTGATGGTGCAATTTTAGTCTCAAGGATGGCAGGCTTGAGACCCAGGAAGAACCAATGTTTCAGTTCAAGTTCAAGTCTGAAGGCAGAAAAAAGGCTGATGTACCAGAGTGAAGATGATCACATAGAAGGAGAGCATTCTCTCCTTCTCAGGGAGGGTCAGCCTTTTTGTTCTATGCAGGCCTTCAACCCACTAGATGAGGTCCACCCACATTAGAGTGGGCAATCTGCTTTACTCAGTTTCCCCACTTAAACATCAATCTCATGAAAAGCACGCTCACAGAAACACCGAATATCTGGGAACCCCACGGTCCAGTCAAGATACGCATGAAATTAACTGTCACATAGGAATATGACAGTAAGAACAAATGTATGTAGAATCATATCCCTCAGGCTAGAAGGAACTTAGCAATTACTTCGTTCAACTACCAATATAATATTCCAGATCTTACTGCATCCCTGATAAATTATTCTTCAACCAAGATTTAAACAGCTTAGGGGTAGAGGAATAATTACCTCTATTTAGAGTGCATTCATCTTTGAGTAATTCTCTTAGAACACTAGTTTATATACCGAGGTACAATCAATATCCTTTCAGCACCTAAAAATAACACCTAGTTTTACCTTTTTTTTTTTTGGTCTTCTTTAGTGGGGAAAAATCTCAGGAATAGGACTAAGGAGAGGTGAGGTTACTCTCTTCCAATATTTCAAGACATTATTTGATAGAGAAATTGTACTTGTGATTTCTGAGTAAAAGGTATGGAAAGGCAAAAAGAAACATTTAAATAACCATTACTGTCCAACCATGTAATAAACTGCCTGGAGAAACCCTGAGTTTCCCACTATTGGAGGCATTCTAATTTAGGCTTGGCCACCGATTGTCAGAGTACCATATAAAATGTTTCTTGGCCGGGCATGGTGGCTCACGCCTGTAATCCCAGCACTTTGGAAGGCTGAGGTGGATCACTTGAGGTCAGGAGTTTGAGACCAGCCTGGCCAACATAGTGAAACCCATCTCTACTAAAAATACACAAAAAAATTAGCTGGGTTTAGTGGTGCATGCCTGTAATTCTAGCTACTTGGGAAGCTGAGGCAGAAGAATTGCTTGAACCTGGGAGGTGGAGCTTGCACTGAGCTGAGATTGTGCCACTACACTCCAGCCTGGGCGACAGAATGAGACTCTGTTTTTCAAAAAAAAAAGCTTCTATATTACATGGAAGATTGTGTTTTACAAACTCGAACTTACTCTTACTTATGCTATTGTGTCTTCTGGGTTACAACTTCTCAATACTCAGCATTTTAATAATAATAATAAATCACTAAGACTTATTTAGTGCTTGTTGCACCACGCATGTACCAAGCATTTTACATGTATGATCTTACTTAATCGTTTCAACAACTCTATGACAGAGATGATGGTGTTAGTATTCTCATATGATGAATCAGAAAACCAAGACTTACAAAGATTAAGAATCCTGTCTTCAAATTATACAGATTATGAACCAGTGGTTGCCAAGGCTTGGCAGTGAGGGGAGGGGTTGATTACAAAAGCACACCAGAGAAGTTTTCTGGATGATGGAACTGTTCTATATCATGATGGCTGAATGCATTGATCAAAACTCATACTAACATGGGTAAATTTTACTATGCAAATTACATCCCAATCAACCTGAGTTTTAAAATCTTGCCTTTGATCCTACAGCTACTTAAAGCCCTTGTGTGTGTTAGCATATTTGCAAGTTTGGATTCTGAAGTTACTTGCTTTTTGCCCAAGGCCTATAATTTGGGTAAAGTGTCACATTTGCGACAGTGGTGCTTTGCCTAAGTTCACAGTTTATGCGGCCAGTACTCCATGGGGATTTCCATGTCCAAATAACTTTATCAAATTGTACTGTATTTGTCACTGTATTCATCTTTGTAATTCGCTTTTTAAGGCATGGTTTCCAACGTGGCTACACTCAGATTAACTGGAAAGCAAAGAGACATTTTCTTTATCTCTATAATTATAATCTCTATAAATAGATTATAATTTCTATAATTATAATTTCTATAAATAGAAAGGTAATATCTTTCATAGTACCTGTTTCAGGCACAGGGATTATTTTCTTCAATAAATAACATGAGGGGAACTGAGATTTGGATTCAGCATAAAGGAGCATTTCAGATGGTCACTGCTGCTCAGAGGTGAACCAGGTGCCCACCAGAGCAAGGGTGGCTTACGTCAGAGAACAGAGTATTTCTAAAATCACCTTTAACTGAATTTACCCAAGTCCCCACCCTGCCCCCAGAGACTCAGTGATTTCTCTAAAGGCATAGGGAAAATGGACTCAATGGATTTATAAATATAGAACACTCTGAGAGATAAGAGGGACACCTCTGGCTTTGCTTCTATTCCCACTCGGCTTTCCTTCTGTGCCCACTTTCCCTTCCACTCGGCTTTCCTTCTGTGCCCACTTTCCCTTCCCTTCCTTTCCCTTCCCTTCCCTTCTCCTTTCTCCCTTCTCCCTTCTCCCTCTTCCCTCCTCCCTCCTCCCTTTCCTTCTTTTCTCTTCTTTTCTTTGAGACAGAGTCTGGGTCTGTTGTCCAGGCTGGAGTGCAGTGACTCACTGCAGCCTCAACCCCCTAAGCTCAGATAATCCTTCCACTACATCCTCCCAAGTAACTGGGACCACAGGGGCACCTCCACGCCCAGCTAATTTTTTTGTATTTTTAGTAGAGACGGGGTTTCATCATGTTGCCCACGCTGGTCTGGAACTCCTAGGTTCAAGCAATCCTCCCACCTCAGCCTCTCAAAGTGCTGGGATTATAGGTGTGAGCCACTGTGCCTGGCCTTTGCCCTCTTTTCTTTTGTGAACATGGAGATTCCTCCTGAGGGTAGTTTAAAGGCAAGATTTTGAGACAATTGGTGAATGAAGTCACTAGGCGTAATCAATTTCATAAATGAAGAATATTTTTATAATTAACATGTCTAAAGATATTTTCTAATTGCAACTGAAAGTTGTTAGATGTTAAAATAATCTAAGGTGATGAGTATTTATCAGTAAAGACAGAAAAGAAGGGATAAGGGTAAGTGCCACCTAAGCTGTGAAATATTTTGAAAAGCAAAAAAGTATCATTCTTACTCTGTTCACATACATTTTGGAAGCCCATGTCAGACCTGGGCATACTGCACTGGTCCCTGAAACTCTCTAGTGTCAATGTGACCATAGACTAAACATGGCCATGAGTGCAGGATGCCGAAATCTTCACAGCACCGCAGCCCTGAGAGAGAAAGAGTGATTAGATACTTGGTGCTCAAGGACGGAGACTCACAGGATATGGGGTTGGCAACTCTCTGCAGCAACAGGTGCCCAGACCACTGCAAGGCAGGTGGTGCGACTTAGGGAAACTCAGCCAGGCGTCTGAGATTCTCCTCCCACCAGAGTTCATGACCCTAAACAACCCACTGTGTGTCCGGCTTCCATTTCTTACCTGCAACATGAGATGTACAGAACTCCTGGAGCAGATTTCAGGATAAATCTGGAAACATTTGAATAGCTCATGTATTAAACATTTTAAATTAAATTTTGGTCTGACATTAGGGTTTCTGGAAGTTTCCTAGTTTTCAACATTTGCATGGAGTTTGAAATGTCAAACCATTGTGAAAATGTCTTCCACAGTTTCCAATGTCTAGCCAATCAGGCAAACAGCAAGCCAAGTGAATTGAGTAAGATAAAGACATTTTAAAATAGAATAATATTGCCCCATAGAACTTGTGTCACTGTTAAGACTGAGAAATATCAGAGAACAGTTTCTTAAGTTGCTCAATTGTGGTAGAAAAGGTTAAATAAAAGGGAAAAATTGCCTAATATGTACTCTCCTCCAAAACCTGAAAGTGGCAGGCACACAAGGCAGTACTCTAAAACCAGGAAGTCCTAAAATGAAAAAGTCCAGAAGTAGACATCCACTGGAGCAAACCACTACAAAACATGTGAAAATACAAAGTAAATTCTAGAGGAATCCAGGAAGTCAGAGAATTGCCTAGGCCAGTGTGAGCAAGATTTGACAGCACAAACTTATTCACACTATGAAAAGTGAATACAAGAGCCTAACGGTAAATGAACCTAATAATTTATTTATCATCATTTTTACTATTAATTTTGAGACAAGGTTTCACTCTGTCACCTAGGCTGGAGTACAGGGGTGCAATTATGGCTCATTGCAGTCTCGATCTCACCAGGCTCAGGTGATCCTCCCACCACAGTCTCCTGAGTAGCTGGAACTACAGGTGCATGACAGCATGCCTGGCTAATTTTTGTTATTTTTTGTAGAGAGAGTTTTGCCGTGTTGCCCAGGCTGGTCTTGAACTCCTGGGCTCAACCATCCTCCTGCCTTGGCCACCCAATATGCTGGAATTACAAGGGTGAACCACTGTGCCCAGCAATCATTATTAACAGTATGCCTTTTGGTATAGTGTTCTTACAAATTAAAAAAAAAAAGTTTTCACACCCATTCTCTTATTTGAGGCTCTGTAAAACTCTAAGGTAGTTAGAGTAGCCTTATTCTATTTAGACACCTGCCCCTGCCTCCCACCCCAGCTGCCAATGGGAATGGCCCACAGAAATCAACAAGAATGTCCTAGAGGTCAAGTGATGCTGTGTTAATCACAAGGCCAGCAAACAGGCACCTAACCCACTTCCATTCCTGGATCTAGCAAGAAGGAACACAGAAGCTCCAAATTCAAAGCTGCGTCTGTTGCATGTAGCCAGACATAAGTGGAAAAATTCAGTCTCTATTATTAGAAGGCCTGCACTTCGAAGCTGAGGCCTGAACAGATCCCAACCTTTTTTGGAAGCTGCTTTCTCTTACGTAAAACATAGACACTGGTAATCCTACTACCAACACTTGTGATAAGAACAGCATATATTTGTTCAACAATGTTTACATACCTACTGTGTAGACTTAGGCCAGGTACCAGAGAGATGGAGGTAAATATAGGAATAGGTTCCTCGCCAGGATTCTGTAGTCTAGAAGAGGACAGAGAAAAAACAGAAAGGTGTCTTGTGAACTAGAAAATCCTAAATGGGTTTATTAGTCCATTCTCTCACTACTATAAAGAAATACCCGAGACTGGGTAATTTATAAAGGAAAGAGGTTTAATTGACTCACAGTTCCACATGGCTGATGAGGCCTCAGGAAATTTACAATCATGGAGGAAGGCGAAGCAGGCACCTCCTTCACAAGGCTGGAGGAAAGAAGTGGAGTGAGTGAAGAGGGAAGGGCCCCTTATAAAACCAACAGATCTAGTGAGAACTCATTCTCATGAGAACAGCATGGGGGAAACCATCCCCATGACCCAGTAATTTCCCACCAGGCCCCGCCCTCGACGTGTGGGGATTATAGGGATTACAATTCGAGAGGAGATCTGTGTGGGGACACAGCCCAACCATATCAATGGGCAATCGCATTTATTTAAAGGAGATGGGAATGGTGGGCCTAGCTCAAATGTCAAAAGTGAGAAAAGGGAACTGGGTTTCCAAAGCCTCCTGTATGAAGCCGTGGCTTTGCTTCCTGCTTGTAGTGGCCCCTGGAGTCCTAACTGTGACTTCTATGTGTAAAATGGCTACAGAATTGGATTTATGACTATAAACATGTTATGTAAGGGAGGCAATGATTTAAGTGCAGCCAGGGTATTTTTACATTTCATGTGAAACTTGAAAGGTCACCTGAACCAAAGTTCAGGTCAAGACCCTCCAGCTCCTCTCCACCCACAGCTTTCCACACAAGATTTAGTTGAGATGTAAATACCAGAATCAAAACAGTTGCTGAGGCCTACCAGCACTTTGGGAGGTTGAGGCAGGAGGACCGCTTGAGCTCAGGGATTTGAGACCAGCTTGTGGAACATAGCAAGATCCCATCTCTGCCAAAAAAAAAAAAAAAAAAAAATTGCCCAGCATGGTGTTACATGCCTGTAGTCCAAGCTACTCAGGAAGCTGAGGTGGGAGGATTGCTTGATCCCAGGATTTCGAGGCTGCAGTGAGCTATGATCATGCCATTGCACTGTATGACAGAGCGAGACTCTGTCTCTAAAAACAAAACAAAAAACAAAAACCACTTGCTGAAAATGGGGCATGCTGAAAGGAAGATGAAACTGATTTTTATTTTCCTCCAGCATGTCAAGTTCTCGTAACATTCACCACACACTCAGACCTTTACAAACATGTGGAGTAGAAATGTGTAAGGGGAAAGGAGAAGGGGAGGAAAGTGTTGGGGACAGGTTATGTGGAGTTAGCTGCAAAAGTAGGAGTAGTAATTGGAAGCTAGGCCAGGTAAAAGGGCTGGAACGCCTGTGTCCCGCCATCGCAGGGGGACCACCACAGTTCAGGGCTCCAGGCCAGACCTTGGAATGGGAAGCCACCGTTTTCCTTGGTCACAGACAGCACCAGGACCTCAACAGTTCCTCTGCAGCCCACTATGGGACAGTGAAAAGAGTAATAGGATGAGGATCAGGAGGCTGGAGCTTCAGCACAACACAGCCATTACTTGGGCAAGTATGCGTCAAACACCAGGGCCTCAGTTTCCAGATGTGTGAAATGGGAGAGCGGGAGCAGATAAGATCAAGAGCCCCTCTGGCCCTCTGAGTTGTGGTGATGTCAGGATGGCATAATTCAAACACCAGGGACGTGTGTAATGAATAAGCTTCACTACGTACTAGCTGTGTGAATTTGGAAAAGTCACTAAACTTTTCTAAGCCCTACTTTCCTCAGAGTTAAATGTGGATGATGGTTCCTCTTAGGTGGAAGGGACTAAATGAGAGCATGCACACAAATCCCAGGGCATAGGGCTGGTGATGGTGGAGGTTAATTTGTTTCCATCCCCTCATTGGGGTCCTCTGGTGGGTGCCCTCTGAGAGTCCTGATTCAAATTCTAGCAGGACTTTGGAAGAGGGCATCCCACAGGGGAGCCCCAGGGAAAGAGGAGATGGAGTTTAGCCACCCAGCATGCCTTTTATTTTATTTTAGTTTTTGCTTTAGAAACAAGATCTTGCTCTGTTGCCCAGAATGGATGGAGTGTAGTGGCATGATCATAGTCCACTACACCCTTGAACTTCTGGGCTCAAGCAATCGTTTCACCTCAGTCTCTAGAGTAGCTGGGACAACAGGCGTGTGCCTCCACACCTGACTAATTCTTATCTTTTGTTCTGCTGCCCAGGCTGGTCTCAAATCCCTGGTATCAAGGGATCCTCCTGCCTTGGCCTCCTGAAGCACTGGGCTATAGGTGTGAACCACTACACCTGGTTCCCAGCATGCCTTTAAGCAAGTCCTGAGCATCAGTGAGCTTCACTTACCTTACATGCAAAATGAAGGTACTGGCTGGGCGCGGTGGCTCACGCCTGTAATCACAGCACTTCAGGAGGCTGAGGCAGACAGATCACTTGAGGCCAGCAGTTCAAGACCAGCCTGGCCAACATGGCGAAACCCTGCCTCTACTGAAAATACAAAAATTAGCTGGGCGTGGTGGCGCAGCTCTGTAGTCCCAGCTACTCAGGAGAGGCTGAGGCATAAGAATCACTTGAACCCAGGAAGAAGAGGTTACAGCAAATCGAGATTGCAGCACTGCACTCCAGCCTGGGTGACAGAGCGAGACTCTGTCTCTAAATAAATAAATAAAATAACATGAAGATACTATTTCTTGCCCTATCTACCTCTTAAGGCTATTGTGAGAGCAAACAGGATGCACATGGAATGTTCTTTGAATTCTAAAGAGGAATTCAAATGCCAGTGCAAGAGGAGAGTGAGGGATGGGTGTCTGCACCACTAAACGGCTTCCTGCTCACTTGGGGGACAGTGGCTGTGCATGCACCACCACAACTGGCTAATTTAAAAAAAACCCTTTTTTTTAGAGATGGGGTGTGCTATGTTGCTTAGACTTTTCTGAGAGACAAATTGGCTGTGCTTCCAACATGAAACGTATGTGCTAAGAAAATGCACGTAAAGAGTCCCAAGTTTGTGCCTCCCTGATCTCCAAGCCCTAATTCTACCCATTTTAAATTTTCCTCACTAGTCTCTGCTCTATGGCTTCTGGGCGACATGCCAACAGAGTCTCCATGCAAGACCCTTGGAACAAGTTACTCACTTCCTCTAAACGACTGATCACGAACATAATTAAATAGGGATTTGAATGAAAGAGCAGCTTGTGGGAAAGTGCAAAGGATGCCATCACACGTATTTCCTATTATTAGCTTGAATTTTAAATTTCCTTTAGGTGCCCCAAAGAAGGGAAACCTTCATTAGGCAGTGGAGATGTAGACAGATGGTCCAAAGGCCTTTGGAGCCTTCAGAAAATGGTGGCTGTCTCCCCTGACGTTTCGTTAGTCATCTTAGGCAGAAAAATAGGCACCTGGTATGGTATAAAGGGAACTTCATGGCAAAATGCACCTACAATTCGGTTGTAATTGATTAATTTACTTAACTGCCTTCTGGTCATTTTGAAACTTTCTCCACGTATATATTTACAACCCTGTGGCCATTATGTAATGATGACATAATTATTGGTAAGGTGTAAGGAAAATACGGGGTCTAGGATTGCAGTGGCGTGAAATTAGATGTCTGATGACCTGTCTGTACTATGCAATGAATCACCGTCATGAAGCAGAATTCACACATTGGGTTCAGTCACTGTACTACATGTATAGACTGAAAACTGGAAAAATATGCAAAGCTATCAAAAGGTTTACAAATATTCAGGTACTTGATGTCATATAGGTAACTTACCTCATAACTTCTATGTTGTCTTGGTGTAATACAGACAGACTCAAAGTCATGAGGCGGTAGGCTACGGCAGAATTTTTTTTAACTCCCAGCTGCAAAACGAAACCAATATCATAAAAATGATAGCTCCACTTACTAACTCCTTGGTAGTCAAATACATTGTACAAGAGCAGGCAGTCTTTTCATCTCTCTCTAGCATGTCTTCCCAAAACATGGGCTGATCCCATTGAAAAGCACCAAATTATAGAGACCTTCCAAGATTACTGGTCCAATCCCATATCTTAAGTGAGAACCTGATAGATTGTTAGCAGATTTTTGGCTAAAAACTTCAGCCATTTAAAAACAATCAAAATTTGCAGTGTTTGGAAAAATGAATTCTAGTTGATTAAATCTCCAAGGGCAAACATTTTTACAATGAAATATTTCAAAGTTCAGAATGGTTCCACAGCCACTGCAAAAACAAGAACCAAATATGAGTGCTCCCCGAAGAATTCTAAAAACAGAAAACCCAACTCAAACCAAAACGTGCACACAAAAAATATTACTGCCTTGCAAAACAAATATCCAAATCTATATTCAGTAACAACTCTGCTTTATAAAAATAAAATCTCCAAATTTGAGAATACATTATTTCCATGTAATGCAGTTATTCTTGACCTCTTATGCCATTTTGCCCATACTGCCCAAAGTAATTTATAGATTCAATGCTGTCCCCATCAAGCTGCCATTGACTTTCTTCACAGAATTAGAAAAAAACTACTTTAAATTTCATACGGAACCAAAAAAGAGACCGCATAGCCAAGACAATCCTAAACAAAAAGAACAAAGCTGGAAGCATCACACTACCTTACTTCAAACTACACTACAAGGCTATGGTAACCGAAACAGCAATGTACTGATATCAAAACAGATATATAGACCAATGGAACAGAACAGAGGCCTCAGAAATAGCACCACACATCTACAACCATCTGATCTTTGACAAACCTGACAAATACAAGGAATGGGGAAAAGATTCCCTGTTTAATAAATAGTGCTGGGAAAACTGGCTAGCTATATGCAGAAAACTGAAATTGGACCCCTTCCTTACGCCTTATACAAAAATTAACTCAAGATGGATTAAAGACTTAAACGTAAGACCTAAAACGATAAAAACCCTAGAAGAAAACCTAGGCAATACCATTCAGGACATAGGCATGGACAAAGACTTCATGACTGAAATACCAAAAGCAATGGCAACAAAAGCCAAAACTGACAAATGGGATCTAATTAAACTAAAGAACTTCTGCACAGCAAAAGAAACTACCATTAGAGTGAGCAGGCAACCTACAGAATGGGAAAAAATGTTTGCAATCTATCCATCTGAAAAAGGGCTAATATTCAGAATCTAAAAAGAACTTAAACAAATTTACCAGGAAAAAAAAATCAAAAAGTGGGCAAAGGATATGAACAGACACTTCTCAAAAGAAGACATTTATGTGGCCAATAAATATATAAAAAAAGCTCATCATCACTGCTCATTGGAGAAATGCAGATCAAAAACACAGTGAGATAACCATCTCATGCCTGTTAGAATGGTGATCATTAAAAAGCCAGGAAACAACACATGCCGGAGAGATGTGGAGAAATAGGAACGCTTTTACACCGTTGGTGGGAGTGTAAATTAGTTCAACCATTGTGGAAGACAGTGTGGCAATTCCTCAAGAATCTAGAACTAGAAATACCATTTGACCCAGCAATCCCATTACTGGGTATATAACCAAAGGATTATAAATCATTCTACTATAAAGACACATACACATGTACGTTTATTTCAGCACTCTTCACAATAGCAGAGACTTGGAACCAACCCAAATGCCCATCAATGATAGACTGGATAAAGAAAATGTGGCACATATACACAAGGGAATACTATGTAGCCATAAAAAAGGATGAGTTCATGTCCTTTGCAGGGACATGGACGAAGCTGGAAACCATCAATCTCAGCAGACTAACAGAGGAACAGAAAACCAAATACCGCATGTTCTCACTCATAAGTGGGAGTTGAACAATGAGAACACATGGACACAGGGAGGGGAACATCACACATGAGGGCCTATCAGGGGGTGGAGGACTAGGGGAGGGATAGCATTAGGAGAAGTACCTAAAGTAGATGATGGGTTAATGGGTGCAGCAAACCACCATGGCACGTGTACACCTATAACGTGTATATGTGTAACAAATCTGCAAGTTCTGCACATATATCCCAGAACTTAGAGTATGTGTGTATATATGTCCAGCAACAAACTTGATGCCTATGATGTTCTGGTCTAGGGTTCAGTCCAGGGAGCGCCACCTCTCACCTCAATCCATATATATATATAAAATTTACATAATGTATATTATATATATAAAGAATTATGCCTATATATTATATATGTGTTATATATATAAAAAGAATAATGCCATTTTGTAATAGAGAAAAACAGTAAAATAGACAAAAATTAATTTCTTCCTTTCCAATCAATTAGATCTAAAAACAAGAAGTTCTCTCTCATAAGATGAATGAGGTGTTAGTTTTAGGAGATAGACAAGCACCCAACAGGAATCTGTGAGATTAAGAAATAAAAGATCATATTTGGGAATACAGTGTAGTCTTGCTCTGAAGGAAAAACCTCCTCGCTCTGTTCTCCTGGTTGAGATCATTCTAGGAACTTAGGGTTCGGATTATTTATATTCATTAGGGCTTTTGCAAGGCAAAGCAAACAAGAGAGGAGAAGCAAAGCTGGGACCTGTCCAGCAACAAATTCGATGCCTATGATGTTCTGGTCTAGGTTTCACTCCAGGGAGCACCACCTCTCACCTCGATCCAGACCACTGGGAATTAGAAGTCAAGCTGCCAACAAAATGAAGGGACAAAGGTCAGTGGCCACAAACTGCCTGCTAAGTCCTTCCGAAGTCTCCATATTCACAAATACCATCTAAACAGATGCCTCCAGAGCATCTTAAAGACAATATAAATAAGAAGCTAAGGCGTCAAACAGGCTTATCTCCTGATGGACTCTTCCAGGGTGACATATAAGTAGCAGAGTGCAAGAGACAGCTCTCCTATAAGACTTCATGCTCTAGGAAATTCACAAGCACAGAAATCAATCCATTTAAGGACCAGCACCGTGGGGGTGGTTGACTTTGAACACATATAAAGCATTATCTCTACATTTTCTCTAAGTTCCCATACTGAGAATTGGCCTCTGGGCTCTGGGTTCCAAAGCCATTTCCTGGTGTATTTCTTAGGACTGTAATTTTTCAAGGGTAAAATTCTGAGACTTAGGAAAAGCTCTTGCATGTCGCTGTAGTAGAAACTGAGCAAGAGCAATTCTGAGTGGAATTCACTTTCCAGTCAGGTGTCAGCACAGTTTCAGATATGTCATCAATTTGAGTAAATACAATGTGCAACTTATTTCTTGTCATTATTTTTACTTATTAGCTTGGGAGGTTTACTTTTTGGAAAGCAAGATAACATTTCAAAATGATACTGTGTCATACCTCAAAAGGAAGAAACATCATTAAGAAGGTACAAATAATCCCTAAACAGCAACATTTATATAGTACTCTTCAGTTCACAAGTTCCTCTTAAAAATGACCCTATTTGATTTCAAAACACTCTCATAAGGTAGGCAGGGAAAATATTATAATGTCATTTTTACAAATAAAGAGACTGAGAGGCTCAGACTGGTGAGGTCAACCGCCAACCCTCAGCTGACATTATTAATAGAAAAATAAGGACTTAAACCTTCTCCTCTCAGTAGCATTCAATAGTAATTGTTCATGTATCTCATTTTCCTTAACAAAATAATAATAATATTGATAATAATAACATAACACCCTTGATTCTTGACCCCTGGTGACCACAACTAATTTCAGAATACATAAACATAAGGGCAAATTGTAACTGTTTTCTTTAATACTCATTTGAATATTACACAGAAAAAAATCAGTAAATATTTATTGAGGGCCTGTGATGTGTTCAGTGATGGGGATATCAAGTGCTTAAGATAATAAGCTGAAATTATACATTTTACTTAAATAGCACTGAATATTCACATATATCAAACTATGTACAATTTTGTTTGGTACATTTATATGCATCAAAATATGTAGACAACATGAATCAGTGACTGAATTTTTCACTTTTCGTGTTGATATTTTGTCACTTTACATAGAAAAATCAAAGACCAAAGATGAAAAATATCTGGTACTCTGAATCCTCCATTCTTTCACTAGGGATGTGATACTAATGCAAAAAGCTCTGGTGGGACCAGATGCAGAGGCCGCAGAAGGAGACCAGGACGTAGACTTGTGCCAGCCTGCCTCTTTGTTGGGTTTGTTCAGGCAGGCTCTTCTCGCTATCTGACCTTCAAACCTGATAATCATTGGCTTGATTTGAATAATCTGCCCAGCCCTGAAAAACTAACCCGCTGACTAAGGGGTGGGAGATACTAATTGGCTAGACTAGGATCCCATGTTCAACCCTAGATCCAGAAGTAGGGATTAATTCTACTCCTAAACATGGATCTATATTGGAGTGGTAGTAAAAATTTAGAGTGCTTTGACCAAAAGTGGGGAGTCTAGATGGTCAAAAGTAAATAAATAAATAGAAAAGATGTAATACAGGGGTTGATCTGTAAAACAACAACAATAATAACAATAATAAGTTGGTCTGATGGTCTATCCTGGGAAGCACAGACCTAACTTATACTGCTTCCAGGGGTGGATGCTACTTAGCACTGTAACTAGGTATCAGGAATTCTCGTTTCTTATCTCAACTTGTTTTGAGAAAAGAAATGAGAATTCCTTAAGAATTCTCATTAAGAGAGAGAACACGTCCTTTTACACAGATACTTCACATTGAACTTCTACTAAGTTTATATGTAAAAAACTTGACTGAAACAAACAAAAAGAATCCTATGAATTTGCCCATGTTGTGCCTATAAGTTATTCCCTTTTTTTCAATATTATAAAGAGGAAACTTTTGTTTCAATTTTATAAGTAAAGACAAATTTCCATTGTTTTAAAATTTTACTTTAAGTTCTGGGATATGTGTGCAGAATGTGCAGGTTTGTTACATAGGTATGCATGTGCCATGATGGTTTGCTGCACCTATCAACCCATCATCTAGGTTTTAAGCCCCACATGCATTAGGTATTTGTCCTAATGCTCTCCCTCCTCTTCCCTCCAACCCCTGACAGGCCCCAGTGTGTGATGTTCCCCTCCCTGTGTCCATGTGTTCTCATTGTTTGACTTCCACTTATGAGTGAGAACATGTGGTGTTTGGTTTTCTGTTCCTGTGTTAGTTTGCTGAGAATGATGGTTTCCAGCTTCATCCATATCCCTGCAATGGACATGAACTCATTTTATTTTTATGGCTGCACCTATATGTTATTCTTTCACTGCTTCTACTCCATGGTCCCTTTGGACAACACTAAAGATTCAGGTGGAAACCAAAAATAAAATTCTAAGCACCTCCCTACCCAACCATCTGAATGGACTCCCTCCTCAGCCAGGGGACCCCAGAGTTAACCTGAAAGACTACTTCAGGCCATGATGGGAAGGGTGGGTGTGTCAGACATGCCTCATTATGCTCTCCTCCCTTTTGGAATTCAGGAAAAGCCGACCAGCATTTAACATCAACACAGACCCTGAGTCTGATAAGAAATATGTATAATCTACTCTCTCTGAATCCTGCTACCTGGAGGTTTCATCTACATGATCAAACTTTGCTCTCCACAACCTCTTATCATAACCTACACATTTCACTTTTCAACCAATTGCCAATCAGAACATTTTTAAATCTACCTATAACCCGGAACCACCCTTCATCTTCGAGTTGTCCCGCCTTTCTGGACTAAGCCAATGTATATCTTAAATGTATTTGATTGATGTCTCATGTCTTCCTAAAATGTATAAAACCAAGCCGTGCCCTGACCACCTTAGGCACATGTTCTCAGGGTCTCCTGAGGGCTGTGTCATGGGCCATGGTCACTCATATTTGGCTCACAATAAATCTCTTCAAATATTTTATAGAATTTGACCTCTTTTCATTGACACAGAATAGACCACTGCCTTCCTTAAATAGCTAATTCCAACCTTCCTCACTCCTCTCCCTCTTGCTCCTGTAGAATGCTATCATCAACATTCTTAGAAAGATTGTCTGCTTCAGATGAATTTATACCTGACCTGGAGAAAACTTGCTTGTCTTGGTTATCATCCAACATGAAAGCTGCCCTCTTAGGCATTCAAAAAATTCAGTGAAAAAATACTGTTCTAAACACAGTTTGTTAGGGTTAAATGCTTTTTCAACTCACATAAAAAAAGAGGGCCTCCCTCAGGAGGCAATGCATAGGAACTTATCAAAAACAGTGCCCTTTAAATAATGTCTGCCTTATTAAAAGAAACAGGCTGGAAAGGGGATTCGAGTCTCAAATGGTTTGTACTATTACTACTAATAGTTGAGAGTTAGGAAGTGAAAAATCTAGAAAATGAAACTTTCTTGGCTCCTATTTTACTAAATAAAACTCCTAACCCTCGTAACTATGGAGACAGATTTATAAATTAATTCCCTAATAACTTGTCCTGGGTTCCCTAGAAAACAATAACAATGCTTGAATCAAAATTGTATGTGCTGTTACTTTTATGGGGGTTGGGGGAGAGACGCAATCCCAGAGAAATAAGAATAAGGCGAAAAGAGGAAGTGAGGCAAAGGAAGGAGGAAACACAAATACAAAGAAGTGCCTCATAGAACTGGACAAGCTGGCTGCTTGATCTTGCAGGATATCTCCTGAGAATGATATAAAACTACCGTACCCAGGAACAGTCCGTCCACGGCGGGAGGAAAAGTGAGCAATTCCTTATGTTGCAGTAGGAGTAATAACTTTCTGCTACTTATTACATCTTACTTAGATGCAGAAGCCATATTTGTACTTTTTTTTTTTTTTTTTTTGGAAACACGTTCTGTCTCTGTCACCCAGGCTGATGTGCAGTGGCGAGATCATGGCTTACTGCTGCCTTGACCTACCTGGGCTTAAGAGATACTTCCACCTCAGCCTCCCAAGTAGCTGGTACCACAGGCATGTGCCACCATACCCAGCTAATTTTTTTTTTTTTTTGTATTTTACAGAGTTGGGGTTTCACCATGTTGCTTAGGCTGGTCATCTTGAACTCCTGGGCTCAAGGGGTCCACCTAACTCAGCCTCCCAAAGTGCTGGAATTATAGGCAAGAGCGCCACAATGCCCAGCCTCATATTTGTAATTTAATTATTTTTGCAATTTAATAAACTGTACAACACCATAAGTATGAGGATGTAGGGGCCAAGGGAAAATGTTCCCTTTGCCCTCTAAAAGTTCCGCTGAAAAATCAACTCACGAAAGGCAGATTAATTGGAGAAAAGGCATACAAATTCATTAATGTGCACATGGGAGAGAATCACAGTGATTACCACCCCCCACAACAACGGGGTTTAGAAGTTTATATACCCACTTAGGGTTACAAAAAGAATGGGGTCTTGGATTATGGCCAAACAGTTTATGGTGATGGAGAAGAGGAGGCCTGGCTGGCAAAGGTGGTCTTGTTATGTACATGAGACCTCACAGGTAGCAGCTCTCAGACAGAAAAGATGGCAAATGTTTCTTTCACATGTTTAAAAGCATCAGATTCTCAGTTCATCTTCCCTAGATGTGGCCAAGGGAAGGCCTGGCTGCCTCAATGCAGATTCTCTACAGATGCACTTGGTAATCACTGGCTTGATTTGGGTAATGTGCCCAGCCCTGAAAAACTAACCCTCCCCAATAAAAACAGCTTTGTAGGGTTACATGTGTTTGCTGACTCTCCGAACAGCCATTGCAAAATATGTCAAAAATATTTTGGGGAAAAATATTTTTATTTTCTTCAAAGACAAGGACAATGACTATCTTGCACAAAGATACATTCCTAGCACTTAGCGGTTTCTGGATCCTCCCAGTGACCTCTTATTTAAAGTCAAGGGACAACACTGAGGGCCAGCGAGACATCCAACAGAATATGTGTGGCTGACACTCAAGACCATGCATGATTAATGGGAGAAGCAGCATTGCCAAGGGGGCAATAATTGTTTTTTAGGGAGTAAAAAGAATCTCTCATATTATAATGGTTTGTGGCCCTCTGAAAGGCCAACATCACTAAACAGAAACACAGTATGCATCACGTGCCAGGGGCTCTCAGCTGTAATCCCAGCACTTTGGGAGACTGAGGCAGGAGGATCACTTGAGGCCAGGAGCTTGAGACCAGCCTGGGCAACAATAGGGAGACCTCATCTCTACAAAAAAAAATTAAAAAACTAGCCAGGTGCGTTGGCCCATGCCTGTGGTCCCAGCTACTTGAAAGGCTGAGGTGGGAGGATAGCTTGAGCCTGGGAGGTCAAGGCTGCAGTGAGCCATGATTGTGCCACTGCACTCCAGCCTGGGCAACAAAGCGAGACTCTGTCTGAAAAAAAAAAAAATTTAAAAAAAGAAATACAGTCTGTTTGTGGTATTAAAATTTCATGGGTGGGGCACTGTTAGAAAAGAAAGATCGGCCGGGCACAGTGGCTCACACCTATAATCTCAGCACTTTGGGAAGCCGAAGCAGGCGGATCATGAGGTCAAGAGATCGAGACCATCCTAGCCAACATGGCAAAACCCCATTTCTACTAAAAATACAAAAATTAGCTAGGCGTGGTGGCGCGTGCCTGTAGTCCCAGCTACTCAGGAGGCTGAGGCAGGAGAACCGCTTGAACCCAGGAGGCAGAGGTTGTAGTGAGCCGAGATTGTGCCACTGCACTCCAGCCTGGCAAAAGAGCAAGACTCTGTCTCAAAAAAAAAAAATAAAATAAAATAAAAGAAAAAAGGTCTATTAAGATCCTCAAAAGGATAGTAAGTATTAAAAAGATTGAGAAATTGTGCTGTCAGCCACATTCCTAAACTTTCAGGTGACTTTGAATATACCATGTAATAATTGGGGGTTCAGCATATTTATCTGTTTGTGGGGAAGGGTGGAGGAAATGGAGATGGCAGGAGGAGAGTAACTTTCCAGTTAACCCATTACTAGCCAGGAACAAAGAAGAGAGTCAAGGCAGGGACCACATATTATATTCACCTTCGTGTGACTCACACATTATCAATAAATGCATAATGAATGAAAAATAAAAAAGGAAGTGATTCATGAAGAAACACAAATTCATTTCTTCAGCAGGGTTTGCCGGAATTGACACTGCTTCAGACATCCAAAATTATTACAGGAAAGTTAGGATGAAGTACCAGCTAATCATTTCCCCTAGGAATCCCATAGTTTTGTATTAACCCTGCTATCATTTCAAAATAATATAAAATCAATCAGAGTAATTTGATAATTTATCTACCTATTATTACATATCGCATTCTTCTGTTTATCAGTAAATTCACAATACTCAAGTATAGTAATGATCAAGAATATAAAGCAGTTGCTTACAATTTTAGTTATGTAAATACTATTTCCTCCATGTAGGAGTTAAATGTTCTTTCCCTTCTCTCTCTTTAGTTTTGAGATTGAAACTGAAGCACTGTGTAATTCCTGAGACTGAGTTTCTTGGAAATTTGGGGCAAATCACAATCAAGTGCAATGGGCAAATTCTTGTTAGGAGTCCAGCTTATGCTGATCAGAAGCCAAGATATACTATAAGAATTAAAATGTGAAATGGCACATATGTCATTTAAAACCCAATTAAATATTCAGCAATGAGGTATGTGTGTAGTTTGTAGAATTATAAATCAGAACTGCTGTTCTCAGAAAGGGTGTAATCTTATTCGGGCCACATGATTAACAGAGAAAGAAAACAGTATACAACATTATGTAAGTAACCCTGATAATGATGTAGAACAGTTTGTATGCTGGAAGAGTTCTGAAAAGATCTCTGAGGGCTGGAAGTGCTAAGGACAATTTCATAAAGAAGGTAAGAGATTATCTACATAGATCTGAATAGTCTAAAAGAAATTGTGAATTCATGTTGGATATTTTGAAGGGAATAAGAGGAAACTGCCACAGTAGGGGTATAGTCAGTGCCTTGAGGGTCTCTGGGGCCCATAAACAGTGAGAATAGCTACCATTTATTGAGTACCGAGCCCTGGGACATAAAGTCCTCCAGGACACCAAACAATGAGACAATTCAAAATACTGGTTTCTGGTCTTGAGAAAATAAATGACTCTATTCACTGGGTAAAAAATTGTCTCTAGTTCCTTGTTTTCTAAAGAAAAAAATGTAGGAGGCCCTAATCCAGCTGTAAGCAAACAATTCTTGAAAATCATTTTTAATGTTAGAAGAGTTTATGACTTTTTAGCATGTAACTAGGAAGAAATTCTAAGAACAGAATGGCATTAGTATTAACAAATTTTCTTCCATTGTTATCTATTTATTTACATACAATAGTATTCCATATGCTTACACGTATGAAAGTAGAATAAGAATAAAATTGATGCTGAACACTGAATCATTCTAGCAATAACTAACGTTTAACAAACACATCAGTAAATTAAACTTTAAAAAGCCTATCCAGCCAGGCGCAGGGGCTCATACCTGTAATCCCAGCACTTTGCATGGCTGAAGGGGGCGGATAACTTGAGGTCAGGAGTTCAAGACCAGCTGGGCCAACACGGTGAAACCCCATCTCTACTAAAAATACAAAAATTAGCTGGGCATGGTGACTCCCAGCTACTCGAGAGGCTGAGGCAGGAGAATCACTTAAACCCAGGAGGCAGGGGTTGCAGTGAGCTGAGATCGTGCTACTGCACCCCAGCCTGGGCTACAGAGCGAGACTAGGTCAAAAGAAAGCCCATCCATCTCATTAAAAGTGATTTTCTCATAAAATTTTTTTTTTATATTTACCACTTATTAACATTTGTGTTATATGTGATTTATTATGTAATTATCATAGTACCTCAACCCAAAATATAATTTTAACCCTTGGAATCTTATTATAAATTAAGATAACCTTAATTTCAAAATATATAGTTTGTTATAGTATAATATGAAAAATGATTAATAATATTTACATATAAATACCAAAAGTCCCTTGCTGACTTCTGAACTACACATATCTGGGCCAAGGCAATGAAGAACCTAGAGAAGAGATGACAGCTTGGTAGGCACAACAGTATAACGCAGAATAGACCCACAGATGACCCAGATGTTGGAATTAGCAGACAAACATTTTAAAATAACTATGAAAATATGTTTAAAAATGTACAAAGATGGATATATGTGGCAAGAGTAAGGAGTATCAGGGTAACCACAATAAAAAACTAAGTGAAAATTTTAGAGCAAAAAAAATTTTATACAAAAAAAATTGATTGGATGGTATTAATAGAAGATTTTACATAAAGGAGAAAGAATAAGTGAGCTTGAAATTGGATCAACTTAAATCATCCTAAGTAAAGCACTGGAAGAAAAAGGACTTAAAACAGTCAAAATAACCTTCAAGGTGGTATTAAGGCATGTGTAAATAGAGCCCTAGAACAAAATAGACCAAGAACGAGTCAGAAAAAGTATTTAAATTTTAACAAAAATTTTTCTTTTCTTTTTTTTTTTTTTTTTGAGGCAGAGTCTTGCTCTGTCACCCAGGCTAGAGTGCAGTGGTGCGACCTCGGCTCACTGCAAACTCCGCCTCCCAGGTTCAAGCAATTCTCCTGCCTCAGCCTCCCAAGTAGCTGGGATTACAGGTGCCCGCCACCACGCCCAGCTAATTTTTGTATTTTTTAGTAGAGACGGGGTTTCACCATCTTTGCCAGGCTGGTCTTGAACTCCTGACCTCATGATCCACCTGCCTCGGCCTCCCAGAGTGCTGGGATTACAGGTGTGAGCCACCATGCCTGGCCAACAAAAACTGTTCTAAATTTGATGAAAAAGAGCAACTTGCACATCGGTCAATCCCAGCAAATCCCAAGAAAGTTAAATGCAAAAAAAAAAAGACAAAAAACCCCCAAACAACAAAAAACAAAACTCATACCTGCAAACATCATAATTAAATTGCTGAAAACCAAAAAAGAAAGAAGACATGGACACATGTAGACAATGATAATAATGAAGGTGATTTCTCATCACAAAAACTAGAGATGAAAAAAAGACATTTTTAAAAAACAAACAAAAGACTGGCAACTTAGAATTTTATACTCAACAAAATATCCTACAACGTTAAGATATTTTCAGACTAGTAAACAAAATCAGGGATAATTTGTTGCCAGCAAACACACACTATAAAAAACTACAAAAATAAGTTATTTAGATTGAAGGGTAATGATACTAGATGGAAATTTAAATCTATGACAAATAATGAACACTGAAATAGATGATCAAAGTTTTAAAAGTTGCTGAGTATGACTTTACCAAATTATAAAACTGGTACTATTTAGAAGGGCACAGTTAATAAAATGAAAACCACACACTGGAAGAAAATATTTGCAAAAACTTATATGTAAAGTTTGTTTACAGAATATATAAATCACTATAAAAACTTGATAACCTAAAATAAAGAGATTGAGAAAATATTATTAAGTATTGAGTTCATTCTAGTACAAAGTTTGAAAACGGCCACCAGGGAACACAGATTCGAAAGAATGGAAGTCAGTGCTCCGAAGTGGGGAAGTTTGGGGTTGTTTATAGCTAAGGCTTGGGAACCTTAATTAGGTTTCCACATTTTCCTCACAAGGCTAGCACATAGTTACAGTACTAGCCTTCAATGAATATGATGAGTTAAGTTTGACTAATCATATTATAATATGATTAGCTATAGTTCAACTAATATGATAGTTGGAACAGTGTTCATTTTGGGAAAGGCATATTTAACAATCCACATGGAGGGTGTAACAATGATGGGGTCTTTTGCACCACCTGGTCTGAATTAGGTGGAAGATAATAAAGGAAGAAAGGTCAGCAAGCAGGAGGGGAGAAGGTGGCATCTCTGGCACCATTTAGTCTTTCTTACTCAATTTACAGAACAAGAGCAATGAGGAAGAGAGTTAATCTATAATAGGAGAAGCAGAAGTTGCAGCTACTTATTGCATAGCTTAGACCACATGCTCATATTTCCTTCAAGGCTCAACATAAATTTTAGGGTTCCACAAATTATGATTAAGTTTTAATTATTTATTTTTATAAACTCAGTAATATGGAAACAAATGAACCAATTTAAAAATAAGCAAAATATTTTAAAATATCTGCACCAATAAAAGGTACACGAGTGATGAAGTACCACATGAAAATCTTTGCAACATCAGAAGTCACTAGGGAGATGCAAATAAGTACCACAGTGATGTATCACTATACACCTGGTAGAATGCCTTAAAAATTTTTACCATACCATCTGCTAGGAAAGATATAGAGCAATGCCTGGAGGTAATGAAAAGTGGCACAACCACTTGGAAAATAGTTTGGTGGCTTCTTATAATGTTAAACATATGCTCATCATATGACACAACAATCTCTTTCTTACATGTTTACTCAAATGAAGTGAACACGTATATTCACACAAAAACCTGTATGCAAATGTTGATGCTGGCTTTATTCATAATCATTAAAAGTTTTAAACAACTAAATTATAATTCAAGTGCTTAATGGATAAACAAACCATGATACCCAATTCTCAAAAACACAGTATTAGTGTATTAGTCAAGGTTCTCAGAGAAACAACTGATAGGAGACAGATAAGTAAGTGGATAGATATAGATAGGTAGGTAGATAGGCAGATGAGAGGAGATTTATTATGGGCACTGGGTTACACCATTATGCAGCCTAAGTCCCATGATATGCCATTTACAAGCTGTAGAACCAGAGATGCCTTTTGCATAGCTCAGTCCAAGTCCAAAGACCTGAAAAGTAAAGTAGTTGATGGTATCGCTCCCAGTCCAAGGCAGCAGGCCTAGGAACCTGGAGGCCACTGCCACAAGTTCTGGAGTCCAAACGCCAGATAGTCTGGAGTTCTGATATCTAAGAGCAGGAGAAGATGGGTGTCCCAGCTCCAGAGAAAGTGCAAATTCACTTTTTTTCTGCCTTACTGTCCTGTCCAAGCCCTTTGTAAAATTAATTTTAATTTTTTTCTTTTTTTATTATACTTTAAGTTCGGGGGTACATGTGCAGAACGTGCAGTTTTGTTACATAGGTATACACATGCCATGGTGGTTTGCTGCACCCATCAACCCGTCATCTACCTTAGGTATTTCTTCTAATGCTATCCCTCCCTTAGCCCCCCGCCCCCCAACAGGCCCCAGTGTATGATGTTCCCCTCCCTGTGTCCATGTGTTCTCATTGTTCAACTCCTACTTATGAGTGGCAACATGTGGTATTTGGTTTTCTGTTCTTGTGTTACTTTGCTGAGAATGGTGGTTTCCAGCCGCATCCATGTCCCTGCAAAGGACATGAACTCATCATTTTTTGTGGCTGCATAGTATTCCATTGTGTATGTGTTCCACATTTTCTTTATCCAGTCTATCACTGATGGGCATGTGGGTTGGTTCCCAGTCTTTGCTATTGTGAATAGTGCTGTAATAAACATATGTGTGCATGTGTCTTTTTTTTTTTTTTTTTTTTGAGACAGAGTCTCGCTCTGTCACCCAGGCTGGAGTACAGTGGCATGAACTAGGCTCATTGCAACCTCCACCTCCCGGGTTCAAGCAATTCTTCTGTCTCAGCCTCTCGAGTAGCTGGGACTACAGGCGCACACCACCATGCCTGGCGAATTTTTGTATTTTTGGAAGAGACAGGGTTTCACCATATTGGCCAGGCTGGTCTCAAACTCCTGACCTCATGATCTGCCCGTTTCGGACTTCCAAAGTGCTGGGATTACAGGCATGAGCCACCATGCCCGGTCTCATGTGTCTTTATAGTAGAATGATTTATAATCCTTTGGGTATATACCCAGTAATGGGATTGCTGGGTCAAATGGTATTTCTGGTTCTAGAACCTTGAAGAATCACCACACTGCCTTCCATAATGGTTGAACTAATTTACGCTTCCACCAACAGTGTAAAAGCGTTCTATTTCTCCACATCCTCTGCAGCATCTGTTGTTTCCTGATTTTTTTATGATCACCATTCTAACTGGCATGAGATGGTATCTCATTGTGGTTTTGATTTGCATTTCTCTAATGACCAGTAATGATGGGCTTTTTAAAATATGTTTTTTGGCCACATAAATGTCTTCTTTTGAGAAGTGTCAGTTCCTATCCTTTGATCACATTTTGATGGTTTTTTACTTTTTCTTGTAAATTTGTTTAATTTCTTTGTAGATTTTGGATATTAGCCCTTTGTCAGATGGATAAATTGCAAAAATTTTCTACCATTCTGTAGATTGCCTGTTCACTCTGATGATAGTTTCTTTTGCTGTACAGAAGCTCTTTAGTTTAATTAGATCCCATTTGTCTATTTTGGCTTTTGTTGCCATTGCTTTTGGTGTTTTAGACATGAAGTACTTGCCCATGCCTATGTCCTGAATGGTATTGCCTAGGTTTTCTTCTAGGGTTTTTATGGTTTTAGGTCTTACGTTTAAGTCTTTAATCCATCTTGAATTAATTTTTGTATAAGGTGTATGGAAGGGATCCAGTATCAGTTTTCTGCATATGGCTAGCCAGTTTTCCCAACACCATTTATTAAATAGAGAATCCTTTCCCCATTGCTTGTTTTTGTCAGATTTGTCAAAGATCAGATAGTTGTAGATGTGTGGCATTATTTCTGAGGGCTCTGTTCTGTTCCATTGGTCTATATCTCTGTTTCAGTAACAGTACCATGCTTTTTTGGTTACCGTAGCCTTGCAGTATAGCTTGAAGTCAGGTAGCGCAATGCCTCCAGCTTTGTTCTTTTGGCTTAGGATTGTCTTGGCTATGTAGACTCTTTTTGGTTCCATATGAAATTTAAAGTAGTTTTTTCCAATTCTGTGAAGAAAGTCATTGGTAGCTTGATGGGGACAGCATTGAATCTATAAATTACTTTGGGCAGTATGGCCATTTTCAGGATATTGATTCTTCCTATCCATGAGCATAGAATGTTTTTCCATTTATTTGTGTCCTCTCTTTTTCTCTTGAACAGTGGTTTATAGTTCTCCTTGAAGAGGTCCTTCACATCCCTTGTAAGCTGTATTCCTAGGTATTTTATTCTATTTGTAGCAATTGTGAATGGGAGTTCACTCATGATTTTGCTCTCTGTTCATCTGTAACTGGTGTATAAGAATGCTTGTGATATTTGCACATTGATTTTGTATCCTGAGACTTTGCTGAAGTTGCTTATCAGCTTAAGGAGATTTCAGGCTGAGACGATGGGGTTTTCTAAATATACAATTATGTCATCTGCAAACAGATAATTTGACTTCCCTTTATTTCTTTCTCTTGCCTGATTGCCCTTGCCAGAACTTACAACACTACGTTGAATAGGAGTGGTGAGAGAGGACATCATTGTGTTGTGCTGGTTTTCAAAGGGAATGCTTCCAGTTTTGTACATTCAGTATGATATTGGCTGTGGGTTTGTCATAGATAGCTCTTATTATTTTGAGATACGTCCCATCAGTACCTAGTTTATTGAGAGTTTTTAGCATGAAGTGCTGTTGAATTTTGTCAAAGTCCTTTTCTGCATCTATTGAGATAATCATTGTGGTTTTTGTCATTGGTTCTGTTTATGTGATGGATTATGTTTATTGATTTGCATATGTTGAACCAGCCTTGCATCCCAGGGATGAAGCCGACTTGATCTTGGTGGATAAGCTTTTTGATGTGCTGCTGGATTCGGTTTGCCAGTATTTTATTGAGGATTTTTGCATCGATGTTCATCAGGGATATTGGTGTAACATTCTCTTTTTTTGTTGTGTCTCTGCCAGGTTTTGGTATCAGGATGATGCTGGCCTCATAAAATGAGTTAGGGAGTATTCCCTCTTTTTCTATTGATTGGAATATTTTCAGAAGGAATGGTAGCAGCTCCTCTTTGTACCTATGGTAGAATTCGGCTGTGAATCCATCTGGTCCTGGATTTTTTTTTTGGTTGGTAGGCTATTAATTATTGCCTCAATTTCACAGCCTGTTATTCGTCTATTCAGGGATTCAACTTCTTCCTGGTTTAGTCTTTGGAGGGTGTATGTGTCCAGGAATTTATCCATTTCTTCTAGATTTCCTAGTTTATTTGCATACAAGTGTTTATAATATTCTCTGATGGTAGTTGTTTGTATTTCTGTGGGATCAGTGGTGATATCTCCTTTATCATTTTTTATTATGTCTATTTGATTCTTCTCTCTTTTTCTTTATAAGTCGGGCTAGCGGTCTATCTATTTTGTTGATCTTTTCAAAAAACCAGTTCCTGGATTCATTGATTTTTTGAAGGGTTTTTCGTGTGTCTATCTCCTTCAGTTCTGTCCTGATATTAGTTATTTCTTATCTTCTGCTAGCTTTTGAATTTGTTTGCCCTTGCTTCTCTAGTTCTTTTAATTTTGATGTTAGGTGTCAATTTTAGATCTTTCTTGCTTTCTCTTGTGGGCATTTAGTGCTATAAATTTCCCTCTAAACACTGCTTTAAACGTGTCCCAGATATTCTGGTATATTGTGTCTTTGTTCTCATTGATTTCAAACAACATCTTTACTTCTGCCTTAATTTCGTTATTTACCCAGCAGTCATTCAGGAGCAGATTGTTCAGTTTCCATGTAGTTGTGCGGTTTTGAGTGAGTTTCTTAATTCTGAGTTCTAATTTGATTGGACTGTGGTCTGATCTGAGAGACTGTTATGATTTCCATGCTTTTGCAATTGCTAGGGAGTGTTTTACTTCCAATTATGTGGTCAATTTTAGAACAAGTGCGATGAAGTGCTGAGAAGAATGTATATTCTGTCGACTTGGGGTGGAGAGTTTTGAAGATGTCCATTAGGTCCACTTGGTCCAGAGGTGAGTTCAAGTCTTGAACATCCTCGCTAATTTTCTGTCTCGTTGATCTGTCTAATATTGACAGTGGGGTGTTAAAGTCTCCCATTATTATTGTGTGGGAGTCGAAGTCTCTTTGTAGGTCATTAAGGACTTGCTTTATGAATCTGGGTGCTCCTGTATTGGGTGCATATATATTTAGGATAGTTAGCTCTTCTTGTTGCATTGATCCTTTTACCATTATATAATGCCCTTCTTTGTCTCTTTTGATCTCTGTTGGTTTAAAGTCTGTTTTATCAGAGACTAGGATTGCAACTCCTGATTTTTTTTTATTATACTTTAAGTTCTAGGGTACATGTGCACAACGTGCAGGTTTGCTACATATATATACATGTGCCATGTTTGTGTGCTGCACCCATTAACTCGTCATTTACATTAGGTATATCTCCTAATGTTATCCCTCCACCCTCCCATGACAGGCCCCAGTGTGTGATGTTCCCCTTCCTGTGTCCAAGTGTCCTCATTGTTCAATTCCCACCTATGAATGAGAACATGAGGTGTTTGGTTTTCTGTACTTACGATAATTTGCTCAGAATGATGGTTTCCAGCTTCATCCATGTCCCTACAAAGGACATGAACTCATCCTTTTTTATGGCTGCATGCTATTCCATGGCGTACATGTGCCACATTTTCTTAATCCAGTCTATCATTGATGGACATTTGGGTTGGTTACAAGTCTTTGCTATTGTGAATAGTGCCGTAATAAACATACGTGTGCATGTGTCTTTATAGCAGCATGATTTATAATCCTTTGGGTATATACCCAGTAATGGGATGGCTGGGTCAAATGGTATTTGCCACAATGTCTTCCACAATAGCTGAACTAGTTTACAGCCCCATCAACAGTGTAAAAGTGTTTCTGTTTCTCCACATCCTCTCCAGCACCTGCTGTTTCCTGACTTTTTAATGATCGCCATTCTAACTGGTGTGAGATGGTATCTCATTGTGGTTTTGATTTGCATTTCTCTGATGGCCAGGGATGATGAGCATTTTTTCATGTCTGTTGGCTGCATAAATGTCTTCTTTTGAGAAGTGTCTGTTCATATCCTTCGCCCACTTTTTGATGGGGTTGTTTGATTTTTTTCTTCTAAATTTGTTTAAGTTCTTTGTAGATTCTGGATATTAGCCCTTTGTCAGATGCGTAGAGTGCAAAAATTTTCTCCCATTCTGTAGGTTGCCTGTTCACTCTGATGGTAGTTTCTTTTGCTATACAGAAGCTCTTTAGTTTAATTAGATCCCATTTGTCAATTTTGGCTTTTGTTGCCATTGCTTTTGGTGTTTTAGTCATGAAGTCCTTGCCCATGCCTATGTCCTGAACGGTATTGCCTGGGTTTTCTTCTAGGGTTTTGAGGTTTTGGGTCTAACATTTAAGTCTTTAATCCATCTTGAATTAATTTCTGTATAAGGTGTAAGGAAGGGATCCAGTTTCAGCTTTTTACATATGGCTAGGCAGTTTTTCCAGCACCATTTATTAAATAGGAAATCCTTTTCCCATTTCTTGTTTTTGTCAGGTTTGTCAAAGATCAGATGCTTGTAGATGTGTGGTATAATTTCTCAGGGCTCTGTTCTGTTCCATTCATCTATATGTCTGTTTTGGTACCAGTACCATGCTGTTTTGGTTACTGTAGCCTTGTAGTATAGTTTGAAGTCAGGTAGCATGATGCCTCCAGCTTTGTTCTTTCGGCTTAGGATTGTCTTGGCAATGTGGGCTCTTTTTTGATTCCATATGAACTTTAAAGTAGTTGTTTCCAATTCTGTGAAGAAAGTCATTGGTAGCTTGATGGGGATGGCATTGAATGTATAAATTACCTTGGGCAGTATGGCCATTTTCACAATATTGATTCTTGCTATCCATGAGCATGGAATGTTTTTCCATTTGTTTGTGTCCTCTTTTATTTCATTGAGCAGTGGTTTGTAGTTCTCCTTGAAGAGGTCCTTCACATCCTTGTAAGTTGGATTCCTAGTTATTTTATTCTCTTTGTAGCAATTGTGAATGGGAGTTCACTCATGATTTGGCTCTCTGTGTGTCTGTTATTGGTATATAGGAATGCTTGTGATTTTTGCACAATGATTTTGTATCCTGAGACTTTGCTGAAGTTGCTTATCAGTTTAAGGATATTTGGGGCTGAGATGATGGGGTTTTCTAAATATCCAATCATGTCATCTGCAAACAGGGACAATTTGACTTCCTCTCTTCCTATTTGAATACCCTTTATTTCCTTCTCCTGCCTGATTGCCCTGGCCAGAACTTCTAACACTATGTTGAATAGGAGTGGTGAGAGAGGGCATCCCTGTCTTGTGCCAGTTTTCAAAGGGAATGCTTCCAGTTTTTGCCCATTCAGTATGATATTGGCTGTGGGTTTGTCATAGATAGCTCTTATTATTTTGAGATACGTCCCATCAATACTTAGTTTATTGAGAGTTTTTAGCATGAAGGGCTCTTGAATTTTGTCAAAGTCCTTTTCTGCATCTATTGAGACAATCATGTGGTTTTTGTCATTGGTTCTGTTTATATGATGGATTATGTTTATTGATTTGCATATGTTGAACCAGCCTTGCATCCCAGGGATGAAGCCAACTTGATTATGGTGGATAAGCTTTTTGATGTGCTGCTGGATTCGGTTTGCCAGTATTTTATTGAGGATTTTTGCATCGATGTTCATCAGGGATATTGGTCTAACATTCTCTTTTTTTGTTGTGTCTCTGCCAGGCTTTGGTATTAGGATGATGCTGGCCTCATAAAATGAGTTAGGGAGTATTCCCTCTTTTTCTATTGATTGGAATATTTTCAGAAGGAATGGTAGCAGCTCCTCTTTGTACCTATGGTAGAATTTGGCTGTGAATCCGTCTAGTCCTGGATTTTTTTTTGGTTGGTAGGCTATTAATTATTGCCTCAATTTCACAGCCTGTTATTCGTCTATTCAGGGATTCAACTTCTTCCTGGTTTAGTCTTTGGAGGGTGTATGTGTCCAGGAATTTATCCATTTCTTCTAGATTTTCAAGTTTATTTGTGTAGAGGTGTTTATAGTATTCTCTGATGGTAGTTTCTATTTCAGTGGTGATATCCCCTTTATCATTTTTTATTGCGTCTATTTGATTCTTCTCTCTTTTCTCCTGTATTAGTCTTGCTAGCGGTATATCAATTCTGTTGATCTTTTCAAAAAACCAGCTCCTGGATTCATTGATTTTTTGAAGGGTTTTTTATGTCTCTATCTCCTTCAGTTCTGCTCTGATCTTTGTTATTTCTTGCCTTCTGCTAGCTCTTGCATGTGTTTGCTCTTAATTCTCTAGTTGTTTTAATTGTGATGTTAGGGTGTCAATTTTAGATCTTTCCTGCTTTCTTTTGTGGGCATTTAGTGCTATAAATTTCCCTCTACACACTGCTTTAAATGTGTCTCAGAGATTCTGGTATGTTGTGTTTGTTCTCACTGGTTTCAAAGAACATCTTTATTTCTGCCTTGATTGAGTTACGTACCCAGTAGTCATTCAGGAGCAGGTTGTTCAGTTTCCATGTAGTTGAGCGGTTTTGAGTGGGTTTCTTAATCCTGAGTTCTAGTTTGATTGCACTGTGGTCTGAGAGACAGTTTGTTATCATTTCTGTTTTTTACATTTGCTGAGGAGTGCTTTACTTCCAACTATGTGGTCGATCTTGGAATAAGTGCGATGTGGTGCTGAGAAGAATGTATATTCTGTTGATTTGGGGTGGAGAGTTCTGTAGATGTCTATTAGGTCTGCTTGCTGCAGAGCTGAGTTCAGTTCCTGGATATCCTTGTTAACTTTCTGTCTCGTTGATCTGTCTAATGTTGACAGTGGGGTGTTAAAGTCTCCCATTATTATTGTGTGGCAGTCTAAGTCTCTTTGTAGGTCTCTAAGGACTTGCTTTATGAATCTGGGTGCTCCTGTATTGGGTGCATATATATTTAGGATAGTTAGCTCTTCTTGTTGCATTGATCCCTTTACCATTATGTAATGGCCTTCTTTGTCTCTTTTGATCTTTGTTGGTTTAAAGTCTGTTTTATCAGACACTAGGATTGCAAGCCCTGCTTTTTTGTGTGTTCCATTTGCTTGGTAGATCTTCCTCCATCCCTTTATTTTGAGCCTATGTGCGTCTCTGCACATGAGATGGGTCTCCTGAATACAGCACACTGATGGTTCTTGACTTTTTATCCAGTTTGCCAGTCTGTGTCTTTTAATTGGAGCATTTAGCCCATTTACATTCAAGGTTAATATTGTTATGTGTGAATTTGATCCTGTCATTATGATGTTAGCTGGTTATTTTTCTCATTAGTTGATGCAGTTTCTTCCTAGCATCGATGGTCTTTACAATTTGGCATGTTTTTGCAGTGGCTGGTACCGGTTGTTCCTTTCCATGTTTAGTGCTTCCTTCAGGAGCTCTTGTAAGGCAGGCTTGGTGATGACAAAATCTCTCAGCATTTGTTTGTCTGTAAAGGATTTTATTTCTCCTTCACTTATGAAGTTTAGTTTGGCTGGATACGAAATTCTGGGTTGAAAATTCTTTTCTTTAAAAATGTTGAATATGGCCCCCACTCTCTTATGGCTTGTAGTGTTTCTGCCAAGAGATCTGCTGTTAGTCTGATGGGCTTCCCTTTGTGGGTAGCCCGACCTTTCTCTCTGGCTGACCTTAATATTTTTTCCTTCATTTCAACTTTGGTGAGTCTGATAATTATGTGTCTTGAGGTTGCTCTTCTCGAGGAGTATCTTTGTGGCATTCTCTCTGTTTCCTGAATTTGAATGTTGGCCTGCCTCGCTAGATTGGGGAAGTTCTCATGGATAATATCCTGCAGAGTGTTTTCCAACTTGGTTCCATTCTCCCCGTCACTTTCAGGTATGCCAATCAGATGTACATGTGGTCTTTTCACATACTCCCATATTTCTTGGAGGCTTTGTTTGTTTCTTTTTACTCTTTTTTCTCTAAACTTCTCTTCTCGCTTCATTTCATTCATCTGATCTTCAATCACTGATACCCTTTCTTCCACTTGATCGAATTGCCTATTGAAGCTTGTGCATGCATCACGTAGTTCTCATGCCATGGTTTTCAGCTCCATCAGGTCGCTTAATGTCTTCTCTAAGCTGTTTATTCTGATTAGCCATTCGTCTAATCTTTTTTCAAGGTTTTTAGCTTCTTTGTGATGAGTTCGAAATCCTCCTTTAGCTCAAAGAAGTTTGTTATTACTGATTGTCTGAAGCCTTCTTCTCTCAACTTGACTAAGTCATTCTCCATCCAGCTTTGTTCTGTTGGTGGGGAGGAGCTGCGATCCTTTGGAGGAGAAGAGGTGCTCTGATTTTTAGAATTTTCAGCTTTTCTGCTCTGGTTTCTCCCCATCTTTGTGGTTTTATCTACCTTTGGTCTTTGATGATGGTGACGTACAGATGGGGTTTTGGCATAGATGTCCTTTCTGTTTGTTAGTTTTCCTTCTAATAGTCAGGACCCTCAGCTGCAGGTCTGTTGGAGTTTGCTGGAGGTCCACTCCAGACTCTGTTTGCCTGGGTATCACTGGCAGAAGCTGCAGAACAGCAAATATTGCAGAACGGCAAATGTTGCTGCCTCATCCATCCTCTGGAAGCTTCCTCTCAGAGGGGCATCCAGCTATATGAGGTGTCAGTTGGCCCCTACTCGGAGGTTAGGCTCCAGGTAGGCTACTCAGGGGTCAGGGACCCACTTGAGAAGGCATTCTGTCCATTCTCAGATCTCAAACTCCATGCTGGGAGAACCACTACTCTCTTCAAAGTTGTCAGACAGGGACGTTTAAGGCTGCAGAAGTTTCTGCTGCCTTTTGTTCAGCTATGCCCTGCCCTAGATGTGGAATCTACAGAGGCAGGCAGGCCTCCTTGAGCTGTGGTGGACTCCACCCAGTTCGAGTTTCCCAGCCACTTTGTTTACCTACTCAAGCCTCAGCAATGGCGGATGCCCCTACCCCAGCCTTGCTGCCACCTTGCAGTTCGATTTCTGACTGCTGTGCTAGCAGTGAGCGAGGCTCCATGGGTGTGGGACCCTCCAAGCCAGGTGCAGGATAAAATCTACTGGTGTGCTGTTTGCTAAGACCATTGGAAAAGTGCAGTATTAGGGTGGGAGTGTCTCGATTTTCCAGGTACTGTCTGTCACAGCTTCCCTTGGCTAGGAAAGGGAATTCCCCGACCCCTTGCACTTCCCAGATAAGGCAATGCCCCGCCCTGCTTTGGCTCACACTCCGTGGGCTGCACCCACTGCCTGACAAGCCCCAGTGAGATGAACCCAGTGCCTCAGTTGGAAATGCAGAAATCACCCATCTTCTGCGTCACATACACTGGGAGCTGTAGACTGGAGCTGTTCCTATTCAGCCATCTTGGAACCTCCCTCCAACTGCTGCTTTTTTTGCTTTCCATTTGCTTGGTAAATATTCCTCCATCCCTTTATTTTGAGCCTATGTGTGTCTTTGCATGTGAGATGGGTCTCCCGAATACAGCACACTGATAGGTCTTGACTCTTTATCCAATTTGCCATCTGTGTCTTTTAATTGGGGCATTTAGCCTGTTTACATTTAAAGTTAATATTGTCATGTGTGAAATTGATGCTATCATTATGATGCTAGCTGGTTATTTTGCCCATTAGTTCATGCAGTTTCTTCATAGTGTCGATGGTCTTTACAATATGGTATATTTTTGCAGTGGCTGGTACCAGTTGTTCCTTTCCATGTTTAGTGCTTCCTTCAGGAGCCGTTGTAAGACAGGCCTGGTGGTGACAAAATCCCTCAGCATTTGCTTATCTGTAAAGCATTTTATTTCTCCTTCACTTATGAAACTTAGTTTGGCTGGATATGAATCTCTGTGTTGAAAATTCTTTTCTTTAAGAATGTTGAATATTGGCCCCCACTCTCTTTTGATTTGCAGGGTTTCTGCCAAGAGATCCACTGTTAGTCTGATGGGCTTCCCTTTCTGGGTAACCTGACCTTTCTCTCTGGCTGCCCTTACCATTTTTTCTTTCATTTCAACCTTGGTGAATCTGACAATTATGTGTCTTGAGGTTGCTCTTCTCGAGGAGCATCTTTGTGGTATTCTATGTATATCCCAAATTTGAATGTTGGCCTGTCTTGGTAGGTTGGGAAAGATCTCCTGGAGAACATCCTGAAGAGTGTTTTCCAACTTGGTCCATTCTCCCCGTCACTTTCAGGTACACCAATCGAATGTAGATTTGGTCTTTTCACATATTTCTTGGAGGATTTGTTTGTTCCTTTACATTCTTTTTTCTCTAATCTGGTCTTCTCTCTTTATTTCATTAAGTTGATCTTCCATCTCTGGTATCCTTTCTTCCGCTTGATCAATTCGGCTATTGATACTTGTGTATGCGTCATGAAGTAATTTTTTTCTTTTTACCTGTTCCTGGATGCCACACTGGAGGATCAGTTGCTGATGAAAAAATGGTTAACTTATGAAAAAGAGATAATAATCCTACATACATATGCAACTAATAACAGAGCTTCAAAATGCATAAAGTGAATATTGGCAGAACTAAAATGAGGTATCTACAATCATGTTTGGTGATTTTGATATCCTTCACTTGGTAATTGATAAAATGAGTAGATTAAAAATATCAGTAAGGATGTCGATCTAAACATCACTTTCAGCAAACTTTAGCTAATTAATAGTTGTAGAACACTATACGCAACAACTGCGGAATATACTTTCTTTTTCAAATTCACTTGGAACATTTACTGAGAGAACATATGGTGGCCCATAAAACAATTATTAATACATTTCAAGGGATTGCAATCATACAGAGTATGTCCTCTGACCACAAAAGAACAAAATTTAAGACATTTTAATGCAATATCTAGGAAACTTATGAATATTTGGAAATTACTTCTAAAAGCTCATGTGGTAAAGAAAATTAACAAGACAAATTAGAAAATATTTTGGATTAGATGATAATGAAAATACAATATATCAAATTTTGTTGGATGTACCTAGGCTAGAGTGTTCATAGATTGGAAAATTCAGTACTAAGATGTCAGTTCATCCCAAAATGATAGATAGGTCCAATGTCATTGAAAAAAAAATATTAGTTGAAGTTTTGTAGAAATCAACAAGATAATTGAAGAATTTAAAAGGAAATTCAAAGGACCTAGTAAGTAGCTGAAATAATTTCACAAAAGAGAAAATTAGAGGTCTTAAATTACATGATTTCAAGATTAACAGAAAAGTAACAATAAAGACAGTGCAATACTTGGATAAGGATGCATAAATAGATTTAAGAAACAGTATAGAATAAAGGACATATGTACAAATTTGAAATGAGAATTGACAATGATACAATAATAGTAGAAGACTCTAATACTTCACTTGCAATACTGAATAGAATATCCAGGCAGCAAATCAATTTAAAAATTAACAGCAGACTTGAAAAACATTATAGGTCAGATGGACCTAATATACATATACAGAACTTTCCATTCAGGAGTGAAAGAACACACTTTCTTCTTAAGCACACAGAACATTCTCCAGAATAGATCACATGTTGTGTCACAAAAACAGGTCTTAACAAATTTAAGTGGCTGATATCATACTAACTATCTTTTCCAGCTACAATGTAATGAAGCTAGAAAGGAATAACAGTGAGAAATAGAAAAAAAACTACAAACGTGAAAACTAAACAGCACACTCTTCAGCAATCATTGAATCAAAGGGGAAATCAAAAGGAAATTTTAAAAATATCTCAAGACAAACGAAAATGCAAGTGCAACACACTTAAGTGTATGGCATGCAGCAAAAGAAGGGAGTTCTAAAAGGTAAGTGTGTAGCAAAATGCCCACATTAAAAAGACACCATATAAACAACGTAACTTTCTACTTTAAAGAACTAAAAACAGAACAAACTAGGTTCAAAGTTATTAGAAGGTGAGAAATGAATATTAGAGCAGAAATTAAACAGAGAATAGAAAAACAAAAGAAAAAATCAGTAAAACAAATACTTGGCTTTTTGAAAAGATGAAATCAGTAAACTTTTATCTAACAGGAAAAAAGAGAGGAGACTTAAGTAAATAAAATCAGAAATCATAGAAGAGACATTACAATGATTGCCTCAGTAATAAGAAGGATCATAGGGGCTACTATGAACAATTATATGCCAACAAATTGGATAACCTAAAAGAAATTGGATATATTCCTAGAAATATACAACCTACCAAAACTGAAGCAATAAATAGAAAGCAGTAAGAAACAGAGCAGTAATGAGTAAGGACATTGAATCAATAAACGTGAACCTCCCGACAAAGAAAAATTCAGGATCAGATACCTTCAAAGGTGAATTCTAACAAACATTCAAGGAAGAATTAATACCAGTCCTCTTAAACTCTTCCAAAAAATAGAAGAGGGAACACTTCCAAAGTCATTTTATGATGCCAACATTACCAAGATACTACAGCCAGACAAAGACATAACAAGAAAATAAAACTACACACCAATAACTCTAATGAATCCAGACAGAAAAATCTTCAGTGAGATGCCAGCAAACCAAACTCAATGGCATATTAAAAGTATTACACACCGAGTGGGATTTGTTCTTAGGATGTAAAGGTGGTTCAGCATACACAAAACAATACATGTGATATACCACATTAACATAAAATGAACAACAGAAACCACTTGATTATCTCAAGTGATGCAGAAAAATCATCTGACAAAAGTCAGCATCTATCCATGACAAAAACTCTCAACAAAATAGTTATAGAAGAAACTTACCTCAATGCCACAAAGTCTACATATGAAAAACACACAGGTAACATCGTAATTAACGAGGAAAAACTGAAAGCTTTTGCTCAAAGATCTGGTACAAGGCAAGAATGCTCATTCTCACTACTTCTATTGAACATAGTACTGGAATTTTAACCAGAGCAATTAGACAAGAAAACGAAAAACAAGGTACTCATAATGGAAAGAAAGAAGTAAAATTATCTGTTAGCAGATAACATGATCATATATATAGAAAACTCTCAATACTCAATGACAACTGCAAACTGTTAAAGCTAACAAACAAATTCAGTAAAGTTGCAGTATATGATATAAACATACACAAAATGGTGGCATTTCTATACATTAACAAGGAGCTATCCAAAAAGGAAATTAACAAAACAATCTCATTTACAATAGCAATAAAAAGAATAAAATACTTAGGAATAAACTAAAGAAGTGAAAAACTTTGCTATGGTTTAAATGTTTCCCCCAAAGTCCATGCATTGGATACTTCATCTCCAATGTAATAGTGTCCGTAGGTGAGACCTTTTTAATTTTTTAATTTCTATTTTTTATACAGATGGGGTCTTGCTATGTTGGCCAAGGTAGTCTTGAAGTCCTGGCCTGAAGCAATCCTCCTGCCTCAGCCTTCCAAGGTGCTGAGTTTATAGGTGTGAGCCACTTGGTCAAGCCACAGGTGAGACCTTTAAGAGGTAATCAGGTCAGGAGGGCTCTGTCTTCATGAATGGATTAATGGCATTATTGCAGGAGTGGGTTAGTTATTGTGGGAGTGGGCTCCTAATAAAAGGATAAGTTTAGTCCCATTTTCTCTCTGTCTTTAGTGCTTACTTGCCATGTGATGCTTTCTACTATGTTATGACCCATAGTGTTAATAGATGACCAATTAGATGCCAGAGTCATTGCCTTGGACTTCCCAGCCTCCGGAACCATGAGCCAAATAAATCTCTTTTCTTTGGAAATTACCCACTCTGTGGTGTTTTGTTATAGCAGCAGAAAATGAACTAAGAAAGATGTGCACACTAAAAAGTATAAAACATTGATGTAAGAAATTAAAGAAGACACAATGAAAAGACTTCCCTTGTTCATGAATTGAAGTAATTAAAATTGCTAAAATACTCATGCTACCAAAAGTGATCTATGTAGTCAATGCAATCCCTATTAAAATCTCAGTGGCATTCTTTACAGAAGTAGAAAAAACCAAAAACTCGTAGAGGAACACAAAAGACCCCAAAAAGCCAAATCAATTTTGAGAAATAACAAAGATAAATATTTTCCACTTTCTGATTTTATAATATATTACAAAGCCATAGTAATCATAAGTGTATGCCACTGGAATAAAAACAGACACATATATAAATGCAACTGAATAGAGACATATAAATCCACACATTTACCATCAACTGATCTTCAACAAGAGTGCAAAGATCACACAATAGGGAAAGGATAGTCTCTTCAATAAATGGTGTTAAAAAAATTAGATAACCACTTGCAGGAGAATGAAATTAGATCCTTATCTCACAGAATAAACAAAAATCAACTCAGAATGGATTAAAAACTTAACCGTAAGATCTGCAACTCTAAAACTACTATAGGAAAACATAGAGAAAAAGCTTTTTGAAATTAGTCTTGGCACAGATTGTTTGGTCATGACACCAAAAGCACAAGTAGCAAAAGCAAAAATAGACAAGTGGGCTTGCATCAAACTAAAAAGCTTTGCACAACAAAGGAGAAATTGACAGAGTTAAAAGGCAATCTATAGGATGGGAGGAAATACTTGCAAACTATATATCTGATAAGGGGTTGATATCCAAAAAATACAATAAACTCATATAACTCAACAGCAAAATAAATAATAAATAAATAATAAAAATAATAAAATAATAATAATAATAAATTAAAAATAATATGATTCCAAAAATGGGCAAAAGACCTGAATAGACATTTCTCAAAATAAGATACACAAATGGCCAACAGGTGCATGAAAAAGGTGCTCAACATCACAAATCATCAGAGAAATGCAAATGAAAACCACAATGAGATATTACCTCACAACTGGTAAAATGATTAACAAAAAGATGAAAGATGAAAAGCATTGGCTGGGTGTGGTGGCTGACGCCTGTAATTCTAGCACTTTGGGAGGCTGAGGAGGGCAGATCACTTGAGCCCAAGAATGTGAGACCAGCCTGGGCAACATGGTGAAACCCCATCTCTAATAAAACTACAAAAAATGAGGTGGGAGGATCACCTGAGCCTGGGGAGGTTGAGGCTGTGGTAAGCAGTGACTGCGCCACTGCATATTCCAGCCTGGGTGACAGAGTGAGACCTCATCTCTAAATAAATAAATAAATAAATAAATAAATAAATAAATAAATAAATGTTGTTAAGGATGTGGATACTAAGACGTCAGCTCACCCCAAATGATAAATAGATTCCATGCTCTTCTGCTCTCGAACCTTGAAACTACATCACTGGTTTGCCTGGGTCTCCAGCTTGCAGATGGCAGATTATGGAATTTCTCAGCCTTCATAATTATGTGAGTCAATATCTTATAATAATAAAGCATATATGTGTAAAATGAATCATATATAGGTAGCAAGATAGATACATGCATACATACATATCTCCTGTGCTCTCTGGAGAACCCTCTCTAATATACCTGGAGCAAGAGATTCTGGGTGGAGACATACAATGGCACCTAAGGCCCCAAGCAGAAGCTGGTGGGACAGTTCATACTCTTCAGAACGACTCTCCCTAAAAATACATAACCCCAACCCAGAAAATAACTAGTATTGGCAAGGAGGCAGAGAAATTGGAATCCCTGTGTACTGCCAACAGGAATGTAAAGTGATACAGCTACTACAGAAAACAGTAAGAAGTTTCCTCAAAAATTAAGCATATAGCTAACATGTGATCCAGCAATTCCACTTTTGGATATAAACCTAAAAGAATTGAAAGTAGGAACTAGAACAGATATTTGTATATCAATGTTCCTAGGACCATTATTCACAGTAGCCAAAAGGTGAAAACCACCAAAATATTCAGTGATGAGAATATGGATGAACAAAATATGGCCTATATATACAATGAGATATTATCCAGTATTAAAAAGAAATGAAAATCTGATACACGCTACAACATGGATGAACCTTGAAGAGCAAATTTTTGTCTTTGGCTAAATGAAATAAACCCAAAACAAAAGACAAATAATATATGATTCTACTTACATGAGGGATCTGGAATAGTCAAATCACAGAGAAAGAAAGCAGAGGCCGGGCGTGGTGGCTCATGCCTGTAATCCCAGCACTTTGGGAGGCTGAGGTGGGCGGATGGCCTGAGATCAGGGGAGTTGCAGTGAGCTGAGATTGCACCATTGAACTCCAGCCGGGGCAACAAGGATGAAACTCTGTCCGTGCCGCCCCTTCGCCCTCAAAAAGAAAAAGAAAGAAATATTCAGGTAATGAAAAAGAAGCAGTAAAGGATGAATAGAGGGGAACAAAAGATGTGACACTAAGCAAACAATAAGTGACATATGTAAATCCAACTGTACCAATTACAGCATTAAACGTGAACCGATTAAACAATCAAAACGAAGAGATTGTCAAATTAACTTTAAAAACAAGGCCAACTAATGCTATGTATGGGACACACTTTAGATTTCAAGATACAAATAAGTTGAAACTAAAAGGATAGAAAAAGATGTATCATGCAAATAGCAACCATAAGAAAGCTGAAGTGGCTATACAAATACTCAAAAAATAGACTTTAAAACAAAAAGAAAAGCTACTAGAGATGAAGAGGGATATTTTATATTGATAGAAGGTTCAATCCATTGGGAAGATTTGGCAGTTACAGACATATATGCATCTAAAAAGAGGCCCCAAAATACATGAAACAAAAATTGATAGAATTGGAGGGAGAAGTAGGCAATTCAGCAATAATATTGGAGGCCGAGCATGGTAGCTCACATCTGTAATCCCAGCACTTTGGGAGGCCAAGGAAGGAGCACTGCTTAAGGCCAAGAGTTTGAGACCAACCTGGCAACATAGTAAAGACCCTGTCTCTACAAAAAATTTTAAAATTAGCCCAGAGTGGTGGTGCATGCCTGTAGTCCCAACAACCTGGGAGGCTGAGGTAGAAGAATTGCTTGAGTCTGGAGGAGGTCAAGGTTGCTATAATCACACCATTGCATTCCAGCCTGAATGATGGAGTGAGACACTGTCTCAAAAAACAAAAACAAAAACCAATAACAGTTGGAGACTTCAATGCCCCATTTTCAATAACAGATAAAACAACTAGGTAGAAGAATAAAAAAAAAACTGGGACAACACTGTAAACCACCTAGATCTAATAGATACCTATTGAACATTCTATCCAACAACAGCAAAATATTCATTTTTCTTGGGCACATGGGACATTCTACAGGAGACACTATGAGACACTATATGTGAGGTCATAAAACAAGCCTGAGTAAATTTAAAAGGATTGAAATTATTCAAAGTATGTTCTCTGACCACAGTGAGATTATAAACTTATAGCATATAGAAATTCAAAGGACTTAAAATAGCCAAAAGAATGTTTAAAAAGAGCAAAACTGGAGGACAATTTCCTGATTTGAAACTTACTGTAACACCACAGCAATCAAGACTGTGTGGTAGAGACAAAAGGATAGACATATAGTCAATGGAATAGCATTGACAGTCCAGAAATAAATATATATTTATAGTCAATAGATTTTTATAGTCAATTTTATAGTCAAATGTATATATACATTTATAGTCAATAGATTTTTGAGGAGGGTGGGGAAACAAGAGTCTTTTCAAAAGCAGTGTGGAGTCACTGGATATGGTGCTGAGTCACATAGACAAAAGAATAAACTCAGATCCCTACCTCACAGCATACATAAAAAATTAACTCAAAATGGATCACAGACCTAAAAGTAAGTGCTAAAACTATAAAACTCTTAGAATAAAACATGAGTAAACCTTCGTGACCTTGGCGTAGGTGATGGTTTCTTAGATATAACACCAAAAGCATAGGCAATAAAAGAACAAAATAGATAAATATGACTTAATCAAAATTAAAATCTTTTTTTTAACACTTTAAGTTCTGGGATACATGTAGAGAACGTGCAGGTTTGTTACATGGGTATACATGTGCCATGGTGGTTTGCTGCACCCATCAAGCCGTCATCTACATTAGGTATTTCTCCTAATGCTATCCCTCCCCTTGCCCCCCACCCTCCAACAGGCCCTGGTGTGTGATGTTCCCCTCCCTGTGCCCATATGTGCTCATTGTTCAACTCCTACTTATCAATGAGAACATGCAGTGTTTGGTTTTCTGTTCCTATGTTAGTTAGTTTGCTGAGAATGATAGTTTCCAGCTTCATCCATGTCCCTGCAAAGAACATGAAATCATTCTTTTTTATGGCTATACAGTATTCCATTAATTTTCTCAAGCTGATGTCAGTCAGCTTCAGCACGTTACATGTGAAGATTTACAGTGCTTGAGTGAACAGGGCATTCTATCTTAAATACCTGAGATTGCTGATATCCAAGTGACCCTGGGGCCCACTCCAACTTGGCCCAGGAATCAGCCCAGAGCTCCAACTTCTGTGGTCTCCTGCCCTTTCACTGTAGGCCTTACCACCTATTCTCAGTCTTCTCCATCAAGTCCTAATGAGGTTGGTTTTCTTCGGCACTTTTCTTCACTGAAGCTGCTAGAGCCGAAGTTTGAGACGGAAAAACTTCCCTCATTCACGGAAGACTGAGCTGATGAGACTGCCTAATTTCTCCTGGCCAGTTAAGCAGACAAACTACGTTCAAGGCCTCTAGAGAAGGCCTTCGTAATGTAGGATCTAGGTCCTGGCAGATTCCTGCCACTGTTACATTGCTATTAAGTAATAAGTCAACTGGGTTGACCTTCTGAAACATGAAATGATCCCAGGAGTATGTCTAGGGTAGAGTGTGTGCAGAAAGCTTGGGATGGTGGTGGAGAATGTTGGACATGGGTCAATCAAATGCCTGCGTACTGAGAGGTGATTGATGTGTGACGTCTGAGAGTAGAGCTTTTAGACATAATTCTCAAGATCAATCTGTGTGCTGATTTTCCTGGACAGTTGTTTGAGAATCAAGGCCAAGCCCAGGCAAATGTTCAATTCTGAGTGTGATGCTTTTGTTTTCACAACCGTGAAGTCTGCTTGTATGTAACACATTGTGTTATTATTAGAATATTTAAATATCTCAAGCCAAAGATATTGGTACTGGACAACATAAAATAATTTTTTGGGTAAAACAGTACTCTGACAGTGATGAAAAATAAATTCATAAACATTTCATAAAAATGGCGATTAGCCTTACATTAAAATATCAGCTGAAGTAAGAGTAAAATGTTACCTATGAAATTGTATCAGTTGCTACAATGCATTTAAGTCACATAATAAAAATAAAAATGGTACCATATAATTAACAATGTCTATGACAATGTAAGCTCAGATCTGAATCTTCTTTTTTGGTTTTGATTTCTTGTATTCAATTATAAATAGGATCACACTGCCATGTTCATTTATATATAAACTGCTTTAAAACTCAAAGATTTCAATTTATCATTTTTAATTCTGGCTCTTTAATTATTTCGTGAAGAAAACTAAAGATTGAGTTTTAAGATAAATTAAATAGCTGGCAGTATATACTGATTTTTACCTTTCACACTTTTACTTCTTCCTTTATTCAATCACTTGTTCATGTAAATGTTTGAGTACATACTCTGCTACCCAGCTCTACTCTCACTGGTAAGGATACCAGGACTATAAATGAGATTTCATCCCCAACTTGGGGGAAGTCACAATTTCATGTAATACACAGACAGTGAATAATATGATATTATAAGTACAACAATCAAGATATGAACACCAATTTGTAACACAAGGAGATGGTTACTAACTCTCAGAGGGAAACCTGGAAAATTCCATGGAGAAAGAGGTGTTTAAAAGTCTAGCAATTCCTCAAAGACTTAAACACACGGTTACCGTGTGACTTAGCAAATCTACTCCTGTATATTCCAGAGAACTGCAAACATATTGTCCACATAAAAACTTGTACACAACTGTTCATAGCAGCATTAATCAAATAGCCCCAAAGAAGAAACAACCCAAATATCTGTCAACTGATAAATGGATAAATAGAATGCATGATATATGGTGGAATATTATTTGGCAATAAAAAGGAATGAAGTACTGATAGATGCTTCAACATGGATGAACCTTAAAAATAATATGCTAACTGAAAGCCAGTTATAAGAACCACGTATTATATGATTGTGTATATGAAATGTCTAGAATAGGTAAATCTATAGAGACAGAAACTAGCCTACAGTTGGAGGCAGGGGAGGGGGGATTAAGTGCTAATGGGTGCAGAGCTTCTTTGGAGGTGACTAAATGGCCTAAAATTGGTGATGGTTGCATATTCCTGCGAATAAACTAAAAACCATTTAATTATATACTAAGTAGATGAATTGTATATTTAAACTATATCTCAACAGACCTGTTATATATTAAAGTAGTTCATATATGTGAAGCTTTTAGAACAATGCCTGGCACATAGTAAGTGCTATATGAAAGTTAGTTATTATGATGATGACGATGATATAAAATATAAACTAAAGAAGAGACCACGTTATACCTGCAAAATTGTTAAATAGTTCAGCCTCACACAGTAATGGCCAGAATGTCTACAATCAATCATTCTACACTGTAGGTAGAATGTAAATTTGTGCAGTTTCATTGGCAGAGAGGTGACTTTACTTATTAGAATAATAAACACTTATGCTTTTTGACTCAATAATTTTAAAGAATTTGTATTTACTATAGCATGGTTTATATTACAAAAATATCTAAATAACTATCAACAGGTGTCTGATTAAATAAATGAAGACAAAACCAAATAAGAAAATCTTATGTGGCCCAAAGAAGAAAGAAACAAAATATCTCTTCCTCAAGGAGCTAATCTCTAAGACATATTGTTAGGTGAAAAATATAAATTGCAGAAGACTGCTCATGGTACGCTGACATTACTGTAAAAAGTAAGTTGTATGTGTGTGGATAAATACACACATATGCACACATTTACAAACACATTTATGCTTGCGTGTTCATAGACTTTTCTGGAAAGGTAAACTTTATAAGAAAGGAAACTAGCAGCATGTGGAGAATGACTAGGGGATTGGAAGTCTTAGGTTAGAGAAAGATTTTTGTTTGCTTGTACATAATTTTGTACTGTTTGAAATTTCGATTTTAGTGTTTTTGTTTTGGTTAACAACAGATTACTTTTTCAACTAAAGAGTTAATTAGAAGAAGAGGCTGAACAAGGTGGCTCACACCTGTAATCCCAGCACTTTGGGAAGATGAGGCAGCAGGATCACTTGAACCCAGGAGTTCAAGACTGCCAGGGCAACACAGGGACACCTCTATCTGTACAAAAAGAAAAAAAAAATTTAATGAGCCAGGTGTGGTGGAATATGCTGGTAGTCCCAGCTACTCAGGAGACTGGGGTAGGAGGATTGCCTGAGCCTGGTAGGATTGCCTGAGCTGAGCTCAGGAGGTAGAGGCTGCAGTGAGCCATGATTGCGTCACTGCACTCCATCCAGCATGTGTGACAGAGCAAGACTTTGTCAAAAAAAAAAAAAAAAAAAAAAAAGAAAGGAAGGAAGGAAAAGAAAGAAAGAAACAAAGAGAAAGATACTATGCCAGCAAAATTTCCAATCAAATGAAGTTGTCCTCCATTTTTCCAACCCAGATTTGAGCTACGTAAACTTAATTATGTGTCTGTGTATGTGTGTGTGTGTGTGTGTGTGTGTGTGTGTGTGGTTTTGTGGTTGTAGTTTCATAATTAATAAATCTAGTAAAAGTTTAAAATAAAAGGAACCCTGCTTTCTCCCCCATTTGACACTGGATCATCTTTTACTCAGTGTTGTTAATTCATGCAACAACAATTGGCTAAGAACCTCCTAACTTCCCAGCACCATTAGATGCTGTGGGAAATACCCCAGACAGGGAAAGAACAATACTTTCCTTCAGGTTATTTATGGTTGAAAAAAACAAACAAGAAAGTTCAGATCTGGCCCAGTACCTCATGCTAGTAATACCAGCACTTTGGCAGGCTGAGGCAGGTGGATCACTCGAGCCCAGGAGTTCGAGAACAGCCTGGGCACAGCAAGACCCCCACCTCTACTAAAATACAAAAATTAGCCGGGCATGATGGCGCACACCTGTGGTCCCAGCTACTCAGGAGGCTGAGGTGGGAGAACTGCTTGAGCCTGGTAGTTTCAGGCTGCAGTGAACCCTGGTTGTGCTACTGCACTGCAGCCTGGGCAACAGAGCGAGACAGTCTCAAAAAAAGAAAAAAGAAAAAAAGAAAGCTCAAGTAAGTCAGTTCTGTTTCAAGCCTGTTACAAGGGCTTTTCTGGGATATTACAGTATCACCAGGAAGTCAGCAGGGGGCATCTCAAACTCATCTTCTGCTAAATGGGGCTAAGCTCGTTTTCAGAGCAGGCCTTTGACATGGGTCTGAAGTTACCTCTGAAAGTGAAACCATCAGCAAAAAACATTCATGATGTTCCATATTCCAATCATTAGCTGGGTCTCAAAGTTTTCTTTAATCTTCTACATGGACTTACATTTTTTATTTTGTTTCGTTTTGTTTTGAAAAGGGGGGAAACTACTTATAAACGAACATGAATTAGAAATCCAGTGGGTTATTTGTGGGATATTCTTTGTGTGTGTGTGTGTGTGTGTGTGTGTGTGTGAGGTGCTCGCCCTTGGTTCCCCAGTTCCTCTGGGACATCACCTGGATAGTGTGCTCTACTCTTTTTCTTGTCTTTCCTTTTTTTTTTGAAACAGTGTCTCACTCTGTCATCTAGGCTGGAGTCCAGTGGTGTGCTCTCAGCTCACTGCAACCTCCACCTCCTGGGTTCAAGCAATTCTGGGGCCTCAGGCTCCTGAGGAGCTGGGGTTACAGGCACCTGCCACCACTGCTGGCTAATTTTCTATTTTTAGTAGAGACGGGGTTTCACCATGTTGGCCAAGGTGGTCTCAACTCCTAATTTGGCCTCCTAAAGTGTCGGGATTACAGGCATGAGCCACCGCACCCGGCCATGCTCTTTCCCTTTCCCCTTAACATGAAGTCTCTTCCTGGAGGCATTATTGCAATGCACTGGCTTTTTAAAGAATTCTCTCTTTTTAAAAATTGTTTTGAAATTTACCTTCTTAATTTTATTCAGACAAATCTTTTAATGATGATTATATTATTTCTTCCTCTCTCTTAAAGTAGTTTTGTTTTTCCATAGTTTTTGGAAAGGGGCAGGGCATGAACATCCCCAACTCAGGACAACTAAAATCTTTAAAATGTGTCCAGGTCATTCTACACTTATGGTTTGAAGCAGTGCTCCCCACATCCCACCATATTTCCAGGTCCAAGGGCTGCCAATCTCAACTTCATCCTTACCTTCAGCAACACATTATCATCTCTGTTCAGAGCCAGTTTGTGCTACAATTTAAAGGACAGATGTGAGTGGGTGGTGGTGGGAAAGCCTTATATGACAACTTTCAGTAAACATCTTTGTTCTTTCTTATTTAAAAAGTCAATAGGGGAGGAGCCAAGATGGCCAAATAGGAACATCTCTGGTCTACAGCTCCCAGCATGAGCAATGCAGAAGACGGGTGATTTCTGCATTTCCAACTGAGGTACTGGGTTCATCTCTCTGGGGTGTGCCAGACAGTGGGTGCAGGACAGTGGGTGCAGCGCACCATGCGCGAGCCGAAGCAGGGCGAGGCACCGCCTCACCTGGGAAGCGCAAGGGGTCAGGGAATTTCCTTTCCTAGTCAAAGCAAGGTGTGACAGACGGCACCTGGAAAATCGGGTCACTCCCACCCTAATATTGTGCTTTCCCAACGGGCTTAAAAAACGGCACACCAGGAGATTATATCCCGCACATGGCTCAGAGGGTCCTACACCCACGGAGTCTCGCTCATCGCTAGCACAGCAGTCTGAGATCAAACTGCAAAGTGGCAGTGAGGCTGGGGGAGTGGCGCCTGCCATTGCTGAGACTTGATTAGGTAAATAAAGCAGCCCGGAAGCTCAAACTGGGTGTAGCCCACCACAGCTCAAGGAGGCCTGCCTGCCTCTGTAGGCTCCACCTCTGGGGGCAGGGCACAGACAAACAAAAAGACAGCAGTAACCTCTGCAGACTTAAATGTCCCTGTCTGACAGCTTTGAAGAGAGTACTGGTTCTCCCAGCACGCAGCTGGAGATCTGAGAACAGGCAGACTGCCTCCTCAAGTGGGTCCCTGACCTCCAAGTAGCCTAACTGTAAGGCACCCGTCAGTAGGGGTGGACTGACACCTCACACGGCCAGGTACTACTCTGAGACAAAACTTCTAGAGGAACGACCAGGCAGCAGCATTTGCGGTTCACCAATATCCTCTGTTCTGCAGCCACCGCTGCTGATACCCAGGCAAACAGGGTCTGGAGTGGACCTCTAGCAAACTCCAACAGACTCGCAGCTGAGGGTCCTGTCTGTTAGAAGGAAAACTAACAAACAGGAAGGACATCCACACCAAAAACCCATCTGTATGTCACCATCATCAAAGACCAAATGTAGATAAAACCACAAAGATGGGGAAAAAACAGAGCAGAAAAACTGCAAACTCTGAAAATCAGAGTGCCTCTTCTCCTCCAAAAGAATGCAGCTCCTCACCAGCAAGAGAACAAGCTGGACGGAGAATGACTTTGACAAGTTGAGAGAAGAAGGCCTCAGATGATCAAACTACTCCGAGCTACAGGAGTAAGTATGAACCAATGGCAAAGAAGTTAAAAACTGAAAAAAAATTAGACGAATGGGTAACTAGAATAACCAATGCAGAGAAGTCCTTAAAAGACCTGACGGAGCTGAAAACCAAGGCACGAGAACTACCTGATGAATGCAGAAGCCTCAGTAGCCAATGCGATCAACTGGAAGAAAGGGTATTAGTGATGGAAGACGAAATGAATGAAATGAAGCAAGAAGAGAAGTTTAGAGAAAAAAGAATAAAAAGATATGAACAAAGCCTCCAAGAAATATGGGAGTATGGGAAAAGACCAAATCAACATCTGAGTGGTGTACCTGAAAGTGACGGGGAGAATGGAACCAAGTTGGAAAACACTCTGCAGGATATTATCCAGGAGAACTTCCCCAATCTAGCGAGGCAGGCCAACATTCAGATTCAGGAAATACAGAGAATGCCACAAAGATACTCCTCGAGAAGAGCAATTCCAAGACACATAATTGTCAGATTCACCAAAGTTGAAATGAAGGAAAAAATGTTAAGGGCAGCCAGAGAGAAAGGTCGGGTTACCCACAAAGGGAAGCCCATCAGACTAACGGCGGATCTCTCGGCAGAAACTCTACAAGCCAGAAGAGAGTGGGGGCCAATATTCAACATTCTTAAAGAAAAGAATTTTCAACCCAGAATTTCATATCCAGCCAAACTAAGCTTCATAACTGAAGGAGAAATAAAATACTTTACAGACGAGCAAATGCTGAGAGATTTTGTCACCACCAGGCCTGCCCTAAAAGAGCTCCTGAAGGAAGCACTAAGCATGGAAAGGAACAACCAGTACGAGCCACTGCAAAAACATGCCAAATTGTAAAGACCATCAAGGCTAGGATGAAACTGCATCAACTAACGAGCAAAATAGCCAGCTGACATCAAAACGACAGGATCAAATTCACAGATAACGATATTAACTTTGAATGTAAATGGGCTAAATGCTCCAATTAAAAGACACAGACTGGCAAATTGGATAAAGAATCAAGACCCATCAGTGTGCTGTATTCAGGAGACCCATCTCATGTGCAGAGACACACATAGGCTCAAAATAAAGGAATGGAGGAAGATCTACCAAGAAAATGGAAAACAGAAAAAGGCAGGGGTTGCAATCCTAGTCTCTAATAAAACAGACTTTAAACCAACAAAGATCAAAAGAGACAAAGAAGGCCATTACATAATGGTAAAGGGATCAATTCAACAAGAAGAACTAACTATCCTAAATATATGTGCACCCAATACAGGAGCACCCAGATTCATAAAGCAAGTCCTTAGTGACCTACAAAGAGACTTAGACTCCCACACAATAATAATGGGAGACTTTAACACCCCACTGTCAACATTAGACAGATCAACGAGACAGAAAGTTAACAAGGATACCCAGGAATTGAACTCAGCTCTGCACCAAGCTGATCTAATAGACATCTACAGAACTCTCCACCCCAAATCAACAAAATATACATCTTTTCAGCACCACACCACACCTATTCCAAAATTGACCACATAGTTGGAAGTAAAGCACTCCTCAGCAAATGTAAAAGAACAGAAATGATAACAAACTGTCTCTCAGACCACAGTGCAATCAAACTAGAACTCAGGTATAAGAAACTCACTCAAAACTGCTCAACTACATGGAAACTGAACAACCTGCTCCTGAATGACTACCGGGTACATAACGAAATGAAGGCAGAAATAAAGATGTTCTTTGAAACCAACGAGAACAAAGACACAACATACCAGAATCTCTGGGACACATTCACAGCACTGTGTAGAGGGAAATTTATAGCACTAAATTGCCCACAAGAGAAAGCAGGAAAGATCTAAAATTGACACCCTAACATCACAATTAAAAGAACTAGAAAAGCAAGAGCAAACACATTCAAAAGCTAGCAGAAGGCAAGAAATAACTAAGATCAGAGCAGAACTGAAGGAAATAGAGACACAAAAAACCCTTCAAAAAATTAATGAATCCAGGTGCTGGTTTTTTGAAAAGATCAACAAAATTGATAGACTGCTAGCCAGACTAATAAAGAAGAAAAGAGAGAAGAATCAAATAGATGCAATAAAAAATGATAAAGGGGATATCACCACCAATCCCACAGAAATACAAACTACCCTCAGAGAATACTATAAACACCTCTATGCAAATAAACTAGAAAGTCTAGAAGAAATGGATAAACTCCTCAACACGTACATCCTCCCAAGACTAAACCAGGAAGAAGTTGAATCTCTGAATAGACCAATAACAGGCTCTGAAATTGAGGCAATAATCAATAGCTTACCAAACAAAAAAAGTCCAGGACCAGATGGATTCACAGCTGAATTCTACCAGAGGTACAAGGAGGAGCTGGTACCATTCCTTCTGAAACTGTTCCCATCAAAAGAAAAACAGGGAATCCTCCTTAACTCATTTTATGAGGCCAGCATCATCCTGATACCAAAGCCTGGCAGAGACAGAACCAAAAAAGAGAATTTTAGACCAATATCCTTGATGAACATTGATGCAAAAATCCTCAATAAAATACTGGCAAACCGAATCCAGCAGCACATCAAAAAGCTTATCCACCATGATCAAGTGGGCTTCATCCCTGGGATGCAAGGCTGGTTCAACATATGCAAATCAATAAACGTAATCCAGCATATAAACAGAACCAATGACAAAAACCACATGATTATCTCAATAGATGCAGAAAAGGCCTTTGACAAAATTCAACAACCCTTCATGCTAAAAACTCTCAATAAATTAGGTATTGATGAGACGTATCTCAAAATAATAAGAGCTATCTATGACAAACCCACAGCCAATATCATACTGAATGGGCAAAAACTGGAAGCATTCCCTTTGAAAACTGGCACAAAACAGGGATGCCCTCTGTCACCACTCCTATTCAACATAGTGTTGGAAGTTCTGGCCAGGGCAATCAGGCAGGAGAAGGAAATAAAGGGTATTCAATTAGGAAAAGAGGAAGTCAAATTGTCCCTGTTTGCAGATGACATGATTGTACATCTAGAAAACCCCATCATCTCTGCCCAAAATCTTCTCAAGCTGATAAGCAACTTCAGCAAAGTCTCAGGATACAAAATCAATGTACAAAAATCACAAGCATTCTTATACACCAATAACAGACAAACAGAGAGCCAAATCATGAGTGAACTCCCATTCACAATTGCTTCAAAGAGAATACAATACCTAGGAATCCAACTTACAAGGATGTGAAGGACCTCTTCAAGGAGAACTACAAACCACTGCTCAAGGAAATAAAAGAGGATACAAACAAATGGAAGAACATTCCACGCTTATGGCTAGGAAGATTCAATATCGTGAAAATGGCCATACTGCCCAAGGTAATTTATGGATTCAATGCCATCCCCATCAAGCTACCAATGACTTTCTTCACAGAATTGGAAAAAACTACTTTAAAGTTCATATGGAACCAAAAAAGAGACCGCATCGCCAAGTCAATCCTAAGCCAAAAGAACAAAGCTGGAGGCATCACGCTACCTGACTTCAAACTATACTACAAGGCTACAGTCACCAAAACAGCATGGTAGTGGTACCAAAACAGAGATATAGATCAATGGAACAGAACAGAGGCCTCAGAAATAATGTCCTATATCTACAACTATCTGATCTTTGACAAACCTGACAAAAACAAGAAATGGGGAAAGTATTCCCTATTTAATAAATGGTGCTGGGAAAACTGGCTAGCCATATGTAAAAAGCTGAAACTGGATCCCTTCCTTACACCTTATACAAAAATTAATTTAAGATGGATTAAAGACTTAAATGTTAGATCTAACTGCATAAAAACCCTAGAAGAAAACCTAGGCAATACCATTCAGGACATAGGCATGGTCAAGGACTTCATGACTAAAACACCAAAAGCAATGGCAACAGAAGCCAAAATTGACAAATGGTATCTAATTAAACTAAAGAGCTTCTGCACAGCAAAAGAAACTACCATCAGAGTGAACAGGCAACCTACAGAATGGGAGAAAATTTTCGCAACCTACTCATCTGACAAAGGGCTAATATCCAGAATCTACAATGAACTCAAACAAATTTACAAGAAAAAAACAAACAAACCCATCAAAAAGTGGGCGAAGGATATGAACAGACACTTATCAAAAGAAGACATTTATGCAGCCAAAAGACACATGAAAAAATGCTCACTGGCCATCAGAGAAATGCAAATCAAAACCACAATGAGATACCATCTCACACCAGTTAGAATGGCGATCATTAAAAACTCAGGAAACAACAGGTGCTGGAGAGGATGTGGAGAGATAGGAACACTTTTACACTGTTGGTGGGACTGTAAACTAGTTCAACCATTGTGGAAGTCAGTGTGGTGATTCCTCAGGGATCTAGAACTAGAAATACCATTTGACCCAGCCGTCCCATTACTGGGTATATACCCGAAGGATTATAAATCATGCTGCTATAAAGACACATGCACATGTATGTTTATTGTGGCACTATTCACAATAGCAAAGACTTGGAACCAACCCAAATGTCCAACAACGATAGACTGGATTAAGAAAATGTGGCACATATACACCATGGAATACTATGCAGCCATAAAAAATGATGAGTTCATGTCCTTTGTAGGGACATGGATGAAACTGGAAAACATCATTCTCAGCAAACTATCACAAGGACAAAAAACCAAACACCACATGTTCTCACTCATAGGTGGGAATTGAACAATGCAAACACATGGACACAGGAAGGGGAACATCACACACTGGGGACTGTTGTGGGGTGGGGGGAGGGGGAGGGATAGCATTAGGAGATATACCTAATGTAAATGACAAGTTAATAGGTGCAGCACACCAACATGGCACAGGTATACATATGTAACAAACCTGCACGTTGTGCACATTTACCCTAAAACTCAAACTATAATAATAATAAAATGTTTTAAAAATTCAATAGATTTTACAATATTTTTAAATAATTATGACTTTGTATTTATACATTTTATTTGTATTAGTATGTTTTCTTACATTAATTATACTTTTTATAAGGACAAGATCCGACTCAGTACTGATGTTCTTTAGAGCCTACTTACACATTTCATTGTATTTTACTTTAGTAAGAAAGCCACAAAATAAAAATCTACATTAAAATATGTGTGTACAAAAAAAATCTGATTCCCAGCCTATTCCTGTTTGCAATTGCTGCAACATTAAAATATAGCACATCAAATACATATTTGCTTCTCGGCTAGGATCGCCAAAGAAAAAACATCTTATGATTTGTGGTTGCTGTTATTTAATCTTCCCTGAGCTTCATCTTCCCTCATCTGTAGAAGGGGAATATTATTGAGTTTGGAGTGCTTTTGTAATGATTAAACACAGTAGAAGATGAAAAGTGCCCAGTGCAATTAGCAGGCCTTCAATCAAAATAAGCAAGCTAGCTAGCTAGCTGGCTGGCCAGCTAAATAATGCTTCCCTACATCCAGAATTTCCAGTTGTTTCATTAGATATGCACATTCAAGTTTTTACTTAGGTAATTTTAAATGTGTCCCAGTGGCAAGTGTCCTGCTAAAGGGGTACTGTTAGCTTCTTCTCACCTAAAACTTAGTTTGTTACAAAGGAAATGCCAATTATGGAAAAAGTCAAGCCTTGAGCTACTGAAGGCCGAGTAACCTCGCCAAAGTTTGGATGAGTCGCTTCACTAATGCACATGCAATCCTGACCTAGAGATCATGTGAGTTTCTGCGTTAGAAGGCGGGCACCTGATGGCTCCCAGTGCAGCCAATCAGGAGAGAACGTTGCCGCCACACCCACCTGCTCCGCGCTGGCCCTGGGAGAGGAGCCAACCTGTCTTGCTTTTTTTTTTTTTTTAACCAGGCTAAGCTGCTGTAAATTAAGTCTTCCTGGAAATCTCAGCAACTCTATTGGACGTGCTAATGGCACAGTTCACTCCAAACTGGATTCATATTTAAATATTACATATCCTCCAACTCTTGAGTGCTTTAATTTTGTTATCTGGTTAGCCTGGGAAATCATTTTAAAAATACGCTATAAGTATCAGACTTTCCCTTAGCAATTATATAAAATCTCCTTGCAGTTTTCTGAAAGGCACAGAAGTGCAGTTTGATTTGGTTGTCTTATCAAAGGACATTTATGCATGAAAATAGGCTGCAGGAGTATTCTATATAAGATAGCAGGCAGTTCTGCACGTCTGTTTATATGCCATTCACACCATGAACACATCCAATGCAATTGTATTCATCTTCTGTCATTTTTTAAAATTAGAGTTTACTACATGATTTTTGGAGGACGGCCATATCATAGTTATTCATCCCTTGCATGGTCTGTTCTGCCACTTCTAAAGTTCTGCGAAGTTTAATTTTTGGCAGGTTTCAAGATTCTCTACATACTTTGTAGGTTAGAGTGAACGTGCACAGTATATTGTGTAATAATTGCAATACAAGACGGTGTGTTGTGTTGTGGCACGGAATGCATCAACTTAAAGATAGAATTGTTATGCAGAATAGAGACCTTTGAAATATTTGGGTATTATCAACTTTTATTTCATTTTTTGAGAAAAACTTAAAAAGTGAGCCCAGTTTTTTAAAAAGCATTTCATTGTTCTAACCTACAATTGTGCATTGTATGTTTGTGTGTGTGTGACGGAGGGTGGGATGAATAAAAGGGGACATTAAAAATATTCAGACCATAAATATAGTAGATTGGAGGTTCTGATTTGATGAGCCAGTTTCTCAGCCATAAACTGAGAGGGGGTTGGGGATACACTTCATTGTCCTTCCTGGCTAATGTAAATCCCTTATATTTAAAAAGATATTTAAAAGTATTCCAAGCATTTTGGCAGAAAAGCATAGTATCTAATGTTATTTTTTTCTTATTTTATGTGCATGCCTCTTATCCATTTAAAAATAGCTTTACTGACCTATAATTTACACACTATATAATTCTCCCATTGAAAGTGCATAATTCTGTTGCTTTTAGTATATTTACAGAGTTGTGCAGCATCAGCATAATGTAATCTAGAACATTGTCATCAACTACCCCCAAATCTCTATTCTTCCCTTCCCCTATTAATTACCCAGCCCCAGGCAAGCACTGATCTACTTTTGGTCTCTATGGATTTGTCTATTTGTGGACACTTTAAATGGAATCATACAATATGTGTCTTTTGCGACTATCTTCTTTCACTTATCATAACTCAATACGGCTTTAGATTATTTGACCTCGATGTTCTGCCTCTGAACATAAAATATTATCCTTGCATTCCTTGATGAGTTTGAGGATTGAGAATAATTTGCATGAGACAAAAATTAGAAACTAGTTAGAGCAAGTAGGCTTTTCTCCATCACATAAGCTGATCCATCTTGCCAATGTTAAAACACCAGATTGTACAAGCACAAGCTGGGACGCAATGTGTGTCCCTCTATCCCTACATTGACTTTGCGGGGGTGGGGATGGGGTGCGGGGTGAGTGAGGGAGGACTGCAAGTGACAAACAGGATTCGTCAAAAGAGAGGTGTATTAAAGTGCCGATCAAATGTAATTTAACAGCTAAACTTTCCCTCCTTGGAAAACAGGTGATTGTTGAGTATTTAACGTGAATCGATGTAAACCTGTGTTTGGTGCTTAGACAGGGGGCCCCCGGGTAGAGTGGAACCCCTTAAGCTAAGCGAACAGGAGCCTAACAAAGCAAATTTTTCCGTCTGCCCTTTCCCCCTCTTCTCGTTGGCAGGGTTGATCCTCATTACTGTTTGCTCAAACGTTTAGAAGTGAATTTAGGTCCCTCCCCCCAACTTATGATTTTATAGCCAATAGGTGATGAGGTTTATTTGCATATTTCCAGTCACATAAGCAGCCTTGGCGTGAAAACAGTGTCAGACTCGATTCCCCCTCTTCCTCCTCCTCAAGGGAAAGCTGCCCACTTCTAGCTGCCCTGCCATCCCCTTTAAAGGGCGACTTGCTCAGCGCCAAACCGCGGCTCCAGCCCTCTCCAGCCTCCGGCTCAGCCGGCTCATCAGTCGGTCCGCGCCTTGCAGCTCCTCCAGAGGGACGCGCCCCGAGATGGAGAGCAAAGCCCTGCTCGTGCTGACTCTGGCCGTGTGGCTCCAGAGTCTGACCGCCTCCCGCGGAGGGGTGGCCGCCGCCGACCGTAAGTTTTGCGCGCAAACTCCCCTCCACCTGCAGACCCGGCGGGTGGCCACTGCCACCCGAACTGAGGATGAGAAGAAGGAAGTTGGAAGGGGCGGTGGATGCGCCCAGGGACTCTCCCAGCCTGGGCTCTAGCCCCGAAACGGTCCCCGGAGTGGGATCCAGGAGGGGCCGGGAGGGAATCTCCTCCCGATCGTGAAGCGGCGGCGCCCAGTTCCCGCTTTTTCTCTCTGCCGGGTTCCCGCGCTATCCCTTCCACTCTGGCTGGGACCGCGTTCCCGGGCTCGCAGGCTCCGCCGGGGAGGTTCCGGGGTGTGGGGGCCGGGACGGCGGAGGCGGGGAGTAAGGGCCCGGCTGGCGGTGACCTGCAGTCACCTCTCTGCCGGAGGGGCCCTGGAATGAAAGGCGCGCGGGCCAAGGTGACCTCGCCTTGGTTGGCACTGCGGCTCAGCCCCCGCCCGGGGACTCGCGGGCCGACTGTGGCCCCTTCTGGGGAAGCCGGGGCGCGGGGAGGCGTTCCGGGCATCTCAGCCGCACGGGGTACGCTCGCCCTCGGCGGGGCCCCTCGCTCCGCTGTGGGAGTGGCAGTGGGTGTCGGGGTGGAGAAAGTACGCGTGGCGCGGAGTCCTGGGGACGCGGCGTCCCACCCGCTCTGGGGAGCCCCGGACTCTCTCCAGCTTCCAGGCTCGCATGCCCCTCTTTTCTTAGTGCCCTGAGAACCCAGCGAGGGGCTGACCCTCCCGAAACCGTGGCGCAGCCACCAGCAATCTGTGGTCGCCGACTCGGGGGGTTGCCAGGTCTGCGTTTGGCCACCCTTTCTGTCCTGGGGGCTGAGGTCAGCTCCGGGCGCCCGGCCCCGCCGCGCGGCTGCGAGCACGTGGGGTTGACGGGCGCCGCGTGGAGGCAGCGAGCACAACGGTGGTCACCGCCGCCAGGGAACCGCCCGCTCGCTGGGGTCCAGGCGTTCGGGGCCAAATGAGAATGTCTCAGACCTGTCCGCAATGGAGGCAGCCTGCTTAATTCGAACCTCGATTCAGTAAACATGCAACAGCAGCATAGAGAGCAGCTGAAGCCATTCATAACACGGGACAACATTTCCTTTTTTCTTCCATGCTGGAATTGCAATTAGGGCGGTGTCGCTTGGATGTGCTCTCAGGCGGCACGTCCCCAGCGGTTCAAGTTATAATAGAGTCTCTCCATAGCTTTGATGGCCGCTAAACGTTTGTTTTATTTTGGCATTAATTTGTGAAACATTTTTGTTAGGTTAAAAAACAAAAAGTTGGCAGGGAGCAGTGGCTCACCCATGTAGTCCCAGCACTTCGGGAGGCCGAGGCCGGAAGACAGCTTGAGCCCAGAAGTTCGAAATCAGCCTGGGCAACATAGGGAGACACCGTCTCTATAAAAAAAAAATACAAAAATTAGCCGGGCGTGGTGGCCTGTGCCTGTGGTCCCAGATAGTCAGCAGGCTGAGAGATCACTTGAGCCAGGGAGTTTCAGTAGACTGCAGTGAGCTGTGATTGCCCCACTGCACTTCATCCTGGGTGACAGTGAGACCCTGTCTCATAAAATTAAAACAAAACAAAACAAACACTAAGTATAGATTCCATCAAAGCAAAATTGGATAAGAAAAAAAGTATCTTTTCTATTGGATCAGTTTGAAAACACTGGAGAGTTGATGAGAAAGTCTTCAACATCTTAGGTGGGGTATGTTTCGTATGTTTCCCTTCGTACTGCTTAATGCTGACAAGAAGATGGTAGGAGCCAACTCCAAATTCTTATTTCAGAAAGCACACCATAGAATAACGTCATTTTCATTGCAAAACAAGCACCGAAATATGTCATCACATTCAAGTTTTTCCTAGGCTCCCTTACAGGTTCAAGATCCTAAATTCTTGGGAGTCAGTGTCACCTCTCTGGGTTTAGGTTCCTCAACTCTGCAATGAGTTTGGATGAGGCCAATGTTCTCTGAGCCTGGTGTAACTCTTGCCTCTTTAAGTGGACACTTATGTGATTAATTAGTTTAATTGAGTTGTAGCCAACACATGCTTTTCCTAGCTGTAAATATATTAAGGAAGGATTATTTCCAAGTAGACTGGAAACGATGCCCTCCCATCCCCTCCACTTTCACTCTACTCACCCAATATATCATGCCTCTCCCATCACAGCAACTTTCTCCCTCTTTCTCCTCCAGATGCATTCATCTAGGAAGGTAAGAATTTCAGGGAGAGAAAGATGTCACCGTGGTAGAAAGACAGGGATCACCTCCTCTGGGCTCTTGAGTTTACTTATTCATTCTGGATTCTTTCTAACAAGAATATGAGGACAAGAGGCACTGTCCTCAGGCACTTCGTCCTGGGAGCCACCACCATCTCTGCATGGCCCCAATTAGGAAACGTGAAGAGCTAGGAGAGGGAGAGTATGGTCAGTGCTTAGCAGCTGAAGTTCCACTTGCCTGGCCATCGTGAATTTCCAGGCTGTCTTCTGAGTTGAACATGATGGCAAAGGAGAGCAAAATAGCAGATGTCACTGAAGGAGAGCTCAGCGAGGGAGTGATTGATTAATAGCTGTATTGAAAGGTGGGAGTCAGGTACGGGGGAAGAGCGGCGATGGAAAATTTTCGCTTTCTTTCAGCAGCTTATTTTTAACTCAGCTTTCTGTTCTTGCTTTATTATGGAGGAAAAATTGGGCCATAGAGTTTACTGCCTTATGCCAGATTGTTCAAGAAAATGCCTTGCAACTTACAATATTTTGCAGCTAGTTTCTTCCGTGACCACCACAAAGACTGCATTGACTTAAATATGAAGATGTTCCAGCCATCAAAATGATGGTTGGTGATGATTTTGGATCACAAAGTGTAAGGAAAGTATTCAAGACATGAGTATCATGATTTTTTAAGGTCTGGATGAAGAGACCATTTGGATTTACTAATAAGGTAAATTCCAACTTTTATGGCAATAAAAACAACAAAAACACTTATCAGTGTAAAGCTTTGGGATCATCTATCCATTAAATGAGTTTGTCACCACAGTGAACTAAATACCTTTTATCAACAGAGACTTTCTAACCTGGGAGTAAAATTCTTGTCACAGTGCTTTTGTCACATTCTGTCTTTGCAAAAGTTGAAGGCTCCAATAGTTTCTGAAGGACTAATAGGATAGGGTTCCAACTTACTCAGAGGCTAAGAGTTTGAAATTTACTCTGAACGATGTCTGTTCACTAGACTGCGTGACTGCAGTTTGCTGTCTTGTGGCCATTTTAAGATTGTCTGTGTGCACTGACACCATTTGCGTACTCAACAACAGGTATCTACTAGGAAGGAAGGAATGGATTATCTTAGGTGCTATATATATATGTAAGTTCTGCCGGAAGTGAGCCTATTAAACTTGTGCCAATTCATTCCTTTTGCTCTTCCCAGTCTGTGCTCTCAGAATGATCAAATGCTATCTAAGTAGTGTGGTGATTTTGACTGTTTGAATGAATAAACGAAAACGTCTCCCACCATTATTTGACAGTAGAATAGAACAAAGATGACCCAGTTGGCGTGGCCACACTGTGTCTAATCCAGCCACCTTGCTCACAGCACTCAACCCACTTTGGTGTGTGCGCTCATCTGTATTTTCGTAAATGTTGAAGTCTCTTTCTATGCAGTCAGGTAGGGGTAATACCATTCTGGCTTGGATTAATTTGAGTGTAGTACAAAGTTTAGAGAAGCTTTTAAGTAGCATGAAAAGTCAGATGCTTTCGGAGGGATGGTGGTGAATGTAGGTAAATGGATCTGCACTTAGAGATCCTCAACAGCCCTTCATTCAAGATACAGCTATCATGACATCAATAATGTACCTTTGAAAAAAAATTGGCTGCAGAATTAATTACGGTGAAAAACAGTATAGGAGTTAGCACTTACATTTTAACTAAAAAGAATAGCGTCCCCATGTTTATTCAGCCCTCCCTCCAATAAAACAATTGTTGGCAAAGTAATCATGGACTTTCATTGTGTTAGTTTGAGACAACTGGATGTTTCCATTTGCCATCCTCAGCAACAAGAAGAAAGTAGTCTCAGATTAACCAGGTAAGTATTTTGTATTTCACTTAAAAAATCTTGACTGAAATATGCCTATGTGATGACACTCAACCAAATTATTTCATTAACCAGTCCACAAGATCTCCTTAAATAATGATGGCTTATTCACACTTGATGGTCTCATTCAGTGGGGCAATTTTAATACACATCTCTGAACCTATTTTTTAACCCCTCTTTTTCAGTAGTGTGGAAGGTTAGCCCTAATATTGGAGAAAATTCAGGGTAAAATTCAGATGATTCATACAGGATTTATTTTTCCTATTCCATTAATAAAACAACTTTTATAAAAATAAAAAGTAGGCTGGCACAGTGGCTCACTCCTGTAATCCCAGCATTTTGGGAGGCCGAGGCGGGTGGATCATGAGGTCGGGAGTTCAAGACCAGCGTGGCCAGGATGGTGAAACCCCATCTCTACTAAAAATACAAAAATTAGCCAGGCGTGGTGGCAGGCACCTGTAATCCCGGCTACTCGGGAGGCTGAGGCAGAGAATGGCTTGAACCCAGGAGGCATAGGTTGCAGTGAGTCACGATCGTGCCACTGCACTCCAGCCTGGGTGACAGAGCAAGACTCCGTTTCAAAAAATAATAATAAAATAAAATGAAATAAAGTAAAGCTGCATGTTAGAGAAGTCAAGAGCATTACTTACGTTAGAATATCTGAACAGACCAATCAATTCAGTCTGATCATGATATTGATGTTTTTCTTCACCAAATCGACCACATCAGTAATTCACTTTGTTCTTCGATATCCTACAGACACTGCCTGAGTCGATAACTATGACTATCAGTCTCAGAGAGCAAATGAATTACTGAGGAAGCCCTGTAGGAGTGAGAGAAAAGGGGGGAGAGAGAGAGAAAGGGGTGGGGGGATAACAGGAGAACAGAAATTCCAAAGAGAATTGCATTCTCATTGAGTTCTTGTACCTCATGTCATTGCATAAATGTTCATCTTACTCACGTGATGACTTTGATCTGCCTTTAAAGCACCATCTGCTGCTTTCCTGGGATGCTCAACACTTCCCTCTTTCTAGCAACAAGAATTACCACTCTTCCCCTCTATACATTTATCTTTCTCTACGTGCTTTAACTTCTCAGCCTAATTTCGTCTCTGTGAGTTATTATCTATGTTAGAATAAATTCTTTGTCTTTGTTTACACACTCAGATTTGTAGTTATTTATTTAGGAATTTAGGAATAAAGATTCCATAGTCAGGAAAGGCACAATTTATAACTTGCGTGTTACCCAAAACTCTCCCCTAAGGGCTTAATATGGACATTTCTGACGAGGCCTGATGGGCAGGTGGTACGGTGATGCTAAGTTAAATTCAGAATGAAGGCCTGCCTTTCCTTCCCTCCTTCCTTCCCCTTCCCCTTCTTCCTTCCTTCCTTCCTTCCCTCCATCCCTCCCTCCTGTACTCCTCTTCTTTCTCAATTCTAAGGTGGCCTTAATTTCTAAGGGACATGGCAAAAGACAGTCTAGTTGGATGAGTGCAGTCACTAATATTATTTCCATGTATGGAAAATAACTGTTTCCTTAGTAACAATTGCATCAAATCAGTTCACCTGCTGCCCAATAGCAATCACAGGATGCATTGGGACAAATAAATATACTGACTGCCCCACAGCCACATGGTCTAAGTCAGTTACTGGAGAGCTGACTGAAGTTTGGGAAGCATATTCATCTTACGACACTGAGACATCCTCGGGGGGTTGCAAACACAGGTAGTGTGAAAATTATCAGAACATCCAAGAAAAGGAAAGTTTGACTAAGTGCCGATAAGATTTATGATGTCATGTCTGACATAGAATTGAAACCATCACAGAGCACATAGAGTGGTATATTTTCCTGTCAAATGAAAATCATTTTCTTTAAAAGTGAAATGAAAGTCTCTAAATACAAATTTACTAGAGGATGTGTAAATTTCCTACTTTTCATTACATACTCTGGACCCAACAGAGGGAAATTGGAGCTGTCAGTGAGCCATACATGCAATCTGGTACAGGATCTATGGATTGAATAGACTTTTTTTCATGGAACTACACAAAGCCAGTCTTAGTCATTTCAAAGAAAATTTGTGGTCATTTCAAAACCACCAGCAATTCCAGGGACACCAAGTTGCATAATTCTAGGGGAAAGTGGACTAAAAGTGAATGGCAGCCTCTGGAGTTATACTGAGCATTATTCTTAAAATGTCAATTTGGCAAATAGGTGGTAAGCGAGATCTGTCTGCCAGATTGTTCACATCATCTCTGCTTTAAAAAGATTGATCATAGAATATGTTAAAATAAGACCTGTGGAGAGGAGGTATGAGCTATTTAAGGTGGAAAGGTGTGGGAGAGGGTGAAATTAGTTTTAAATTTTCTAAAGCACTTTTTAACAGGAAAAGAAGTTCTTGGGCACTGAAGGCAGAATTAGATTAAAAGTATTCAATACTCTTCCATTATCAGAGAAATAGTAAAGCTACTAGAGTGCTTTCTGGTTGGGAAGGAAGAAGGCTACCAACATCTTCAAATAAAGATGAGAAGTAGAGCATATTCTTGGTGGATGAATGGATTCACGTGTACTTTTACTATATGCAAATGAAAAGAGCTTTAAAGATCAATAGTTTAGCAAGACTCTTATTTGAATAAGTGATCTTGGAGTGTTTACCCATTGTAACAAAACTCCTTTTCTCATAATTAGAATCATTAAGAAATTTCTCCTACATTTTAGATGACGGAGGTGTGTGTGCACGTGTGTGTGTATGTGTGTGTGATCAACTCATTGCATATTTCTTAAACCACAATATTGTTTAAGGAATTTTAGAAAATAATTACTCAATAGGAAAATGTTGGCCAATCCTCAGATATTTAGATAAGGCTGATTCAAATGCCTATTCTTTCACTGTTCTCACTATGACACTCTTATTTTTATTATTGGCCTGACTTCCGCAGTTATTTTGAAGTTACAGATTTTTAAATTTTGAGTTGAAAAAAAAGAGCAAATTTAGATTAAGGAATGAGAAGTAGTCCTCGCAGCCTCATGAATCTCCTGAAATTTCGAACGGCAAAATCTAAAATCTACAAGTTATTACCTTCTTACAGTAAATAGGTGGGTGTTATGGGTCGTTTTCTTTAACTTCTTTACTTGAAAAGGAATTAAATGATTTCCCTTTAACATAACTTCCCTTTGATTGTGCTCTGCTTCATGAAGTCTGATTTTATTTGCAATATAATTTACTTCAACTATTCACTGTACCCCATGAAGATTCAGCAGCATTTATAACTATTGTCCATAGTTTCAAAAACTAGGTTGTCTTTCTCTTCTCACCAAGTTTGGGATTAACTATGAAGAACCAAAGTGAACCCTTTCAACAACAAGGTTTGCTGTGGTTTTCAAGTTTTGCCTTTGTGTGGAACATTGTAATGACATAGTGGGAAAAGAAATATTTGGGGAGAGAATTAACCATGGCTGATACATAGCACGGGTATTTCTGAACAACCTACTAAATTATTTCTTAGAACATTTTGAAGTATATCTTGCCATAGGAGTGGGAACAGTTTCATACAAAAGCCTCCTCATGCTTCCAACTTTTCTTTAAAAAATTTTTTTTAAATTATTTTATTAAAAATAGAGGCCCGGCCCGATGGCTCACACTGGTAATCCCAGCACTTTAGGAGGCTGAGGTGGGCAAATCACTTGAGGCCAGGAGTTTGAGAACAGCCTGGCCAACATGGTGAAACCTCATCTCTACTAAAAATCCAAAAATTAACCAGGCCCGGTGGCTCATGCCTGTAATCCCAGCATTTTAAGAGGCTGAGGCGGGTGGATCACTTGAGCCCAGGAGATAGCGACCACCCTGGGCAACATGGCCAAACTTCATCTCTACAAGAAATACAAGTTAGCCTGGCGTGGTGGCACGCACCTGTGGTCCCAGCTACTCAGGAAGCTGAGGTGGGAGGATCACTTGAGTTCGAGGGTGCAGTGAACCAAGATCGCACCACTGCACTCCTTTGGCCTGGGACACAGAACAAGACCCTGTCTCAAAAAACAAAACAAAACAAAACAACCCCCCCCCCGCCCCACACACACACAAATAGTGGAACTATAGCACACAAGAGCCATGCATGAGTCAGTGTTCTCCACGAAAGCAAGCTTCAAAGTGGAACTGAGAGACCGGGCTCTGATCCTCACCCTCCCACTAATACCAGGGTAGCCTCAGCCAAGTCACTTAAATTCATGTCTTGAGAGAAGACAGAATTAACTAAGGAATCCCCAAACAGCAGTTCCCTTAGTTGAAATCACAAACGTACACACACATACCCTGACTAAGGAGAGCTTCAAGAAAGGCTGGAAGACTTAGGAGAGGTCAATGGTGACAATCTTAATTCAGAGTTAAGGTTGTCTCTCTGTCAACTTTGCTCAACGTTGGAGCATCTGTTGTTCTCTTGCAATCCACATTCGTTTTCGAAAACACTTCAGAAACAAAAATAGCATCAGCGGTGGTTGCCTGTGAACCTAAAACATATCATTCCAATGAATAAAATCAAGCAACCCTCCAGTTAACCTCATATCCAATTTTTCCTTTCCAGAAAGAAGAGATTTTATCGACATCGAAAGTAAATTTGCCCTAAGGACCCCTGAAGACACAGCTGAGGACACTTGCCACCTCATTCCCGGAGTAGCAGAGTCCGTGGCTACCTGTCATTTCAATCACAGCAGCAAAACCTTCATGGTGATCCATGGCTGGACGGTAAGGGAGGCTCTTTGGGGAAGAGTGGATTGGGGTGGTGAGGTATCCTGACTGGCCTGCCCAATTGTTGGGGACCCAGTGATGGGTCCGCACCCCACATCTCACGTGGATCTCCTTACACTTGAATAAAGACAGTTCTGGCTCAGGTGGGATCTGAAGCCACAGGTTCATGAGAACTCCCCCTAGGCAGTGCCAGCCTTCATTTTAACACTGTACCTGGTTGGTGCCCTTGAGCCAGAGCTTCCTGCGAGGTTGGTAAAGGATGCTCTGCCCAGCTACTGAGCAGAAGATAGGTGATTGCTGTGGGGAACCGGTGGAACCCTGGCATGATCCCGCATCACCCAGCACATTGCCAGGAGAACCTTTCTAAAGAAGACAGCATGGAAGAGTGAGGAGAGGGCTGGAGTGGAGTGAGGAAGTGTGGCGTCCATGCTGGCTTTGCCATTCTCCAGCTCTGTGCTGTGGATCAAGTCACTTGTCATCTCTGGGCCTCCATTTACTGATCTGTAAAGCAGAGGTTGCACTAGATGTCCCTAAAAACACTCTACTTCCAAAATTTTCCAGTTGTAAACTTTAGGGAGCCTTTCTGGAAATTAAAAAAAAAAAGGGCTGGGCAGGGAACTGACATGCTGACATGCCAGATGATTAGAAAAAGTGAAACTGTGATTAAATTTACTTTAAAAAATTGTTAAAAGTCCCCTCTCTAATATGTCACACAGTCACTTTAGATTATGTAGTTCTTGCTTAGTTTGTTTTAAAATGTTTCAATCCCAAGTGAGTAGACTGTGTAATTTATTTAAAAGGATTTGTGTAAAATGGCTTGTTAAAGATATATTATCTATCCATTATGTCAGAGCTTGTGAATATTATAATACTAATTTCTAGTGAGAACTAACTAAAAATAACATTCATCTAGTCCACATTTCTTTTCCTACATAATTTAAGTGGCTTTGTTATTGACTGAAGAGGACAATCGCTACAATTTTTATAGAGATGAGACTACTACTAACAGAATTCACACAGATGTTTAACAAAATATAGCCATTTACTATGTTAACATAGTAAATTCAATATTTTGTGATAAAATCTCAAATTCCTAAACATAAATCCTTTAATATTTTAATAGGTGTAAGTAGGAAAAAGGAATCTTTTTCTTTTTTGAGATGGAGGCTCACTCTATTGCCCAGGCTGGAGTGCAGTGGCGCGATCTCGGCTCACTGCAACCTCCGCCACCTGGGCATAAGAGATTCTCCTGCCTCAGCCTCCCGAGTAGCTGGGACTACAGGCGCCCACCACCACACCCGGCCAATTTTTATATTTTCAGCACAGGCAGGGTTTCACCCTGTTGGCCAGGCTGGTCTCGAACTCCTGACCTCAAGTGATCTACCCACCTTGGCCTCCCAAAGTGTTGGGATGACAGGCGAGAGCCACTGCATCTGGCCCAGAAAAAGGAATCTTTAGAGGCCCTTTGGTTATATACAGAACTTGGATTTTAAAATTTTTCAAAAAATCTGAGCTTAATAAACGCATTTATACAACAGAAATAAATTGAGTATCTCAGTCATCTCAATCTTATCCCTGAGAGAATTTTATACTTTGGGAAGTTGTGGGAAAAAAATGGTTCTTTTTCATACTAAGATGACATGACCAACCCAATATCAACAGACGGTGCCACTTCCTATCATTGGTCCTACTGCCTCACTAAGCCCACCTGTATCTTTCACATCATGTGTCCTGACATTTTGAGTGCTTGAGCACAGAGACTGCTGTCTGGCTGTGGGACTGAGTTGGGTCTGTGCAAGAACTAAGCCAGCCACACTGATCTTGATTATCTCAGTGAACTCACTGGCAGGGTCAGGTGGCCCACCTGGTATAGGCAGCAGGGAGGGCTTCAGTTCAGCTGCGTGTCTGAAAACCAAAGATTTAAAACATAGTAATTATTGAACCTCAGAAGAAAAACTCAGATTGAAAGAACTTAGAATAAGACCCTTTTTGAGTTGAGAAAGGTGAGTACTTAGATTTTTCATTTGCTTTGTTTGGGATTACTTACATCAGTATTTTATGTTGATCAGAAAGAAAGGATTCAATTAGCTATTGTTCGGTTAATAAAAATGTCAGCCACTGTAGGAGTAAGTTGGATGTCCAGCCTTTTTAGATTGCTTAACTTGGAAACACTGGGCTGGGAGCGGTGGCTCATGCCTGTGATCCCAGCACTCTGGGAGGCCAAGGCAGGCAGATCACTGGAGGTCAGGAGTTTGAGACCAACCTGGCCAACATGGGGAAACCCAATCTCTACTAAAAAAATACAAAAAAATTAGCCAGGTGTGGTGGTATGTGCTTGTAGTCCCAGCTACTCAGGAGGCTGAGGCAGGAGAATCGCTTGAACCAAGGAGGCGGAGGTTGCACTGAGCTGAGATCATGCCACTGCACTCCAGCCTGGGCGAGACAGTAAGACTCTGCCAAAAGAAAGGAAAGAAAGGAGGGAAAGAAAGGAAGGAATGAAAGGAAGGAAGGGAAGGAGGAAGGGAAGGAGGGAGGGAGGAAGGAAGGAAGGAATGAAGGAAGGAAGGAAGGAATGAAGGAAGGAAGGAAGGGAGGGAGGAAGAAAGGAAGGAAGAACAAAGAAAAGAGAAACACTGGTAGTACAGAAAAACTTCTGATAGAGGCCTAGAGTAAACCCGATTTTCTTGCCTTATCTGAAATAAGCTGCCTGGGGACTCACAGGCACAGACGAAGGGAAATGAGGAGGCTCTCCAGCTGTGTCATGAGACACCCAAAGGAATGCTTAGCATGTAGCATGCATGTGATACATCCCAGCAGGTTGCTTAGACACAGCTATCTTGGAGCTTTGCCACTTGCTTGGATGTCACTGGCTTTAAGTACAGGGTTCCCATTGTGAAGTAGGGGATCCTGGCTGAAACAGGGAGACATTAACATTACATTCTGAAGAAATGACATCAACCTCTCCTGATCTTGAAAGCCAACTACAAAGGGTGCCCAACACCCCAACCTTGAAGGGAGGCGAAGGTGAGTGGGACTGGACCAATTCAACAGGGTTCTGCTCCTAGCCAGGTGCTCCTGCTAGTTTCCTCAAAGACCCACTTTGCATTCAGACCAATCTTTCCTTTTAATAGTATAAATGATCAAAATTTTATTGAATGTCTAAAATATACTTTTTAAATGGGAAGCATGGTGAACCCCAATCTGCCGTTCCTCAACTCAACTCAATGCCTTCCTGGCTTACTTAGATCTGCCTTGGAAGGGACAGACCTGTCTCTGAACACTGTTCTGTTATTTGATTTTTCTATCTGTGCCAATGGGTTTCCAATCAAGTTTGTTTTTTCCATTTCATGCAGGTGTATTGGGCTGATGTATCTATGACAAGTGGTAGGTGGGTATTTTAAGAAAGCTTGTGTCATCATCTTCAGGTAACAGGAATGTATGAGAGTTGGGTGCCAAAACTTGTGGCCGCCCTGTACAAGAGAGAACCAGACTCCAATGTCATTGTGGTGGACTGGCTGTCACGGGCTCAGGAGCATTACCCAGTGTCCGCGGGCTACACCAAACTGGTGGGACAGGATGTGGCCCGGTTTATCAACTGGATGGAGGTAAGACTGGGAGAAGGAGACTTATGTGTCCAAAACAGTGTTTTTGACTGGAGCCAGAAAACCGGCTGTTCTTTCTTCCTTTTCTCTTAGATTTAAATATTTTCTGGGGGCATTCAAATCTTCAGAATCAGCGTGGATATTATTTTATATCCAAAAGCAACATTTTGATAAGAATAGACTATAAGGCCAATAAATAGTCCTGCCCTGCTCTATCGTTTGATATTTTCACAGTGAATAGATCTGCTGAGACCAATAACTAAGTGGGCCCAACAGAAAAAAGCTTGTGATTTTCGGACAGAGGAAAGATGGCATGTTCAGCCAGACCCTTCCCTACCAGTTGGCTGGCCTGTGGACATCTTATCCTCACCTTGACATACCAATCTCTTTCATGAAAATATTAATAGTACTTATTCTTTAGTGTGAAATAGGATGAACGTTTTTGTTGAGCATTGGGAGAGTGATGGAATTGAGCTAGGAAGATGTTGGAAGGGAAGGTGCATAGGATAGAAGGGAACTGAGGTCTGGAGTTCTGACTTAGCTGCAAGAGACCCACTTTTTCACACGATCCCTTGAGAAGTACCTCTGAAAAGTATCTTGGGGTTGGAAAGAAGCTGATACTCTGACCAAGGCAAATTATTTTAACCAGGTAATTGGAAGTAAAAAATAAGCTGTGTTTATTAGACTGATCATAAAAGACAAAAGTTCTTTTCTTGTCTTTTTTGCTGACCAGGCAAATGAACATGGGCAAACGGGATCACCTCCCTGGGGCTCAGGCTTCTCACCTGTTAAATGAGGGGCTGGACCATGTACCTCTGGTCCCTTCCACTGAATGTTTCCTGAGTCTGTCATTGCTTGGCTAACCTTCAATGATAAAGTGATACAGATATTTAGAGTAAGGAATAATGGGAAAATATATACCCATATACTATACATTCAAACATACACACATATACATATATGCATGCATATAAATGTATACGCATATGTATATGTGTATATGTTTGTACGTATAGTATATGGTTATATATGCAAATACATATACATATACAAACATATGCATATATTATATACATAAATAATACTATTTCAGATGCATGGAAAAACTTTGTAATTTAAATCTGCTATTAAAGAAAGAGAAAATCAATTCTGGATTTGTTTACGGAAAAGTGAAACAAAAGAAAAAGACAATTTTAACACTAGAGAATATTTTCTCTCTCTTACCTGTAACACAAAATTAAAATAAGTAGAATTAGTTTTCAGTATTTCCTATATTTGGAAAACAATATTTATATTCATTTTGTTTCTTTTAGTTTTATTTTTGGCAGAACTGTAAGCACCTTCATTTTCTTTTTCTTCCAAAGGAGGAGTTTAACTACCCTCTGGACAATGTCCATCTCTTGGGATACAGCCTTGGAGCCCATGCTGCTGGCATTGCAGGAAGTCTGACCAATAAGAAAGTCAACAGAATTACTGGTAAGAAAGCAATTTCGTTGGTCTTATCATAAGAGGTGAAAAGACTGTCATTCTGAGAGAGAATCAGAACAAATTTTGTTAAATACCCACATGTGTGGTGTTCTTCCCGGAGACATGACCAGCACTTGATTATCTCATTGTAGGGCTCTTTATTAGGGATAAGAAAAAACACAGACGCTCTCACTGGCTTACTATCCACTGGCAATAGCACAGAAATAAAGCATAATTACACACAATGCCTGCAGATTTCTCTGGGAAGCCTGTTTCCTCCCACTCTCAGCTCTGTGTTTTAGTAGTGTAAATGCACATCAGTACTAGGAGAAAAGAAGAAGGACCAATTCCAGAGGCCACTTCGAAAGAAGACCGTCATCTAGGCAAAGGTGTGGCATACACACAGAGAGAAAGAACCCACCACTGTTTATACATCTTCTCGACATATTCAGAAATAATCTACAAAAGGAAATCCAGCCATCCTGAGTGGAAACTGCTGCATAAGGCTAGTTTAAGAGACTCAAATTCATTTTAGAAGGAGCCAAGCCTCCTTTTATGTCTCTCTAAGTAAAGATACCATGACTGTAGAATAGGAGCTAATAAGAATCTAAATAGCTGCCAGTGCATTCAAATGATGAGCAGTGACATGCGAATGTCATACGAATGGAAATTTACAAATCTGTGTTCCTGCTTTTTTCCCTTTTAAGGCCTCGATCCAGCTGGACCTAACTTTGAGTATGCAGAAGCCCCGAGTCGTCTTTCTCCTGATGATGCAGATTTTGTAGACGTCTTACACACATTCACCAGAGGGTCCCCTGGTCGAAGCATTGGAATCCAGAAACCAGTTGGGCATGTTGACATTTACCCGAATGGAGGTACTTTTCAGCCAGGATGTAACATTGGAGAAGCTATCCGCGTGATTGCAGAGAGAGGACTTGGAGGTAAATATTATTTAGAAGCGAATTAAATGTGACTCTTATCCTTAACCCTTATTGACCCAATGTCCTACTCAGTAGCTTCAAAGTATGTAGTTTTCATATACACATTTGGCCAAATTATGTTTCTGAAGAATTCTGCAATGTTCAGCATGACCACCTTAGAGCCAGGCAGACAGCCATTTTATCTTTTATTTACTATACTGTAGGCTACACTGAGCAGTGCACTTACAGTAGCAAGAGAAAAAGGTGGGATTTTAGACAGGAAGACTCCACTGACCTCAATAATGGCATCATAAAATGCTATCTGGCCACATGTTGTCATACCTTGAATGTAGCTGCAAAGCCAATGGAAAGATTTTAGATGTTACTGGAACAGAAGATGTTAATTAGGATAAATCTTCCAAAATGTTCAGAACATAATGTTAGCTTAATGTTTTACTTTAATAATGTTAGCTTGTGTTAAATTTATGATTTTTGTTTGTTTGTTTTTTGAGATAGAGTCTTATTCTATTGCCCAAGCTGGGGTGCAGTCACACAATCACAGGGACTTGCAATGTTGCCCAGGCTGGTCTCAAACTCCTGGCCTCAAGTGATCCTCCTGCCTCAGCCTCCCAAAGTTCTGGGATTGCAGCTGTGAGCCACCACGCCCAGTTTACGATTTATTTTTAAGAGCCCCTTGCATACTTTATAGACATTGGGACCTACCTAGGATATTCTCGTTATTTTTGTGCACGTAATAGAACTTAGAGCATATTGTTACTATTTTCGATTGTCCTAAAAACTTACAAGGAATTCATTCTTATGGCATTGCTGATTATTTCTATGTTCATTTGATATAAAAGAGTGTTAGTAGGGGCAGAACCCTCAATTGTACATAATATCAATGATAAAATACAATTCATTTAACAATTACCCTCTTAAGATGTGGTTTCTAGAAATACAAATTGTCCCTAACTTACAGTTTTCCAACTTTACAATTGGGCTGTAACACCATTTTAAGTTGAGAAGCACGTGATGGTTTGACTTAAAACTTTTTGACATTATGATGGGTTTTGGGGGTATTAAGTGCATTTTGACTTACAGTATTTTTGACTTATGAAGAATTTATTGTAAGGCAAGGGGCAGGTATATGTTTCTAGAAGCACCTAGAAGTGTTAGACACTTTCAATGTAAGAGAAGGATGAGATAAACAAGGAAATCAACCTCCACCTTGGAGGCTTATTACAGCTTCATAAACATACTCATAAATATAAGAAGCACAAAAGTCAAAAATTCCCTGTGAACTTGCAACTTTCACTCTCTTGAAGGTGGGTGGGCCGCTACCACCAAGAATATCTCCTGAAATAGGGCCTACAATCATAAATGCACAGGACTATATCCTTGGGTGATTCTACTCTAACACCACATCTCACCTATTTTAGACATGCCAAATGAAACACTCTTTGTGAATTTCTGCCGAGATACAATCTTGGTGTCTCTTTTTTACCCAGATGTGGACCAGCTAGTGAAGTGCTCCCACGAGCGCTCCATTCATCTCTTCATCGACTCTCTGTTGAATGAAGAAAATCCAAGTAAGGCCTACAGGTGCAGTTCCAAGGAAGCCTTTGAGAAAGGGCTCTGCTTGAGTTGTAGAAAGAACCGCTGCAACAATCTGGGCTATGAGATCAATAAAGTCAGAGCCAAAAGAAGCAGCAAAATGTACCTGAAGACTCGTTCTCAGATGCCCTACAAAGGTAGGCTGGAGACTGTTGTAAATAAGGAAACCAAGGAGTCCTATTTCATCATGCTCACTGCATCACATGTACTGATTCTGTCCATTGGAACAGAGATGATGACTGGTGTTACTAAACCCTGAGCCCTGGTGTTTCTGTTGATAGGGGGTTGCATTGATCCATTTGTCTGAGGCTTCTAATTCCCATTGTCAGCAAGGTCCCAGTGCTCAGTGTGGGATTTGCAGCCTTGCTCGCTGCCCTCCCCTGTAAATGTGGCCATTAGCATGGGCTAGGCTATCAGCACAGAGCTCAGAGCTCATTTGGAACCATCCACCTCGGGTCAACAAACTATAACCCTTGTGCCAAATCCAGCCTACTTCCTGCTTTTGTAAATAGTTTTTTTAAAACTTTTAAGTTCAGGGGTACGTATGTAGGTTTGCTAAAAAGGTAAACTTGTGACATGGGAGTTTGTTGTCCAGAATATTCCATCACCCAGGTATTAAGCTTAGTACCCATTAGTTACTTTTCCTGAAGCTCTCCCTCCTCCCACCCTCTGGGAGGCCCCAGTGTCTGTTGTTCCCCTCTATGTGCTCATGCAAAGTTTTATTAGGACACAGCCACACACATTCATTACCATATTGTCAAAGGCTGGTTTCATGCCACCATAACAGAGTTGATAGCCCACAGAGCCTAAAATATTTACTCCCTGGCCCTTTACAGAATGTTCACAACTTACATAAAGGCAAGGACCATCTGTCTTATTTATTTATTTATTTAATTTGAGATGAAGTCTAGCTTTCTCCTAGGCTGGAGGAGAGGGGCATGATCTTGGCTCACCACAACCTCTGCCTCCCGGGTTCAAATGATTCCCCTGCCTCAGCCTCCGGAGTAGCTGGGATAACAGGCATGCACCATCATGCCCAGCTAATTTTTGTATTTTTAGTAGAGAGGGGGTTTCACCGTGTTGACCAGGCTGGTCTCGAACTGCTGACCTCAGGTGATCTGCCCTCCTTGGCCTCATCTGTCTTTTTAAATGCAACTATTCCTGGAAGGCAAGAATATCTCACACCTTCTAAGATACTGCCATTTTGCCAGGAGTTTGTTTCACACTTGAATTTCAAGCTTGGCCTCTTGTTTAGAGGCAGACCTAAAGGAATGGTCGGAAAATGAGAGAGGAGGTCTTCGGATAAATCCGGTGAGAGGGACCAACTTCAGGAAGGGTGGCTTTTGTGGAATCCAGATGGAAACCTGAGGGAAGGGATGATATTAAAGAACAGTGGCCCCAGGTAAAACATATGGCACCCATGTGTAAGGTGATTCTTAGAATCTGTAGAGGTGTCTTTCGTGGTATAGAGGTTGAGGCACCTGTGCTTCAAGGAAACCTTAACTCTTCAAAATCAGGCAATGCGTATGAGGTAAAGAGAGGACTGTGGGACCATAATCTTGAAGACACAGACAGGCTTCACTCATCCCTGCCTCCTGCACCAGTGGGTTCAAGGCTCTGTCAGTGTCCCCTAGGGGCACCTCACCACTCCCAGCTTCTTCAGCTCTGGCCTGTCCTGCTGCCTGCAAGGGTTTTGCTTAATTCTCAATTCAATGTCTCTTCATCTTTTAGCAGCTGTGGGGTTTTGTTGTTGTTCTTCTGTTTTTGCTTAGTATCTGACTACTTTTTAATTATAAAAAGAGATGTATCTAAACAAAATAGAGATTGTTATCAGAAGTTCACAACATTTATTAAAAATTTTTTCACCTGGACAAGAGTCTAAAGCAGCATAAAAATATGGTCTGCTATATTCTAAACCATCAGTCTTAAGAGATCTGTGTCTCAGCTTAAGAGAAAATACATTTAATAGACAGTAACACAAATAAGAAAAAAATCTGACCAAGGATAGTGGGATATAGAAGAAAAAACATTCCAAGAATTATTTTATTTATTTATTTATTTATTTATTTATTTATTTATTTATTTATTTTTGAGACACAGTCTCGCTCAGTTACCCAGGCTGGAGTGCAGCGGCGCAATCTTAGCTCACTGCAACCTCTGCTTTCCGGTTCAAGCGATTCTCCTGCCTCAGCCTCCTGAGTAACTGGGATTACAGGCACCCGCCACCACGCCCAACTAATTTCTGTATTTTTCTTAGTAGAAACAGGGTTTCACCATGTTGGCCAAGCTAGTCTCAAACTCCTGACCTCAGGTGATTCACCCACCAAGGCCTCCCAAAGTGCTGGGATTACAGGCATGAGCCACCATGCCTGGCCTCCAAGAACTCTTTTTTCCTCCATCATCATGGTTCTATTTTAGTCCTGCTGCCTTTCCTTTTAACCTCTCCCCAGGCCCATTTGCTCAGGGTTTTTGGTAGAGACCAGAGGAGGGGCAGGGAGGAGATATAGAAGTTCAACTACCTGCTTCCAGAGGCTGTCCCTAGTATAGAATACTTTAGGGGCTGGCTTTACAAGGCAGTCCTTGTGGCCTCACTGATGGCTCAATGAAATAAGTTCTTTTTTAAAAAAAATTTTATTTATTTCCATAGGTTATTGGGGGAACAGGTGGTGTTTGGTTACATGAGTAAGTTCTTTAGTAGTGATTTGTGAGATTTTGGTGTGCCCATTACGGAATGGAAAAATCAACGAAATAAGTTCTATGATGCACCTACTAGACACCTAATCTGCGCTAGATGGTGGGGGAATTAAGAGCATGGGCATGATCCTGTGACCGGAAGCCCGCTTACAGTCAGGGTGGAGGACAGACCTACTCATGAAACAAACACAGTGACATATAGTGACACAGAAGCAAATGTCAAATATGCTTGCTCCAGATGCTAAGGCACAAGATGGCCAAGGATGGCGGAGTTCATGGAGAAAGCATCATGAGTGTTTTGGCCTTCTGATTTGATCTCCCTAGCACCCCTCAAAGATGGCTACTTCCTAATGCTGCTTGGCAATTCAGACACATTTGGGTTTTTCCTATGCATATAACCACACTTTTCTGAAAGGGAGTAGAATTCAAGGTCTGCATTTTCTAGGTATGAACACTGTGCATGATGAAGTCTTTCCAAGCCACACCAGTGGTTCCATGTGTGTGCACTTCCGGTTTGAGTGCTAGTGAGATACTTCTGTGGTTCTGAATTGCCTGACTATTTGGGGTTGTGATATTTTCATAAAGATTGATCAACATGTTCGAATTTCCTCCCCAACAGTCTTCCATTACCAAGTAAAGATTCATTTTTCTGGGACTGAGAGTGAAACCCATACCAATCAGGCCTTTGAGATTTCTCTGTATGGCACCGTGGCCGAGAGTGAGAACATCCCATTCACTCTGTGAGTAGCACAGGGGGGCGGTCATCATGGCACCAGTCCCTCTCCTGCCATAACCCTTGGTCTGAGCAGCAGAAGCAGAGAGCGATGCCTAGAAAACAAGTCTTTAGTTAAAAAAATCAGAATTTCAAAATTGAGGTCTTTCCTCTATTTGATATTGAGAAAAAAATGCTTCAAATTGGCCATTTTATTTTCACTTACTAGTTATATTTTTTTATTTATCATCTTATATCTGTTTATTTCTTTTATAAAGCTGCTGTTAAACAATATAATTAAACTATCTCAAAAGGTTTGACATTAAAGAAAATGAGCAATGGTAACAGGAAACCACTCTATAGATGTACATATAATATGTACAGAAAATATAAGTAGTAAGAAGTCCATGACAAAGTGTTAGCTCTTTTTTTTTTTTTTTTTTTTTTTTTTTTTGAGATGGAGTCTCTCTCTATTGCCCAGGCTGGAGTGCAGTGATTCGATCTCAGCTCACTGCAACCTCTACCTCCCGAGTTCAAACAATTCTTCTGTCTCAGCCTCCCGAGTAGCTGGGGCTGCAGGTGCCCACCACCATGCCCAGCTAATTTTTGTATTTTTAGTAGCGACAGGGTCTCACCATGTTGGCCAAGCTGGTCTTGAATTCCTGATCTCAGGTGATCCACCCGCCTCGGCCTCCCAAAGTGCTGGGATTACAGGTGTGAGCCACCATGCCCAGCCTACCCTTTACTACTAATCAAAGAAATAAAAGTAAGGCAACTTGATACTTTTACAATTACTAGATGAACAAATCTTTAAAAATAGCCAGTGCAGACAAGGTGGTGAAGCAGAACATGCGAACCTACCATGCATCATTCACGGCTAGAACCCTCCAGGTGCGGAAGGTAGTATTTTAATAACTTTCCATAGCTACAAAATATTATTACATAGAAGGGAGTGATTTTTTTCTAATATTTATCCTAAAGAAATAGTCAACAAACATTTTTAAAAACATCAATTACAGTCGTACCTATACTAGCATAAATTAGAAACCCAGTATCCAACATTGAGGCAGTGGGTAAATGAATCGTGGTTTATCAAGTCATTAAAATCAATCTAGCCTTTAAAAACTATAATTGTAGGAAACCCAGGAAAACATAGTAAAAAATGGAATATAAAATCTGAAGAGAATAAAGAATAGAGAATCGTATGTGTGCTATGATTGTAGCTAAATAATGTTCAAGTATCAACACAAATTGAAAAGGAATACATGAAAATGAAAATTATATTTCTGAATGATTGACTTCAGGATTTTCTTTTAGAATTGTATTAAATAGTTCATGTCATTAGGATAAATGCTGGAATGTGGATATAATTTAAAATATACTAAATGCCATCGACCTTCATTTTGAGTTCTTTGTTGGACATTTTTGTGCATTTTTAAAATATCCCCTAAATAATAAAGCTATTTATATTTGGAGAGGAGAAAAAAAAGTGGGGGGCAGGGAGAGCTGATCTCTATAACTAACCAAATTTATTGCTTTTTTGTTTAGGCCTGAAGTTTCCACAAATAAGACCTACTCCTTCCTAATTTACACAGAGGTAGATATTGGAGAACTACTCATGTTGAAGCTCAAATGGAAGAGTGATTCATACTTTAGCTGGTCAGACTGGTGGAGCAGTCCCGGCTTCGCCATTCAGAAGATCAGAGTAAAAGCAGGAGAGACTCAGAAAAAGTAATTAAATGTATTTTTCTTCCTTCACTTTAGACCCCCACCTGATGTCAGGACCTAGGGGCTGTATTTCAGGGGCCTTCACAATTCAGGGAGAGCTTTAGGAAACCTTGTATTTATTACTGTATGATGTAGATTTTCTTTAGGAGTCTTCTTTTATTTTCTTATTTTTGGGGGGCAGGGGGGGGGAAGTGACAGTATTTTTGTATTTCATGTAAGGAAAACATAAGCCCTGAATCGCTCACAGTTATTCAGTGAGAGCTGGGATTAGAAGTCAGGAATCTCAGCTTCTCATTTGGCACTGTTTCTTGTAAGTACAAAATAGTTAGGGAACAAACCTCCGAGATGCTACCTGGATAATCAAAGATTCAAACCAACCTCTTCAAGAAGGGTGAGATTCCAAGATAATCTCAACCTGTCTCCGCAGCCCCACCCATGTGTACCCATAAAATGAATTACACAGAGATCGCTATAGGATTTAAAGCTTTTATACTAAATGTGCTGGGATTTTGCAAACTATAGTGTGCTGTTATTGTTAATTTAAAAAAACTCTAAGTTAGGATTGACAAATTATTTCTCTTTAGTCATTTGCTTGTATCACCAAAGAAGCAAACAAACAAACAAAAAAAAAAAGAAAAAGATCTTGGGGATGGAAATGTTATAAAGAATCTTTTTTACACTAGCAATGTCTAGCTGAAGGCAGATGCCCTAATTCCTTAATGCAGATGCTAAGAGATGGCAGAGTTGATCTTTTATCATCTCTTGGTGAAAGCCCAGTAACATAAGACTGCTCTAGGCTGTCTGCATGCCTGTCTATCTAAATTAACTAGCTTGGTTGCTGAACACCAGGTTAGGCTCTCAAATTACCCTCTGATTCTGATGTGGCCTGAGTGTGACAGTTAATTATTGGGAATATCAAAACAATTACCCAGCATGATCATGTATTATTTAAACAGTCCTGACAGAACTGTACCTTTGTGAACAGTGCTTTTGATTGTTCTACATGGCATATTCACATCCATTTTCTTCCACAGGGTGATCTTCTGTTCTAGGGAGAAAGTGTCTCATTTGCAGAAAGGAAAGGCACCTGCGGTATTTGTGAAATGCCATGACAAGTCTCTGAATAAGAAGTCAGGCTGGTGAGCATTCTGGGCTAAAGCTGACTGGGCATCCTGAGCTTGCACCCTAAGGGAGGCAGCTTCATGCATTCCTCTTCACCCCATCACCAGCAGCTTGCCCTGACTCATGTGATCAAAGCATTCAATCAGTCTTTCTTAGTCCTTCTGCATATGTATCAAATGGGTCTGTTGCTTTATGCAATACTTCCTCTTTTTTTCTTTCTCCTCTTGTTTCTCCCAGCCCGGACCTTCAACCCAGGCACACATTTTAGGTTTTATTTTACTCCTTGAACTACCCCTGAATCTTCACTTCTCCTTTTTTCTCTACTGCGTCTCTGCTGACTTTGCAGATGCCATCTGCAGAGCATGTAACACAAGTTTAGTAGTTGCCGTTCTGGCTGTGGGTGCAGCTCTTCCCAGGATGTATTCAGGGAAGTAAAAAGATCTCACTGCATCACCTGCAGCCACATAGTTCTTGATTCTCCAAGTGCCAGCATACTCCGGGACACACAGCCAACAGGGCTGCCCCAAGCACCCATCTCAAAACCCTCAAAGCTGCCAAGCAAACAGAATGAGAGTTATAGGAAACTGTTCTCTCTTCTATCTCCAAACAACTCTGTGCCTCTTTCCTACCTGACCTTTAGGGCTAATCCATGTGGCAGCTGTTAGCTGCATCTTTCCAGAGCGTCAGTACTGAGAGGACACTAAGCATGTGACCTTCACTACTCCTGTTCTGAATTCCAGGAATATGCCCTTTTCAACCCTCCACACATCCCCTGCCAGACAGCAAGTGCTAATGGGTTACAGGAACAAAGGGGAGAAATATTAGATCATGTCATACAAGCCAGTGACACAAGAAATGAAGGGAAAGGCTAGACACAGTGTCATCTGGAAACAGGAAAAGCAATTGCTTTTGGTTTGTTCTTTTCCTAGTTTGCATTTGGGACAAATGTATAGAATAAGAATTGCCTTCATGCCTGCAATCCCAGCACTTTGGGAGGCTGAGGCAGGTGGATCACCTGAGGTCAGGAGTTTGAGACCAGCCTGGCCAACGTGGCGAAACCACCTCTCTACTAAAAATATAAAAATTAGCTGGGTGTGGCGGCACATGCCTGTAATCCCAGCTACTCGGCAGGCTGAGGCGGGAGAATTGCTTGAACCGGGGAGGCAGAGGTTGCAGTGAGATGAGATCGCGCCATTATATTCCAGCCTGGGCAACAGAGAAAGACTCCATCTCAAAAAAAAAAAAAACATGCCTATTAGGAAAAGTATATTAAAGACCCTATGTGTAACATCTTTAATGTTTTTAAATTCTACTTTATAATAGATTTTATACATGTTTACTATAAATAGATTAGGAAAAATAAGCAAAAATAAAATAAAATCACTGTGACCATATCACTCAGAGACAACCCCAATTAACGTTTTTATTTATATTCTTTCGGACTTTATATATACATAATATTTATATGTTTTTCGTCCTTTACAAAAATAGAATTATGGTGTATATACTCTGAATGACTAGATGAGAACATCTGGATCAAAAGCATTAATGTAAGAGCATTCAGGATAAACTCAAAATGGAGAATAGTTAGTGGTATTGAGCCAGGCAAAATAACGCAATTCTTATCTAACTGGAGACTTTTCTTCTAAGAGGTTATTACGTTGTTTTTCCTCATCACAAATCTGAGGCAATATCATACTTTCTTCAGTTCTTAGAAAGAGACTTTTAGATGAAGTTTTTTTTGTTTGTTTTGGTTTTTTTTTTCTTGAGATGGAGTTTTGCTCTTGCTGCCCAGGCTGGAGTGTAGTGGCTCGATCTCAGCTCACTGCAACCTCCACCTCCTGGGTTCAAGCAATTCTCCTGCCTCAGCCTCCCAAGTAGCTGGGATTACACGTGTCCGCCACCACACCTGGCTAATTTCGTATTTTTAGTAGAGAAAGGGTTTCACCATGTTGGTCAGGCTGGTCTTGAACTCCTAACCTCAGGTTATCCACCTGCCTCGGCCTCCCAAAGTGCTGGGATTATAGGTGTGAGTCACCACACCCGGCCCTAGATGCAGTTTTATACATGCATTTGTATTACACATAAATAGCATGCATATTCTGCCAGAGCATCTACAACTTTAAATCTACATGTGAATGTGAAAATAAAACCTCATTAAATTAGTAAATAACTCTAGCTGCTTGTAAAGCACGTCCAGTCGTATTTTTTATATGTTACAAGACTTTATCTGAGAAAGCCTAATGAAGCATTCCTTGTCTGATTATAGGATTACTGACAGAACAGTTATTTAGACAGAGAATGTTCAGATGCGTTTTATTTTTATTTTTTACTTTTATTTATTTTTGAGACAGTCTCGTTCTGTTGCCCAGGCTAGAATGTGGTGGCGTGATCTCGGCTCAATGCAACTCTGCCTCCCGGGTTCAAGTGATTCTTGTGCCTCAGCCTGACAAGTAGCTGGGATTATAGGTGCCCGTTACCATGCCCAGCTAATTTTTCTGTTTTTAGTAGAGACGGAGTTTCACCATATTGGCCAGGCTGGTCATTGAACTCCTAACCTCAGGTGATGTGCCTGTCTCAGCCTCCCAATGTGCTGGGATTACAGGCATGAGCCACAGCACCCAGCCAGATGCATTTTTAAAAACGTACCTGAACTTTATCTAGGAGGTAATTATAAATTAGACTAATAATCTTCTACAGTTTCTTTCTTCTGTGATTAAAATCAATCAAATCAAAGATTCTCTTTCTCACACCTTCTGCTAACTCCTCAGAAACCTCATATCACAAGAAATGAAATGGAACAGGCCTTTCGTTTGATACATTTTAGAATAAGAAATCCTCTAAATTTAGAAGTCATTTGGCCCAGTCCTCCAAAAATGATGCACCTTATTGGGACGGGGCTAAATAGTTGCTCCAGTGTCTTCCATTCCTACAAACCTGCCATTCTCTGATCCATTATACACATCTCCCCTGGGTTTATTCTCACAACCTTTGTTCTGAAATTCCATTTGAAGGCTTTTTCCATCCTAAAACCAGTGGGGGACAGGCGGGAATTGTAAAACACTCAGAAGATAATAAATTGCCCTTTTTCCTGTGCTTTTTCTCAGAAACTGGGCGAATCTACAGAACAAAGAACGGCATGTGAATTCTGTGAAGAATGAAGTGGAGGAAGTAACTTTTACAAAACATACCCAGTGTTTGGGGTGTTTCAAAAGTGGATTTTCCTGAATATTAATCCCAGCCCTACCCTTGTTAGTTATTTTAGGAGACAGTCTCAAGCACTAAAAAGTGGCTAATTCAATTTATGGGGTATAGTGGCCAAATAGCACATCCTCCAACGTTAAAAGACAGTGGATCATGAAAAGTGCTGTTTTGTCCTTTGAGAAAGAAATAATTGTTTGAGCGCAGAGTAAAATAAGGCTCCTTCATGTGGCGTATTGGGCCATAGCCTATAATTGGTTAGAACCTCCTATTTTAATTGGAATTCTGGATCTTTCGGACTGAGGCCTTCTCAAACTTTACTCTAAGTCTCCAAGAATACAGAAAATGCTTTTCCGCGGCACGAATCAGACTCATCTACACAGCAGTATGAATGATGTTTTAGAATGATTCCCTCTTGCTATTGGAATGTGGTCCAGACGTCAACCAGGAACATGTAACTTGGAGAGGGACGAAGAAAGGGTCTGATAAACACAGAGGTTTTAAACAGTCCCTACCATTGGCCTGCATCATGACAAAGTTACAAATTCAAGGAGATATAAAATCTAGATCAATTAATTCTTAATAGGCTTTATCGTTTATTGCTTAATCCCTCTCTCCCCCTTCTTTTTTGTCTCAAGATTATATTATAATAATGTTCTCTGGGTAGGTGTTGAAAATGAGCCTGTAATCCTCAGCTGACACATAATTTGAATGGTGCAGAAAAAAAAAAAGAAACCGTAATTTTATTATTAGATTCTCCAAATGATTTTCATCAATTTAAAATCATTCAATATCTGACAGTTACTCTTCAGTTTTAGGCTTACCTTGGTCATGCTTCAGTTGTACTTCCAGTGCGTCTCTTTTGTTCCTGGCTTTGACATGAAAAGATAGGTTTGAGTTCAAATTTTGCATTGTGTGAGCTTCTACAGATTTTAGACAAGGACCGTTTTTACTAAGTAAAAGGGTGGAGAGGTTCCTGGGGTGGATTCCTAAGCAGTGCTTGTAAACCATCGCGTGCAATGAGCCAGATGGAGTACCATGAGGGTTGCTATTTGTTGTTTTTAACAACTAATCAAGAGTGAGTGAACAACTATTTATAAACTAGATCTCCTATTTTTCAGAATGCTCTTCTACGTATAAATATGAAATGATAAAGATGTCAAATATCTCAGAGGCTATAGCTGGGAACCCGACTGTGAAAGTATGTGATATCTGAACACATACTAGAAAGCTCTGCATGTGTGTTGTCCTTCAGCATAATTCGGAAGGGAAAACAGTCGATCAAGGGATGTATTGGAACATGTCGGAGTAGAAATTGTTCCTGATGTGCCAGAACTTCGACCCTTTCTCTGAGAGAGATGATCGTGCCTATAAATAGTAGGACCAATGTTGTGATTAACATCATCAGGCTTGGAATGAATTCTCTCTAAAAATAAAATGATGTATGATTTGTTGTTGGCATCCCCTTTATTAATTCATTAAATTTCTGGATTTGGGTTGTGACCCAGGGTGCATTAACTTAAAAGATTCACTAAAGCAGCACATAGCACTGGGAACTCTGGCTCCGAAAAACTTTGTTATATATATCAAGGATGTTCTGGCTTTACATTTTATTTATTAGCTGTAAATACATGTGTGGATGTGTAAATGGAGCTTGTACATATTGGAAAGGTCATTGTGGCTATCTGCATTTATAAATGTGTGGTGCTAACTGTATGTGTCTTTATCAGTGATGGTCTCACAGAGCCAACTCACTCTTATGAAATGGGCTTTAACAAAACAAGAAAGAAACGTACTTAACTGTGTGAAGAAATGGAATCAGCTTTTAATAAAATTGACAACATTTTATTACCACACTAAGTCATTATTTTGTATCATTTTTAAAGTAAATTTATTCTTAGGTCAGATTCACTCAGCATATTTTGACTAAGTAACCACTGTACTTAGTAAACCGAAGAGCTTCTGAGAATTATAGTGTACCTTATAGATATTTTTAACATTTATATTTGTATAAAGCTAAAGAAAGCCTTACATATCCTTTAAACTGACTATAGAAGAAAATGATACAGAATTTTGCCTGCATAAAGTACACAGGACTATTCTTGCCTACAATATGCTTTTTCACAAGCAAAATGTTAGACTAATATAAGGCATCTTTGGCCATTTTATAGTGTACATCATCTCTATTTCTGAGGCCTCATTGTTAGCTGTAACGCAAGTAGCATTTGTGCAATAAAATGAACTATTTGGGATGGGAGGGTACATTTTTTAGAACTTTGCTTTGGGTTGCCTTGATAATTAATAGCATATAGTCCATTTATGCAGCTAAGTAGGGATTGCTTCTTAGTACAGTCAGGAAGAATTTAGCCCAGAAAACAATTATTTCAATGGCCACTGACCCAAACTTCCAGGCTGAAGAGCAATGGCGTGATCATGGCTCACTGCACCTCCACCTCCCAGGCTCAAGTGATTCTCCTGCCTCAGCCTCCCAAGTAGATGGTACTACAAGCACACGCCACTGCACCCAGCTAATTTTTGTATTTTTTGTAGAGATGGGGGTTTCACCATGTTGCCCAGGCTGGTCTTAAATTCCTGGCCTCAAGTGTCTGCCCCCCTTGGCCTCCCAAAGTGCTGGAATTACAGGCATGAGCCACCATGTCCAGCCTTGACCCAAACTTTTATTGTCAGTTAGCTATTGGGGCTTCTGGAGTTTGGGTCTCCCCTGACAGGAGGGGGCTCCCCAGTTCACACTTGGCCACTGCCCATCAATTCCTGTTGATATGATCAACAAGATAGACAATTGCAAATGTTGCTGAGGATGTGGAGAAGTGTGAACCTGTGTAAGTGGCTGATGGGAATGTAAAATGGCACAGCCACTATGGAGAACAATTTGGTAGTATTTCCAAAGTTAAGCATAGAGTTTAACCCATATGACCCAGCAATTCCACTCCTAGATATATACCCAAGAGAAATGAAAACACAGATCCACAAAGATTTGCACACACAGGTTCATAGCAGCATTAATCAGATTAGTCCCAAAGTGGACAACCCAAATGTCCATGAACTTGTGAAAGAGATAAGCAAAATGTGACAAATTCACATAATAAAATATTATTCAGAAGTAAAAAGAACAAGCAGCAGATATATGATACAACACGATGAGCCTTGAAAACGTTTAGCCATATGAAAGAAACCAGATGCAAAATGGAACCATGGGCTTAGGGGAGGAGAACGGCACAATGGTGTAAAAGTTGCAGAGAGGAACAAAAAGGCTACCTGCCTCGCTCCCAGGCCAAGTAACACAGGAGGAAAGAAAATATCCACATATGCGAGGGCTAAAGGAAAGAGGTGTTCTCAAGCTGAAGCAGGAGGTGGGACTCAACTCTGGAGGTGGGCCTCACACACTGTACCAAATTGAGGACTAGCTAAAACAGGGATGGGGGTGAAAGCACCTTTTCGTAAGACATGCCCACCATTGTCCCGTTCTCCTCCCTTAAGCCCTTGTCTTGCTCATGTCAGCAAGCTTATTGCCATCTATTCTTCCTAGTTACAGACATCTGTGGAGCTCTGAGTTTTTTGCCTAATCATTATTTTAGAACCTGGTTCACTCTCTCTCCCTTCTACACTAGTTCTGTCATTATTATTACTGATTTCAGTACCTCTGAGGTGATAGATTTTATTTTCCAATGGCAGCCACAACACTACCTCCCATTCTATATGTTCCCCTGCAATGTTGCCTTGACATCCCTATTAAGAGTTGGAATCTAGTCACCCCGCTTTTCTAGTCTCCCCACTCCTTTGAACTTGTGTGGGCCCTAAGATTGCTTCTACTAGTAGAATAGAACTAAAATGACCCTGGACCAGTGTGGGGTGCAGCCCTTAACTGGCCTGGCAGCTTCTGCTTTTGGTTCCTTGGGGCACTCACTCTTGGGAAACTTCCCTTTGGAACTCAGCATTCATGATGCGGGAAGTTGAAGCCACATGAAAAGAGCATATGGTGGTTCTCTCAGCTCCCAGCCAACAACCAGTCTCGACTGTCAGCCATGTGAGTGAGGCATCTTGGACCTCCGGCCAGTTGAGTGTTCAGAAGACTGCAGCTCGAGCTGGCATCTGGATGCAACCACATGAGAGACGCTCTGCCCAGCCAAGCCCAGCCAACTCACAGTACTATGAGAGATACTAATAACTTGTTGTTGTTGTTGTTGTTGTTGTTTTTATTATTAAACTTTAAGTTTTAGCATACACGTGCACAACGTGCAGGTTAGTTACATATGTATACCTGGGCCATGTTGGTGTGCTGCACCCAGTAACTCGTCATTTAACATTAGGTATATCTCCAAATGCTATCCCTCCCCCCTCCCTAAGTTTTTAGGAGTTTGCTTTGCAACGATAGATAGTTGAAACATCTGGATGATGCATCCAGTATTCTGGCTTCTCACTGCCTTTACCTCCTCTCTCCCATGGCCTTGTCTTCTAAATCTACCTTTACATAGAAACATTCAGTCACGTGCTATACTATATCATGCCATTACTAATAACTCATAAACTCAATTTCAACTTCTCCCTTCTTTGACTACCACATGCTATCTTTTTACTTTAATCAGTCTAGTGCTCTCAGTTCAACAGCTCCTCAACTGCCCCAGGACCTCCAATACATTGATCTATTCATCCCTCATTTCCTTTCTTAGCCTCACTTTGATCCGTACTCAGCTTAGATTTCAAGGCCCAAGGTTATTATTACTCCAGTGCCAAAACTCTAAAGAGCTGTGCTTCTCTCACCCTCAACTGAGCTCTTCAGGGCAAAACATAAACCCTGAATATATCCAAATTGCCACTCAACTCCATAACTGCATCTGAGCAGCAGAATGTGATAGGTAACACACCCATGCACACACAGCCCTGCTGCCCCTCACTTTACCGCCTCACTCCATGGCTCCCTTACAGCTGCCCAGCAGTCCTCCTACATTTCCCTGGTCCAAACAGGCCTCACTCTCCAAGATGATGATTTAATCTCAGACCTCTAATAACTTCTCACCTCTCTCTACACTCACCTGATTGCCTTATTTACTGAGAATACAGGGGCAATCATAAAGCTCTATGTGCTTCACTCTTAAATCTATCCATCTCCCTGCTCCTGTGTCCATACACTCTGTTTTCCCTTCTGATATAAGAGACGTTTTCCCTCTTTCTACCTCTGACCAATTCTTGCATAAAAAGATCTTGAAGGAGAAGGAAGTCCTTTTCTCCTACTCAAAGACATTGCTCTGGAGTTGTTCCTGTTCTCTCCTGCTCCTCAGTTTTCACCTCCTACTGGATCATTCTAACAGCAAACAAAAATGTATACTTCCCACTTAAAAACAAATTAAAACTTGCTTGAACCCACTTCCATCTCCACCTTCCTTTTTTTTTTTTTGTGATAGAGTCTTACTCTTTTGCCCAGGCTGGAGTGCAGTAGCACGATCTCAGCTCACTGCAACCTCTACCTCCCTGATTCAAGCAATTCTCCTGCCTCAGCCTCCTGAGAAGGTGGGATTGCAGGCATGTTGCCACCACACCCGGCTAATTTTTTTCGTATTTTAAGTAGAGATGGGGTTTTGCCATGTTGGCCAGGCCGGGCTCGAACTCCTGACCTCAAGTGATCCATCCATCTTGGCTTCCCAAAGTGCTGCGATTATAGGTGTGAGCCACCACACCCGGCCTTATGCTCCTCTTTATAGCAATTGCTTAATCTCTACTAATGGTTTCTACTTCCCCTCGCAATCCTCGAACAAAGTCTGATCAAGCCACTTTCAATCTACCAGACTTATTGTTTCTAAGCTTACTGATGAATACCATGGCAGTAAACCCAATGGTCGATTCTCCTTTGTCTTCTTACTTGACTTCCCTGTGTAATTTGAGCCAGGTTGCTTTTCCCTTGAAACGATTTTTCACTGGTCTCTTAGGACTCCACTGTTTGCTACCCTCTTTCTCCCATTAGCTATTCCTTCTCACTCTTTGTTGATTCCTGCTCATCTTCCTAACCCTTAACGTGTTGAGTGCTCCAGTGCTGAATCTTCAGTGTCTCAACTTCATTTATATCTATTCACAAGGTGATACTCAGTTGGCTTTAAACACCACACAGCTGCTGATGAATCCAAAATTTACATCTCCATCTTGTACCTCGCTTCTAAATTTCAGACTTTTTAATATATCCACTTGTCTATCAAATATCTCCACTTGGCTTTCTAATAGGTTTTGGGAACCTATCATGTTATAAAACATTGTTATCCACCAGTTTTCTCCTCCCAGTTAAAAGAATTTCTTCCTTCCAGTTGCTCAGGAGGAAATCTTGGAATCCATACTTGAGTTCTTTCTTCCGCAATACATAATCAATCAGTCAAAAAAACTGGCTTGGTGTCATGGCTCATGCCTGTAATCCCAGCACTTTGGGAGGCCTGGGCAGGAGGGTCACTTGAGCCCAGGAATTTGAGACCAGCCCAGGCAACATGGCAAGACGCCATCTCTACTAAAAAAAAAAAAAAAAAAAAAAACACTTAGCTGGGCATAGTGATGCATACTTGTATTTTCAGGAGACTGAGGTTTGAGCATAGCTTGAGCCCAGGAGGTTGAGGCTGCAGCGAGCTTTTATTAGCGAAAAAGCACTCTAGCCTGGGTGACAGAGAAAGACCCTGTCTCAAAAAAAAAAAAAAAAAAAAATTCTATCAGCTTCACTTAAAAATATATCCAGAATCTGACTGCATTTTACCATTTTTAATGTTATGCCATCAGGTTTCACTGGATTATTTCAATAGTCTCTCCTGGTTTCTCTGCTACTGCTCTTGCTTCTCATTAGTCTATTAATAATGAATCAGGTGAACTTTCTAGAGTAGATCGTAGCATCCCATTCCTCTACCCAGTACTTCAACTCTCTGTATTTTTCATCCTGCCTAACAACAAAAAAACTATAAATTATTGTTTGCATATGCATGTGTGTGTTTGTACGCATACTGTTGTTATTCACCCTGTTTTACATTTAGCCCATTTCTAGCTAATTTTTGTATATGGTACTATCTGTGGTTAGAGGTGTTTTTTGTTTTTGTTGTGGTAGTTGTGGCAATAATTTCTTTTTTACATAGTCAAATTATTCCAGCAATTTGTTGAAAAAAATATCCTCTCTCCATCGAATTACATTGGCAACTCTGTTCTCTGGTCCTCACAGATCAGTTCCTCATGATGACTGATTTTTCAGGAAATGTGGGCTTTGAACAGACTTCACTCAGAAAGCCTGTGCTAGAGTTCCAGCATAGGGACCTCATTCCTTTATCAGGGCTCAGATCCTTCATCCTCTTGTAACAGGCTCTGGACCTACAATGGAAATCTGCTGACATGAGATTAAGAGAAGGTATCTGGAATGAAGGCACTTCTCCGACTCCACCCATTCCGCTGACAGGGCTCCAACAACTCCAGGGTCTTTTAATCAAGAGATTGCTAAGTCAAAGACAATGCCTCCTCAGCCAAATGTGAAACACAAAGGTTTCATAATCAAAATGAAATTCCTTCTTAGCACACAACTGGAGAAAGCTCTAAAGGAGATAAGAATCAATAATAAGATTTATAAAATTTGGCAGCATAAGCTGAGGATGATGATATTTCCCTTAATCTTTATGTTTCCAGATGGCACTGGTGTGGCAGCAGAAATCACATCATGGATGAGACGCTAAGAATTGGCACAAGATCTGCACCTTAGATCCAAAGACTATGTGATCCAGGCCCTCAAATACATCTTTTCTAATCCTCATAATAATTCTATGAGGTTGGCACCATTGCCCCATTACAAATGGGGAGAGGTTATGTGCAAAGTCCAAGCTCACATCACCACAATGGGATAGCCTGAGGATGCAATCCCAACACCATTTCCTGAGTCATGCTGTGCTAGGCCAAAATTTGGATTCCTAAAGTCCCTTAATGGTGATCAAATGGTCCAAGTTGCAAGTTAAGGAGAGTAGGTCGGTAAAGACAATAAATCACTGTACTCCCCAGACTTCTCCAACTAATCCCAGTTATTCTTCATGCATTTAACATAAAGCTCTTCGCCGGACAACCTGGCCTCTTACTCTTTCCCTAAACAAAGTTTTTTTCTGTAGTCTCTATATTTTTGCTCAAATGTCCCTCTCTGCCTATAATGACCACCCTATTTTCTAAGTACCTTTAATGACTACTTTCACTCTTCTGAGCTCCCTTCTGAAATCTTTTTTTCTTCCATTGCTATGTTACCACTACGATCTACCTGTCAGCACAAGTGTTGCATGTACTTGCTCCGATGTTGTGTTACTAAAAATAATTACTACCAGTTTTTCTGCATCAACTATGTGCCAGGCACTGTGTGAAGTGCTTGGTTAACATTTGTTTCATTCTCACAATAGCCTCCTGAAATAGGTATTTTTATCTTCTCTTTATTGATGAATATAACGAGATGCAGGGAAATGAATTAATTTAGAAATCAAAGCTAGTAAGTGGGTGAGTTGGCTTTTAAACCAATGTGTGACTTCAAAGTTGGAGTTGTTGATTTTTCCCCCCTTTGAGTTTTAAGCCTGTTTGAACATATCTGGGGCACTTGGAGATGGTGCACCAGAAATACATTGGCAGAAAAAATTTTTCCCAAGAGAAAAGAGAAGCAAAACACATAAAAGTGACTCAAGGATGGAGGCCCAAGACAGAGAGGAGAGGCAACTTTGACTTCCACCATGTGTCTGTTTCTATTGTCTGGCAGCCCAGCCTATGGGAGTTGCCTGAGGTTTAGGGAGAAGCAACTATGATAATCTGTGAATTGCTAGATTTGGCATCCATGGTGTGGGGCATGGTGGTCCAACATTTTCCCAGCAAGCTTCTAATGTGCTGGGGTCTATGGTGGCTTTTGTGAGCTGCACTGACTTCAGTGCGGACTCCACAGGTCAGGGAACCTTGACACCCCCTGTGCTTCGGCAACTCGTTTGTGGTGGGTTGTGACAAGTGATATTAGTAACAGCCGGATGGAAAAAGGAAGGAAAATGTAAGGTCAATGCAAATTTTTATCAAGTACCTACGATGTGCGGGCAATTTTGCAAGGTGCTAGTGTCATGCAGCCTGTGGCATATTTGAGCAGACTTATGGGAGTATATAGAAAAGCTAGGAGTGGGCCGGGCGCGGTGGCTCACGCCTGTAATCCCAGCACTTTGGGAGGCCGAGACGGGCGGATCACGAGGTCAGGAGATCGAGACCATCCTGGCTAACACGGTGAAACCCCGTCTCTACTAAAAATACAAAAATTAGCCGGGCATGGTGGCGCGCGCCTGTAGTCCCAGCTACACGGGAGGCTGAGGCAGGAGAATGGCGTGAACCCGGGAGGCGGAGCTTGCAGTGAGTCGAGATCGCGCCACTGCACTCCAGCCTGGGCGACAGAGCGAAACTCCGTCTCAAAAAAAAAAAAAAAAAAAAAAAAAAAAAAAAGCTAGGAGTGACAAAGGTCTTCATACACTTGTCTTTTTGTAATTCATCTGCCCAGAGTGGGCAAATTTTGGTAATTCATGCACAGGCACTATACTGTACATGCTAACCCTGACTTTACTCACTGCTCTGTTTCTCACCCAAGTTTGTTATGAATGATTTAAAGATGCTGAAGATACCTGGATATAAAGAAGGGGGACGAAGAAGCTAGAAAAATGCTGTTGCAATATTATTTTGGCCCTACATTTCCCCCAGCATTCTGTTGCCCAGAAATTGATTTGCATCACTGTTTGTCTTGCCTTCTCAGTTCCTTTGGCAATAACGATTATATTATCCATCTACTTTTCTTTTAAAAATTCAAAGTATAAAAATAAGTGTATTTAATAATTTGTTGAACAAATGCATACATAAATGAATAAAGACTGTCATGAATAAGTACTTTTAAACTCCAACAAGCAGCATAAATGAATGAAACTTCTCATTTTTCTCTCCATGTCTCCACTTCTGTAGGTTTCTACAAGCAGAGGGTGTAATCAAAATTGACCAGTACACTCATTCTTCCTGGGAACAGAACATGTAGGATGCTCTAAAAATACCTTCTTTGATTCATTAAACTGAGTTTCTCAAGGATGTAACGAAAAGGAACACAATTTGTTCTAGAAAGAGATTTTCCTATATGTCCTAAGAAGGAGAAAACAACCAGGAGACAAAAAGGAACTGAGATATTGACCAAAATAGATCATTAGGAAAGAGCGGGTGATTTTGAGTCAGGTTTTTTTAAAAAAAGCAACAGAAAACAGAAGTTAGAAAGAAGGTAGGAAGATACTCATGTCTTGATATGCTATCATTTTAATAACTTAATATTGATTTTAAAGTAAAAACCAACCTTATTTTTCCATTGTATGGGCCAAAATCATGTGAGTTTGTGTCACACATTGAGGGCAATGACAGTGCTAGTTAAATAAAGAGCTCGTTGATGTGCCTGAGTAACACTGTGAACTCAGCATTTTGATAACGATGTAAGGGCTAGAAAATTAGGCTTTTAGATGTCCCCAGGTCAGAGGTGAGCCTGGGTTGTTAAATGAGGCCGTAAGATTCCTCTGCCGCCACATGTGATTTGACTAAGATGACAATGATAAGTGTCCCTTCAGAGGTATGGAGCCTTCTGAGACCAGGTCACTCATTATTTCAAGGTGACCTCAAGTCCAAGGGCACATTTTAACTTCATGTACAACAAACAGCATCACGCTGCTCCTTGATGTTTACTGGTTCATTAAAGGGTAGGATGTAGGGTGTGAGGAAGTGAGGGTGGTACATTTTATTCACACCAGTAAAAGAAGAAATGCTCAAGTTATATTGTATAATTTCTATGAAAAAAAGTAACAGAAATCAGCACACCATTTTTAGAAGGCTCACCACGTGTGAATATCTTTCCAAAAAGTGATTTGTCAAAATAATTGACGTAACTATAGTGTTTCTCACATTTTCTCCTAAGTCACATGCCTAAAAGCTCAGCAGAAAAATTAATGGAAGAAAATGTAACCCATTTAAGATAAGCTGAAATATAAGCAAAGTCAAAAGATAACAAATTGATCCCCCCAAAATTGATATATAAAAAGTAAAAAGTAAGTTTTGGCTGAACGCGGTAGCTCACGCCTGTAATCCCAGCACTTTGGGAGGCCGAGGCGGGCAGATCACCTGAAGTCGAGAGTTCGAGACCAGCCTGACCAATGTGAAGAAACCCCATCTCTACTAAAAATACAAAATTAGCTGGGCGTGGTGGTGAATGCCTGTAATCCTAGCTACTCGGGAGGCTGAGGGAAGAGAATCCCTTGAACCCAGGAGGCGGAGGTTGTGGTGAGTCAAGATCACGCCATTGCACTCCAGCCTACGCAACAGGAGCAAAAACTCTGTCTCAAAAAATAGTAATTGTGAGTTTCTAAAAATCAATAAAATCACACACACACACACACACACACACACAAAGGAAAAAAGAGCAAAAGATGGAACACAAATCTAAACATAAAGTGGTCCTTAAACATATGAAAGGTAGTCATTGTCATGCATAATAAGAGATAGAATTTAATAATACATGAAAATGCCACTTTTTACCAATTTAGATTCAGAAAATCTCAAAGTTTAAAAATACACCTTGTTTGCAACTCTAAAGGAAAATAAGTCTTACATTGCAGATAGTAATGTATATTGGTGCAATCCTTGTAGAAGACAATTGGTAATACCTTTCAAAATTATAAATACATATCCTTTTCTAATGGTTCTGCTCTTGGGAATTTACCTTGAAGATACACATCTGCAAAAGGATATTACCATAGTCTCAGTCATTACAATTTTGCTTGTAATAGCAAATTAGTGAACAACACATATATGTCAGTTATGATTATTTTGCAACCATAAAAAATGAAGATAAAGATGGATTTGTCAAAATTTGATATTTATTCATGATAAAAAAAACTCTCAGAAAATTAGGAATAGAAGGATATGTCCTCAACCTGATGAAGGCCATCCACAAAAAACCTACATATAAAACTATATTTAATGGTAAAAGATTAAATTATTTTCCTAAGATCAGGAAAAAAGCTAAGATAGTTGCCTTACCAGACCTATTCAATACTATACTGGAGGTTCCATTCGGTGCAACAAGACAAGATAAAAAAATAAAAGGCATCCATATTGGAAAGGAAGAGGTATAACTGTCTTTGTTTCCATACATGATCATCTATGTAAACAATCTGATGAAATAAATAAAAATGATCTACAAAGTTGCCCATGGGATGTAATGAACAATTGATAGCCTTTTCAACAAATGGTGCTAGAATAACTGGATATCTCTATGTAAAAACAAACAAAAACAACAACAAAACCCAACCACCTCTATTTATAGCTTGCACCATATATACAAAATTACTAGAGCTGAGCCTAAATATAAAACCTAAAACTATAAAACCTCTAAAAGAAAACAGAAGAAAATCTTTGTGACATTGGGTTAATCATAGCCTTCTTGAGATATCAAAGGCACAAACCATAAAAGAAAATACTGATAACAAAGACTTAATCAAAATTTAAAACATTTGCTCTTCCAAAGATAGTGTTAAGAAGATAAAAGGTCAAGTCAGACTGAGTAAAATATTTGCAAAAAAAAAAAAAAATCTGATCAAGGTCTTATATTCAAAACTATTAAAGAACCCTTAAAACTCAATATTAAACAACCCAATCCTTAAAAGATTTCAAAATTTAAACTAAAATTAAAATGGACAAGTAAGCATACAAATAGATTGCAAATAATAGAAAAACACATATCATGCAAACAAATACCACAAGAAAGCTGATGTATTATTCTAATATCAGACAAAATAGACTTTAAAGCAAAAGAAAATGTTACTGGAGACAAAGAGAAACATTTTCTAATAAGATTGTCAATCTGCCACGAAAATATAATAATTATAAATTTATATGCAACTAATAACAAAGCACCAAATACATGAAGCAAAAATGGACAGAAATGAAAACAATTCAACAATAATTGTAAGAGATCTCAATATCGCATTTTGAACAATGTATGGAAAAACTAGACAAGACAGCAACAAGGTAACAGAAGCCGTGAAGAATAAACCAAGTATATCTAACAGATATCTATAGTACACTTCACCCAGTAACAACACAATACACAATTTTCTCGAGTTCACATGGACCATTGTCCAGGGTAGGTCATATGCTAGACTATAAAATGCTTCATAAATTTAAAGGATAGAAATAATATAAAATATGTTCTCCAACCACAATGGAATACAATTAAAAATCAATAGCAGCAAAAAATTAGGGAAACTCATAAATATGAAGAAATTAAACAGCATATTCCTAAATAACCAATGGATCAAAGAAGAAATCAAAAGGGAAATCAGAAAATAATTTGAGATGAATGAAAATGAAGACACAACATACTCAAATTTATGAGATGCAGCTAAAGCAATTCTTCAAGGAAAATTCCTAGTTGTAAATTCCTATATTAAGTAAGAAGAAAGATCTCAAATTAGTAACAATATTTTAGGTTAATAAAATAAAAAAAAAAAAAAGAAAAGCCACTGCCAAAGAAACACACACACACACACACACACACACACAAGACTCTGGAAAAAGAAGAGCACACTAAATCTATAGCTAGCAAAAGGACAGAAATAATAAAAAATTACAGCAGCAATTAATGAAACAGAGAATAGAAAAACAATAGAGAAAATCGATGAAACCAAAAGCTGTTTTTTTAAAAGATCAACATAACTGACAAAGCATTAGTTAGACCGACCAAGAAAAAAAAAAAAAAAAGACTCAGATTATTAGAACCAGAAATGAAAGAGGGGACATTACTACCAATGCTACAGAAATAAAAGGAATTACAAAGAATATGATGATAATTGTATATCAACAATTTAGATAACTTAGATGAGATGGACAAATTCCTAGAAAGACACAAACTACTGAAACTTACTCAGGAAGAAATAGACAATCTGAATAGACCTGAAACAAGTAAAGAGATTAGTAATTATTTTAAAAATTAGCTAAACTGGATTTCATCAAAATTAAAGACTTTTGTGCTTGAAGATGCATTAAAATCAAAGCACAAAACTGGTTATATTTCTACACAAAGAATAATCTGTAATAGACAATCTGAAAATAAAATCAAACAAATATTTGCAATCACATCAAAACAATAAAATAGTTAATAATAAATTTAACAAAATAAATGCAAAAGTTATACATTGAAAACTACAAAATGTTGTTGAAAGATATTAAAGAAGCTGTGAATAAACAGAATAGCATCTCATATTTATGGATTAGAAAACTTAACAGTGTTTAGATAGCAGTACTCCTCAGATTGACGTACAGTGCAATCCCTATCAGAATCCTGGTGTCTTCTTTGTAGATACTGACAAGCTGATCCTAAAATTCATATGCAAGGGTCCCAGGATAACCAAAACAGTCTTGGAAAAGAGGAACAAAGTAGGAGGGCTCACATCTCCTGATTTCAAAATTTACTACAAGGCAATGGTAATCCAGAAAGTGTCGTGTTGAGATGAGGATAAAAATGTATAGATTAATGGAATAGAGTTAAAAGTCCACAAATGAACTAATACACCTATGGTCAACTGATTCAATGAGGGTTACAAAACCATTCGGTGGCAGCGGAGGTGAGGGTAGGAGGGGAAGAATCGTTTTTCAACTCATGGAGCTGAGACAGTTGAATAGCTACACGCAAAAGAATGAAGTTGGAAACTTTCCTACGTGCAAAAGAATCAAAGTGGAACCTTTCCTTACCTTTCCTTACATATCCAAAAATTAACTCAAAGTACTAAAACTATAAAATTATCAGCAGAAAACTTAAGGGTAAATTGATACACCTTTGGATTTAGCAAAGGATTCCAAGACATAAACTTTTTCAAAGCACAGAAATGAAAGAAAAAAGTAGATAAATTGTATTTCATAAAAATTAAAAACTTTTGTGCTCAAAGATGCCATTAAGAAAGGGGAAAGACAACCCAATTGTACTGAATGAAGTTCAATTTATCTATTAGCTAATTTTTACATATAATGTAAGGTAAGGCTCAACTTCATTCTTACAAGTCAATAATAAAAAGACAAATAACCCAACTTAAAAATGGGCAAAAGATCTGAATATACATTTCTTCAAAGAAGATGTATAAATGGCCAACATATGAAGAGATAGTTGATGTTATTAGTCATCAGAGAAATGTAAATCAAAACCACAAGAAAATAACACTTCACAGTCACTAGAATGACTACAATAATAAAGTCAGATAATTATAAGTGTTTCTAAGTATATATCAGAATCCTCAAACATTGCTGACAGAAAAGTAAAATGCTTCAGCCGCTTTCAAAGAAGTCTGACAGTTGGTCAAACAATTAAATATACAGTTACCATAAGACCCAGTAATTCCACTATGGGTACATAACTAGAAGAAATTAAAACATATTTCCACAAAAAATGTGTACATAGACATTTATAGCACATTTATTTATAAGGCACAAAAGGTGAAACAACCCAAATATTCATCAACCTACGAATGAATAAACAAAATGGGACATAATCATGCCACGGAACACTATTCAGCCATTAAAAGTAACCAAGTACTGATACATGCTATTACTTACCACATCCCACATAGACCTAGAAAATATTATGCTAAGGGAAGGAAACCAGCCACCAAAGACTACATATTATCATTCCATTTGTATGGAAGTCCAGAATAGAGAAACCGACAGAAACAGAAAATAGATTAGTGGTTGCTGAAGGCAGGTGATGGTAGTGGGGATGGGAAACTGTTTAAAAATGAACAAATATTTTGACAATTCACCAAAGAAAAAATGTTGTTGGGAAAGAAACATATGAAAAGATGCTCAACATAATTTGTAATATTATATAGGTTAAAATAAAAAGACCAACTTTATTGTTAGCAAAGATTTAGAGCAACTAGAACTCCCAGACATCGTTGGTGGGGATGCCAGATGGTACAGCCACTTTGTAAAACAGTTCTGCAGATTCTAGTAAAGTTAAACTTACATGTATCTAGGACCCAGATTTTCACTCTTAGGAATTTTACCCAAGAGAAATGCAAAATATCGACGCAAAACCTACAGTAAATATTTAGAGCAGCTGTATTAGCTTCCTATTACTACTGTGACAAATTACCACAACCTTCGTGGTTTAAAGCAAGACAAATGTATTATCTTACAATTCTGAGGTTACAAGTTCAAAATAACTCTTAGGCTAAATCAAAGTATGTTGGGTTTTGTCTATTCTGGAGGCTCTAGGGGAGAATTCACTTTCTTGCTGATTCTGACTTCATTCCTGGATTGTAGCCTCCTTCATTTTCAAAGCCAGCCATGTAGCATCTTCAAATCTGTCTGTCTCTCAGACACACACACACACACACACACACACACACACACACACACACACACGGCTCTGCTTCTCCTACCTCCCTGCTTCCCTTATAAGAACCTTTGTGATTATACTGGGCCAACCTGGATAAACCAAGATAATTTCTTTATCTCAAAATTTTTAATTTAATCATACCCACAACATCCCTTTTGACATTAACATATTCACAGTTTCTGGAGATTATGATTCAGATGCATTGTGTGTAGAAGACAAAGGGGTAGAGCCAGGCGTGGTGGCTCACACCTGTAATCCCAGCACTTTGGGAGGCCGAGGCAGGAGGAAGCACCTGAGGTTGGGAGTTCGAGACCAGCCTGACCAACATGATGAAATCCAGTCTCTACGAAAATACAAAAATTAGCCGGGCCTGGTGGTGGGCACCTGTAATCCTGGCTACTTGGGAAGCTGAGGCAGGAGAATTGCTTAAGCCCGGGAAGCGGAGGTTGCAGTGTGCTGAAATCGCGCCATTGCATTAAAGCCTGACCAACAGAAACAAAAACAGAAACAAAACAAAACAAAAAACTCTCAAAAACAAAAAACAACAAAAATGGGATGGAGCAGGTATTATTCTGACTACTACAGTAGCTTTACTTAAAATTGCTAAAACTGGAAAAAATGAAGATGGCCTGTTACCTGATGAATGGATAAACAAATTATGATACATTCCACACAGTGGACACAAAATCTGAGACACCTCAACACCACTCCCTTACATAATCTTCTCACACCAACATGCCTGACACATGTGAGAAGTGAATGGTAAGGCTGGTGTGCATCTTAGAGTCACTGACCTCCTGACAAAGATTCTCTCTTTGACCAAACTCTAGACAGGCTCCTCTGAGCTCTTTTTCATTCATTCCATGTCCTTGGATGTGTTCTCAAGAGTCCGACTTTAGCAAGAATTCTGCTAAGTTAGTTTAGGCAGGACCCTCGATATGTCACCTTTGATATGTGATTGAGTTCCTCATCCTCCACCATCCCTCAGGTGACATCCGATTCGCCTGGCCTGCCTTCAATAAGAATCCTATTAGTTGGATTTAGCCAGAATCTCCTCCAACTCTGATGTTTCCTCTTAGTAATTTTCCTTCTGCTGCTAAAAATTGGCTATAAATTCCCAATTGTTCTTGTTGTTTTTGAAGTTGAGCCCAATTTCTCCTGATTACTGCAAAACTCCATTTAGTACACCTTATACCAATGGTGATGGTCCTGAATAAAGTGTGCCTTACCATTTTAACCAGTGTCAGGAATATTCTTCTTTAACACTGCTCATGTTATAGACAGAATACTATCATCTGAAGAGATCAGGTGACTTGCCCAAGTGCACATATCTGAGATCTCCTGCTTCTTGGTTTGGTACTTTCCCTACCATACTCCACATTAATCCTTACTGAGTTCCTACTCCTAAGAAAATCATAATGTGAGTGAAAATTAATAGCATAAAGCACTATACGGTGGTCTTTCTTTCCCTTAAAGCATGAGTTTGAGAGGGCTTTATGGTACAGTCATTAACAACTCAGACTTGGGGACAAACAGGTACAGTAGCAGGTCCTGGCTCTGCTACTTCCTAATTAAGTAATTCCCTGTGCCCTAGTTCTGCCTTCATAAAATAAAGCTAATAATATCTAATATTCAGGGCAGTTGTCAGAATTAAATAGGAATTTCCTGGTAAAATTCTTAGCATGCTAAGTGCTCAGTATCTGGTGGCTATTATCATTCTTGTCACTATCATTATCGCTGGTCTTTATTGAAAATCAGAGCGGAGCTAACAGACCCATGTAGGCCCTTTAGCATCCACTCTTCTGAAAAAGACAATTTGTAGAATGGCACACAAGCCTTTTGCTGAAGTTCAAAATCAGCCCAAAGGATGCTTTGTTTAAAAATATAATAATAATTGCTTTGTAAAATACATGTTTGTAGTTGACTGGATTCAACTGAATTCTACCGATTATTTCAGAAAACAATCAGTTGCATGAATTTTACATCTTAAAATAAGCTAGTCTGTCTCCAGATAGGTAAGGTGGATAGAGTCTTCAGAACAAGTAAATTTCATCCTTACTTTCCTCAGTTAGGTTATATCACATTTAATGTTTAGTGAGAAGCAAAGATGAGCGTGATCACAAAGTGTTATAAAAATACATATAAATTCAAACAATGTATATTTTGGAAGAGAGATAGGGTTTGTATACAATGCAAAATAATTGATTTTACCTAAAATTTCAACCTTTGTAAATTTTGTCACCTGTGCAGTTGGAATAGAGGTGATTACATTGCCTGCAAACCCTGCCTTTGGGGTTTGCACAGAATCGTATAATAATATCTCATATGTACAGAGCGTTTACTGTCTGCTGGTGTTGTGCTGAGCACTTTATGCAAATTAACTTTATGTGCATGAACTTGTGCACATTAATTTTTAAAATCTTCACAGCACACCTGTGAATTAGGCCCCTTATAGTCATTATTTGAACAATTAGGAAATCAAGACACAGAAAAGTTAAGTAATGAGCCCGAGGTGACGTGCGGAATCTAGACTCACTCTTGGGCCTCCTTAGCAGGGACAGGCTGTGGGTGAAGCCAGTGGGGTCATGGCTGAGGGTGCAGGTCCAGGTAAGGAAGGAGCAGGCTGGGCAATTTGACAGCAATTGAAAGACCTTAGAGAAACTTGTCAAAGTAAGATCAGGAGGGCGGGGAGACATAGCAGCCAAGGAAAATAAGGTGGGGAAATCTGTGAACCCTTCTTTAACTTAGTAAAGAGAGTGGGGGCGGTGGGGGGAAGCTTATTTGACCTTGGAGAGAAAGGCCTAGTAAAGGGAGGCAGAACACAAGTTTAGGGAATTACCATTGGAAGGATGCACCTCCTTTGCTGGAGAAAAATCAGGGATCTTAATTAGGCTGCTGCTGCTGAGGTATTAGTGGAGGAATCTCTTTAGCTCAAGGAGGGCCGTTGCCAGAGGACAAATGGGGGAGCATCCCTTGCATTTAAATATTATATAAATTGCACATGAGTCTCAATCATTCTTACAAAATTCTCCCTCCATATCCCTCAGTCTCTCCAGTAACAAGTGAAATAGGAGGCAGGGGTTTGCTTACCTGTGTACTTCCCTTGATTGTGATCAGCTTAAGTGGATTCTACACTCATTCATTCTACAAATATTTATATTGAAATGTTTACATCCCCCCTCACTGACACACACAGAAACCTTAACAATTTAAAATAAATAATCTCTAAAAATCATGTTTCAGCCTGGTGCAGTGGCTTACACCTTTGGGAAGCTGAGGCAGGTGGATCACCTGAGCTCAGGAGCTCAAGATCAGCGTGGGCAACATGGTGAAACACCATCTCTACCAAAAGTACAAAAAATTAGCCAGGCGTGGTGGCATGTACCTGTGGTTCCAGCTACTCAAGAGGCTGAGGTGAGAGAATCGCTTGAGCCTGGGAGGCAGAGGTTGCAGTGAGTGGAGACCATGCCACTGCACTCCAGCCTGGGCGACAGAGGGTCTCAAAATGAAAAAAATCATATTTAAAATCAACAAGGCCCCAGTACATTCCCTTCACTTTATAGATGAGAAAAATGAGGCTTCCAGATGTAAAATAACTTGCTCAGGGCCATACAGTAAATTAACCAGGGGATTCTAGATGAATGTGAAATTACCCTGGCCCCTGCCCTACCAAAATGCACCCTGGTTCCCACATGCCCCATTTCTACTTCTCTTTATTCTGGTATGAATGTACATGTGTACATACACACACACACACACACACACACACACACACACACACACACACACACACCCCTCTCCCAACTATCCATCCATTTTCAGAAAAATCTGAGAGCTGCAGAGGCAGATTTGCCATGAAACCAATGAAATTTTAGGCACAGGCATTTCCAAAGCCCTGTATCTCATTCTGCATTTGTATTTCATATTCTTTTAAAAATATATCCCTGAATTATATCAAGTTCAAATACCCAGAGGCAGCATTCTCTATCCGCCCCCTGGGAAGCAGGGCTATGGAGGAAGCATGAGTTACACTTGCTGAAAACTCAGTGGAGCAAATAATGATCAAAGTGAGAGTGCAACCCAGAAGGAAGCAGGGAAAGGACAGAATCAAGGCATCCCTTGGCATCACAGGTAGAAAAAGGTGACTCAGCAATCTTGCCCCTCTTTTCCATCACATGAACTTCGTGAAGAAACAGAAGAAAGTTGGCTTGAGAATTGCAGAAGGCTTCTGATACGTGGGGAAGCTGAGCGGGTCACAAGGAGGATTGTGCATAGGGAGGCAAGGTGGGACAGCCTGGTGGCTCCTCACCAGTTGTGTGCTGGAGCTGGCTTATACCAGGCTTGAAAAGGCCCGTTGTTAAATTTTTAGAAATCTTGTAAGCCAGGCCGGGCGCGGTGGCTCACGCCTCTAATCTCAGCACTTTGGGAGGCCGAGGCGGGTGGATCACGAGGTCAGGAGATCGAGACCATCCTGGCTAACACAGTGAAACCCCGTCTCTACTAAAAAAATTCAAAAAGTTAGTCGGGCGTGGTGGTGGGTGCCTGTAGTCCCACCTACTCTACTCGGGAGGCTGAGGCAGGAGAATGGCATGAACCCGGGAGGTGGAGCTTGCAGTGAGCCGAGATAGCACCACTGCACTCCAGCCTGGGTGACAGAGTGAGACTCCATCTCAAAAAAAAAAAAAAGAAAGAAATCTTGTAAGCCAATTGTTAAATGCAACTCTTGGGGCTCAGAAAATGATACCCCAAAATATAGCACTTTGACATGCTGAACTAAAGAAGCAATCTCAAGGTCCCTGATCTCCCCCTCTAAACTAAATGGGACCAGAGAAAATTGTCTCTCAATCCTCTGTCTCTCCAAAAGTACAAGATGACACCATTCTCTGAAGTTCCCATATCCACCTACAAATGGGACCTACTTCTCAGGTCCCATTTGGTTTATAAACAGAATCATTTACAATCTAATTTCTGTCTCTTGGGTTCATTAATCTCTCCTAAAATCATTTACTACCCTTCTAAAATTGCTTACAGCCCCCTACTTCCTTCTCCCCTATAAAGAGTGTATTTAAGCATCAACCATTTGGTCTTTCTTTAACTCTCATACTTTGTGAGTGGCTTCTGTGTTTATGTATGTTAAATGAATTTGTATACCTTTTTTTCCTGTTAATTTGTCTATTGTCAATTCATTTCAACAGACTTAGACTCGAACCTTTGGAGGGAAAGTTTGAACTTCCCTACATAGCCATCTAAAAATCAAATTATATTAACTTAAAATTAAATAAATTGTATTGAAAACAAAAGTAATAAATACACAGAACTTCTCAATTCCTAATTATTATGATTTATATCTATGTTTTTACATCTAAATTCTCTACAGGAGTGTGCTACTGTGTATCTCTTCCCAACTCTGTATTCAACAACATCATGTTGGTGGCTGGAAATCCGCCATCATGGGAGTATTAGCACCAAAGAAATCAACAAACATTACAAATCCGGGCTTGATTTATTGTTTTGTGGATTGTCTAGACTTAAGAATGTGACAGAGAAGTGTTAGTAATGCAGATTAAACGTAAAAGCAATCTGTGAATGCTGACATTACCTTGTAAATATCTTAAGAATTGAGAAATGTTCTTTCAATATTTAAAAACTGTTATCTGATTTGGCAAAAAATATCACTCATGTCATTTGAGAAACAAGTGAAATTCTGACATTCATCTTCATGATTTCAGTTTCATCTTACTTGTTAAAGTAAATGAAAATATCAACCAATATTCATGGCAGAATTACACAAGGAGAGTAGACTGTATTTACCAGCACAACACTGGTCCTAATCTAGGGCCTGCGAGCCCCTTCCTAGGAGGTCTTTGTTCATGGATGATTTATAGAATGTCTATTAAATTACATCTAACACTCGGCATAAAATTTACTTTTCTGGAAAGTGGTTCATAGCACTTATCAGATCCTCAAAGAGTATGATTAACAAAGAATTTACAACTCACTGATATAACAGATAATGCATCTGCCTGGCATTGCAAAATCCAGCTTCACCATTTATTATCTCTAAGAGTTTGGGCTACTTACCTAACTTCTCTGGATCCCATTTTTCACATCTAATAGATGTAGGACCTACTTCTTAGGTTATAAAAATCAGATAGGGGAGCCCACACAGTAGATGCCAAAACCAAGAAGACACAGATTCCCATCTAGTTACTTCACTGACCATGTGGTCTTGAACAAATCATTTAAATTGACTCGGTCTCACTTTTCTCATCTGTAAAATGGGAAGATAGGTGTAAGTATTTTTCAAATTATTTTAGTTTGCAGAACTTTTCTTCAAATGAAATCATACATTTAGAAATAGTATAAGAAAAAAAATTATTGCTTGGAATATGAGGGAAAGAGGAGAAGAGGGAGTTTGCCTTGATGTCTCTCAGATGCTTCCAGAACATCACTAGTTCTCCATAGAAAAGCATTGAACTAGACTATCTTTAACATACATACAGCGCAGTTCTAATTAGCCAGGCATGGTGGTGCTCACCTGTAATCCCATCTACTTGGGAGGCTGAGAAACTTGAACTCAGGAGTTCACTTGAACTCAGGAGCCAGTGAGCCAAGATCGTGCCACTGCACTCCAGCCTGGGCAACAGAGCGAGGCTCCGTCTCAAAAGAAAACTGCCACCACCAACAACAAACCCATAAAAACCAGTTCTAAAATTATCCGTATTGTTTTTGCCCTCAGCACTGACAAGAACTCCAGTGACAAGAAGACCAGATGAGAAGTGATGACTCAGCCCAAACCCATCCTACTCTGACCAATAAAGTAATGCCTGGAGCAGCACTACTGGGAAGGATTCTTTATATCAAAAGATATAAAAACAGAAATGATGGTTTCTGAAGGATATTTGGTTGTTGCTTATTGCCTGAACCCTCCAGATCAGCCTATCTGTCTAAATGTCCTCTGTTGACTCCATAAGACACAGGAGAATTGCCCAGCAAGGCCTGTCTGAATTCTTGGCCCACAGAATTTTTAGGTATGATAAAATGGCTGTTGTTTTACATCACTAAGTTCAAAGAAATTTTGCTATTCAGCAAAAGATAAAGAAAACTGGAACAGTAGTGGCTTAATCAAACAAGTACGTTACTAGCTTTTTTTTTTTTTTTTTTTTTTTTTTTGAGACAAAGTCTTACTCTGTCACCCAGGCTGGAGTACAGTGGCACGATCTCGGCTCACTGCAACCTCTGCCTCCTAGGTTCAAGTGATTCTCCTGCCTCAGCTTCCTGAGTAGCTGGGATTACAGGTGCATGCCACCATGCCTGGCTAATTTTGTATTTTTAGTGCAGACGGGGTTTCGCCACGTTGGCCAGGCTGGTCTCGAACTCCTGACCTCAGGTGATCTGCCTGCCTCGGCCTCCCAAAGTGCTGAGATTATAGGCGTGAGCCACCGCACCTGGCCAGGAACTGTAATTTTAAGTAAGAGATGGCTATAGACTTAGGAATGTCTGCAGGGTCCCAGCGAGTGAGGGTGCTTTTGTTGGCTTCTTGGCCTACAGACTCCTTCAGGAAAAGTTACACTCATTCCAAAGAGCCTCAGCTAAAGCAGGACATGGAGGCTGCCTGGCCTTGCTATGGAGGGTAGGTGAGAACACCAGAGGTCAAAGCACTGCAAGTCCTTGACCTTCTGGGTGATTTGGCTTATAAATACAGATCAACAAAATGCTATTTCTGAACTTCTTGAACAAGTGGAGTCATCCTGGCTGGGTTTTCTCAGTGATAGAGAGAAATGGGGGTGGAGGAGTCATGGCTGGGCATGAAGACCTTCTGGGATGTCAAAGCACACAGCTGGGACAGAGTTAGGACCCAGGCCAGGAACAAAAAGAATCTTAAAGTAAGGCAGACCAAACACAGCACTACAACCTTCTACTTGGCTTGGTGGCTTTGATTCCACTTACTTTTTCCAAGTCTTCCGGGGACCACTAACTGTCTAGACTGACATTCTCTACTCTGTGTCAGGCACGCCATTACTGGATGGCATTTGGTTCTCCCTTTGATCTGTTTTAAGAAATATTTGCTAAAAGTGATTTTGCCTATAGAATGATCTTAGAACTAATGAACTGTGCTTTTGTGAATCTTGAGAGTTAACTGTGAATTGACACTATTTTATTTTATTTTTTATTTATTTATTATACTTTAAGTTTTAGGGTACATGTGCAGTATGTATGTGTTTTCAAAGGCACAAAACAAACAGCAGCCAAATACTCTATAAATATGGTGTCTCTAATTGGCTTCGAGAATGACGATTTTAAAAGTATTTAAGGCATATCTCACAGTGCATTTAAATTATTTCCCTGTTAGCATCTATCACTACCTTTCTTACATTGTGCTAAGTTGTGTGTCTCCACCCTACCATCTTGTGAGCCCCAGAGGCTCAGCACTGAGCCTCATTCATTTCTGTGTTTCTGCTAGTACTTAACTGAGCACAGATCTAGAAGTTCACCCATGAGGAGCTTCATAAATACCTGATGAATTAAAGTGATCTGGCACCTGGTCAACATGGACCATGTTCCATGTTGTCTCCATCTGGCTTCTGTGGACAGCACATATGTCAAGGATGGATGTTATCAACCCAGCCTGGACACTGTTTATGGCTACAGTGAACATGAACAGGTGGGCAGAATGTCAACAAGCCAAGTTCAAAAATATAGAGAGAACAATGTGTATGGCTGCCAGTGATCTGGGAATTGTAAGCCATTTAAAGAGATATAATGCTAATTGCCTCATCCAATTACTACAAGGGTTTGAGATAATGCAATTAAATTACCTAGCAAAGAGCCTAGCTCATTTGCTGAAGTGGTAACATTCTTATTGTAATAATTATTAATACATTAACAGTAATAAGCCACCTGGTATAATAATAGAAGGCTGGAAAACAACTTGGCCTATAGCAGAGCCAGAAAAATTCTTTTTTTGAATAACAGTATTCTGGATTTAATTATTGGCAACCAACTGGACAAAGGATAGAGCCTTCTATTAATGGTACTTCCATAAACTCTCGCCTTGGCTGAGGAAATCCTACATGCCCTATAAGATTCAGCTCCATAGATTTGTGTAAAGCCCTTCCCTCATCATCTTCTGCTTTCTCTCCCATGGCGGTCATGAACGGCAGCACCCTCTCCAGTTCCAGCTCTGTATATCTAAAGCTGTTGCCAAGCTCCCATCACCCTCTACAGTACGTGGTACCTCCAGTTCTTACCAAAGAGAGCCATGTATGCTTAAAGGGGCATTTTATAACCTTGGCATGGATGGACAGAGAAGACAAGCACATTGAACATGAAAGGGTCTCCCAAGAGACTCTAATATGCCCACAGCACCAGCCCATTTCTTCTACCTATCCTCTGTCAAAAAGTGCTGATTCACCTTTATATTACTATAGCTATTATACATGGTATTATATATAATGTTGATATATATTATATAATTGACATATATTAATTGTATTAATTAAATGATAACTTGACTCAATATAGTTTTAAAAAAGTTTACTTCTTAGCTAATTTGCAAGTGCAAGTGTCACCCATACTTGATAAATGTATGATCTACAGAAGTCAAGCAGAGACAATATGGAACACTGTCCAGGTGCCAAATCAGTTTAACTAGAAAAGCATTTATTGAGCATCTGCTATGCATCTAGGTTTGTGCTGGGCTGGGTGCTAGTGCATGCACCTGTTCCTGAAAGTGCTTCTTTAAATATTGGGCCCTGGTCCCCTCTTGCCTCACCGTATTTCCTGCAGAGAAGTACTGACCTCAACCCCAGACACTCCTCTCTCCTCTCTGCATCTGCTGCTGACATCACTGAGAGGTGTGAGGCTCTACATTCCTCCTTCTGACCTCGGTGTATTCTGAATTTCTGCCGTGTATTTCCTAGTTCCTTTCAGAGCCTCCATGGCATCCCAACCCTCAGGATGAGGAAGGCATAGAGAAAGAGCCGAGTGTGGAATCATTAGAAGTGACAATGAGCTGAAATGTTGGCTCTCCCATTTAATGCTTGTATGACCATACATAAGTTTCTGTATCTCCCTGACCACATCTATAAAATGAGGATAACAATTCTTCCCCACTAAAGTCAGTTGTGCAGATTAAGTGAGGTATGTAATGTTTGCCTGAAAAAAAGTCTATTCCCGACACTCACCTCCCAACTATATCCTTTCCCTGCTCCTCAATCAGACCCAGTCTCAGCTTTCAGGTTGCCCCACCCTGCTCTTTGAAGATTTCAACTTCACCCTAATCCTGGAAGATTTTGTGGCTACAATGCCTGAAAAACCCTAAAGTTCTCACCCTGGAGTGGGGTGTAATACGCAATGCTGTCTAAGACCTAGAGGTGAACAAAACAAAAAAGATGGCCCCTGTCCTCAAGGGGCTTGTAGAGGCTTAAAAAAAGGAATAGATAACTGGCCCGGCGTGGTGGCTCACACCTGTAATCCCAGAACTTTGGGAGGCCGAGGCAGGTGGATCACTTAAGGCCAGGAGTTCAAGACTACCCTGGCAGTGAAATCCCATCTCTACAAAAAATACAAAATGTAGCCAGTCATGGTGGTGCAAGCCTGTAGTCCCAGTTACTCAGAAGGCTGAGGCAAGAGAATTGCTTGTATCTGGGAGGTGGAGGCTACAGTGAGCCAAGATCGCGCCATTGCACTCCAGGCTGGGTGACAGAGTGAGAGTCTGTCTCAAAATAAATAAATAAATAAATAGGAAACTGATGTGACAATAATATAATATGAGGCATATATGCTATAAGAAATGTACAAACAAAATGCTACAAAAGCACAGAGAAGGAAAATATTTTTTTCCAGCCTAAGAAATGAGAACACTTCATGGTTAGATGTAGTTGAGCTGAGTCTTACAGGATGGGGAGGATCTGAAAAGGCAGATAACAGAGTGCATTCAGAAAGGCTGAAGCAAACACCCAGAGGCAGGAAAGCACCTGGAGCTGTCTGGTTTGGGAGGGGTGTAGGGTGACTTCAAGGACCCAATGAAAGATTCAGCTGAAAAAGTAGAATAAGGCCAGATCCCAGCAAGCCTTCAAAAGCCACCCTGTTGCTTCTACCTGGAAACCCATTTTCCCCCTTCCGTCCATATAGAATTTACCTATCCCTGTGGATGTAATTTCCTGCAGGAAATCTCCCTGACCCTGAGTTAGGGCCCCCCTTATATGTCCATCCTGCATCTGCATCCTGCGTCTCTCATGGTGGTCCTCAAAGGCGCCACTCTCTCCAGCCCCCCTCTGTGTATCTAAAGTGGTTGCCAAGATCCTATCTCCCCCTACAGTAGATGGTGCCTCCACTTCTTACCGAAAGAGAGCCATGTATGCTTGCATCCTTCATCCTGCATCCTATGCCTCCATCACAACACTACCTACCAACTTGGAAATGCTCCTTTTGCTCCTTCTCCTACGAGAACTTGAACTACATGATGTATCTGTAGCCAATGCCTCATGTAATGTCTACCGAATAATAGGGGCTCAGCAAATGTTTGCTCAATGAATGAATGAATGAATAAAAGCAAAAGCTCTGATAAGAAGCTTGGACTTTACTTGGTAGACACTGGAGAAACATTAAGAAAAAAATTAAGATTCAAGAGGCTAGGTTTAAGAAGATTTCTCTGGAATAATTGGATAGAAATAGTTTAGAATGATGACAGGGTTGGTATTGAGAGAACAGTCAATCCTACAGTAATTCAGGAAGGAGAGGCAAGTGTTTCAGGGAGGGAAAACAGCAATAATTCAGATAAGAGACGATGAGTGATTCAACAAGGTTACTAATGCAAAGAAGGGACAAAGGAGAAGGAAACATCTGTAAATCAACTTCAAGCCTACATGAAAGGAAAATGCTGCATAAATAAAACCAGAAAATATACCGGGTGTGGCAGCTCAAACCTGAAATCCCAGTGCTTTGGGAGGCCAATGCAAGGGAATCACTTGAGGTCAGGAGCTTGAGACCAGCCTGGGCACCAAAGGCAGACCCCTGCCTCTATGAAAAAAACAAATTAATTAGCTGGACGTGGTGGTGCAGGCCTGTGGTCTCAGCAACTTGGGGGGCTGGGGCAGCAGGAATGCTTGAGTCCAAGAGTTGGAGTGAGCTATGACTGTGCCACTGCACTCCAGCCTCAACAACAGAGTGAGACTCTATCTCTAAAAACAAAATATTAAAAAATATTAATGAGCCAGAATATACTGGAAGAGATTCCGTGTTATGTAAGATGATGGGCTTATTTTCAATAAATTGACCATAAAGGTGTAGAGGAACATCTACATGATGATAGATAATAGGAGTTTTGGAGAGAGGTCAGAGATCACAAATGTAGATTTTAGGGCTGTGTCCCATGGAGGTGACAGCTAATTAAATAAGATAACCAAGGAAGAAATAACGGTGAGAGAGAAATGTGGGACAAAATTGCTTCAAACTTGCCACAAAATTGACCTTTGTGGATAGGTAAATTTAGGAAAGAGACGGTAGAGGAAAATCCACTGAAAAAACCTCAAAGAAGCCGTAGGATATATGGAAGTTATCAATGTCAGAGACAGAAAGTGTCTACAAGGAAACGAAGCCAGTTGACAATGACAAGGGAAGTGCCTGGGTCTGCCAGTAGAACTATAGATGACTCCTTAGAATACAAATTCTACAGAGTGACAGGAACAAAAGCCACATTGTAAGGAACAAAGAATCAATGGGACTTCCACAGATGGGGGTCAATGGCCTCTAGAGAAGTTTGCAGGCAACTCAAGAAGGGAGAGAAGATGGTAACCTAAGAGGTAGTAGGTAAGAAGCAAGATTTTTATTCTTTTTTTTTATAGAAGAGATATTTGGGCATTAGTGAAGGAGAAGAGACTGATTTCAAAGAAAATATAAAAATAACTGACAGAGCCTTGAAGAATAGTGAAATTGAATAACACACAGTTATGGGAATACATACACTTTATCTTGACAACCATGGTTTCAGTTTCTGGAGAGACACCTTGATATATATACATGCATTTGGTTCCCAGTGAAACATTTTTGAAAGGATATTACTGTAATTTGCTTTCCTGTCACACCCACACATATATACATGACAACATCCACATCAAATTTCATCTAAAGCCAAAAATATACATACTCATGTTTATTCACACAGATCTGGCTCTTATTAGTCAGTTATTTCATCTTTGTTGAATGTCTTTAGAACATATCATTCTGTCACTGCATTGATTGGCTTTCATTATGCCTTCAAGTGACAAAATATATGCCAATTTAAAAAGGTGGCCAGGCGCAATGGCTCACACCTGTAATCCCAGCACTTTGGGAGGCCAAGGCAGGTGGATCACCTGAGGTGAGGGGTTCAAGACCAGCCTGACCAACATGTTGAAACCCTGTCTCTACTAAAGATACAAAATTCGCTGGGCATGGTGGCACATGCCTCTAATCCCAGCTAGTTGGGAGGCTAAGGCAGAAGAATCGCTTGAACCCAGGAAGCCAGAGGTTGCAGTGAACCGAGATCATGCCATTGCACTCTAGCCTGGGCAACAAGAACAAAACTCCGTTTCAAATAAATAAATAAAATTAAAAAGGCACTGTATTTCTCTTTGTGTATTCATATGGATATCTATTTTGTAGCTACGAATGAAATACCAATTCCATTCAGAATAAGAGAAGGAAACAAATAAATTATATCACATAACACTTATCATTATACATGTCTTGGGAAGGATAACCATTCATTAGTTTAAGTTAAGTCTTCTGCTTCTATGATAAAGGTTAGTTTAGAAAGCCGGGGCTCAGTCTGCCTCTCCTGTAATATTCACACTGGATGTAATGGAAACAAAATCATAGGCATTAAGAGACTCTCTAAGAGTGTAGAATAAACTAACAAATGTGGTTACTCATGACAGGAAGGGTGAAAAAACTGAATTATTCAGGATAATGGTGAGCCTCCAATATGTTTTCCCAATGTTGTTTCATTTTTGAACTATCTTACTAGATTACCTAATCATAAAGCAAATTTAAAAATGTAAAATAAAAATAAACACAAATATCCAGTCATATTTTTATTGTCCCACTATGCTTCTATCAAAACACAACATTCTGCCTAAAACAATTTATCATCCTTTATAACAGAAGGTTAAGCAGGATCCTAATTAATGAATGTATCAATTGTTTTTCTCTGTCAAGCACAAGATATTGTCTTCCATAATGGCATACACTCAAGCAATGAATAATAAATATAATTATCATCATCACTACCGTCATACAAATTATTTGTTCGGGCAATAAAAACCCATTCCTTTAAGATGATTGTAAAAAATGAAATAGTATATGGATGGCTCACTTAAGATAGTTCAATACTGTGTCTCACACAGATAGTGTTTGAAAGGGGCTTGGCATCTTGCAGAGCATCCTCAATGCATACCTACTCCAAAGAGATCAGGAAAGAGCCAAAAGTGCATGCTCCTCATGAGAAAGGTGGATCCTGCACAGATAATTGATGCCCCTGAAAACTGGAGGAAGTGTCCTTGCCGCTCACAAAGGAAAACAGAGAGCATAGGATGGCAGGGGCTCATAGGAAAATGTTGGATCTTAAGAGCAGAAAAGTGGAAGAGAAACACGTGATGACATCAATTGTCCCTTGAGGTCTATGGGACTAGAACTGTTATTTGGAAGTTAGATTCCTATGGCAAACAACAATATGCTTCTTCATAAATGATTTAGCCAGGAGAAGCGCGGGCAAAATGACCTTTGAAGACCATCTTCATGAAGAGAAGAAATCACGTCTCAAAGTGCAAAAAAAGCAAGGCAAGGCTGACAGGCATTTCCATTCCCAAAGCTGGCTTTCTTTGACCTTGAAATCTCTGAATATTGATGCAGCCACTTGTTCCCTAGAGGAAAAGGATCTCAAAGCACTGTATAACCACCTGGCATAGCTTCTTCTTTCTAGACTTCCTTCTGGACTTGTCAGAGAAACTGCCTCAGCCTGTGGCTACTCCAGAGGACATGGGGTGAGAGGAAGCATGGATCTAAAAAGGAGTAGTTTAGAGCAGCTGCACTTTTCCCAAAGGCAAGATGGCACCGCAGTCTCTCCATCTGACACACATAGGAAGTTGGAATCAGAGCAAATCAGAAACAATGCTTACTGTTCATAATAGGTGCTTGTGAAATAGGAAGCTAAAGTGGTTTAATTCCCCTTAGAAAGGTCTAAAATCCAGGATCCAGAACTTAATTTGCTTATTCAACTTTGCAATACTATATATTATCCCTGGCCCTGACTACTAAAACTATTTTGTAAAAGCCTGAAAGACACTTTTAAGTAGTGAAGAATTAAAAGCATGGTTAAGAAAACAATGTTTTATCAGCACCTTCTGAAAGTTTAGTGAACATGAAGCAGCCACTTACGTTTTTGCTTGAGATGTATTTCAAGTTTCATTCATTCAATTATTTACTCAGTCATTAATTTAACAGGCATTTGAATGTCTACTATAAGCCAAGCTCTATGCTAGATGCTGGACATATCACTGTGAATGAAACAGACTTGATCCTTGTCTCTCAAGAAACTGATGGTCTAACGGGGAGACAGGCATTTAGTTAATTATGATATTGGATAATATACCAAGAATTAAGAGTACAGGGTGTCCTCACAGAGTGTAACAGAGATGCCAAACCTCCTTTGGAAATCAGGAAAGATTTTCCCAAGGAAAATTGATTTAAATGGAGACTTGAAAGATGAATAGGAGTTATTCAGGCAAGAGAACAGGGATAGGAAGGGGAGAGAGAGCATTCTACACAGTCAGAACAGCATATACAAAAGGCTTGAGACAGAAAGGAGCTTGTCTGGAGAATAAGAACAAAGAGACGGCCAACATTTCTGGAGCCAAATGTAGTCTGGGACAGAGACACAAGAGAATGGTGATACTCAGGGCATGGGCACAGCCCTGCAAGAGCTTGTGTTCCATTTAGACTGTATCCAAAGATCAACGGAAGCTACTAAATAGTCTTACAAATGTCCAACAGCAAGTGATCTTTCCCCAAACCCATGGTCTTGAAAACCCAGGAGGAACAGAGGATGATAAGGAAGGAGAGTAGAGAGAGCTGCAACAAATCAACTTTGGATTGTATTCTTTCTTCTGGGCAATCTATACCTTACATACAAGTCACTCCATGACAGCTTATTAGTCTGAAGACCCCCTGAGAATAAACATACTACTGCCCTAAATGGATCTTTTCACTCTATGTCTGACTTCTCTTGCTGGCAAGGTGGCCCCTGCACACTTAAATCCAAGCTTGATTTTCTTTAGAAGCTGATGGCCTGGTTAACTGTCTCCACTTGAAAAACAGCACTGTCTGGCCTGGCAAAGGCTATACTAGTTGCCATGAATGGAAAGTGAAGTGAAAGAGGTTAAAAACACATGTTATGTTTCTTCTAAAACTTAGAATCTTTCAACTTATGCACAAAGGAGGAACACACCATAGGGAATGGTATTTTTATTTTTATTTTTTTTGAAGGTGAGGCAGCACTGAATTGGGGCAAAATTGACTTATGTGTTTCTTTTCATGTTACTGGGTTTCGAGAAAGTACTGGAAGGAACTTGTAGATGAGCAAATGAATGTGGTAACTTCTTTTAACAGTATGTGTTTGGTGAGAATATGACTAATCAACAGATTAAATTTCTTGAAACGAAGATGGCATTTTTCTCTCTCTCCCACTAACCCCCGCCATCCCATGCAGCCCACTCTCACTCTCTCTATATATGTGTATGTGTTGTGTTGGCAATAGTGTGGAAAACATAATGCATCCATTAAGTTGGACAGCTTAAGCATTATTCCCAAACATGAAATCTTCTTTTCGGCCAACTAGCCTATTCCAGATTCTCCACATCCCCTTACCATGAACGTCCTGCCTTTCACCTGAATGTTCTCCAGCCAACCAGATTCTACCCAGTATGTGAGGCATAACTGAAGGCACATCTTCTCCCTCAGGCTTCAGCCCAAGGCCAGATTCTTGCTTTTCCTAAGCTCAAAAAGATGTTAGTTTTCCACCACTCATTTGGCCTGAGCATCACTGCTTTGCATTGTTTCAAAGCACTTGCTTATTATGTTGTTCGCTCAGACACTAAAGCTTAGAGAGAGACAGAAGTCTGACACGTCTTGGGAATCTCCTTCATAATAAATTATAGGTGTTCAAGAAATACCAGTGATTTAATTAAAATGTAAATGAAGTTGCTTCGGACCCATTCAGCTCATAGAATAAAACTAGACTACAAGCTGAGATATTTCCCTACAGGTTAAAAAGAAAAAACTACTTTCTCTTAAATAAAAATATGACAATGAAAAGCAAATGGCTTCAAAGGATTTTTGTGACTACTAAACAAGTTACAGGCTGCGGTATGTGACAATTATTCCCTTTTCCATACCATCCAGTTATAATTGGTAAACAATAAGCTTCACATGATTAAAGCATACAATTTTTAAGTAGATAGATAACTATAGATATTTATGTTGAAACACAAATACTTATTTTTGAGTATAATTTGCTCTTTTTTTCTAGCTTCTGAAGGCAGAAAATAAAGGTCATTGATTAGCAACTTTTTTTCTTCAAAAATAGCATTTAATCTATAAATCTCCTAAGTATTGCCTATATATCTGAGAAATCATCTCCATAGTCAATATAACAAACACATGCATTATTCCCAAATGACTAACAATGTTGATCACCTTCTTATGAACTTAACTGCCATCTGTATTTCTTCTTTGAAGGATTGTCTGTTAAATCATTTGCCCATTTTCTTTTAAATTGTTTTTTATTTTCTCATTATTGAGTTGTCCGAGTTTTAAAATATACTCTGGATACCAAGTTTTTACCAGATACAGAATTTCTATATTCCACTTGAGTTAATTTTTGTACATTACATGAAATCTGGGTCAAAATAAATTTTTGCATATGGATATTGAATTGTTACTTCACCTTTTGTTAAAAACTAGACATTTTATACTGAATTGTTTTTGTACTTTTGTTAAAAATTAATTAATCATATGTGTACTATCTTTCTTAAATTTACTTTTTGTTCCACTGACCTATTTGTCTGTCTTGATGCTAATGTTACATTACCTTGATTATTGTAGTCAGGCAGTATAAGGCTCCCAATTTTATTCCTGTCTTTCAAATTTGTTTTGGCCATTTTCACCCTTTGCATTTCCATACACATATTAAAATAAGCCTGTCAATTTCTTTTTTAAAAAAGTCCTGCTTGGATTTTTATTAGAATTAATTTGAATCTATAAATTATTGTGGAGATAACTGACATCTATACAATAATATAATCTTCTGATCTATGCACATGCTATATATATTCATTTATTTGGGTCTTCTTTAATTTCTGTCATCATTTTATAGTTTTAAGTATACAGGTCTTGCACATTTGTTGTGAGATGTATGCCAAGTACTTCATATTTATGATGCTATTATAAATGATCCTATTTTAAAATTCAATTTCTCTTGGTTCATTGCAAGCATATGAAAATACAATTAATTTTTGTATATTGCTCTCAAACCCTGCAATCATGCTAAATCTTATTAGTTTTAGTTTTTTGTAGAGTCCATAGATTTTTTTGTAGATTTTACATAGAAGATCACATCAAATACATATATAGACAATATTGCTTCTTTCTTTCCAATTGGAATGTCTTTTATTCTCTTATCTTGTTCTATCACAGAGCAAGAATTTCCACTGAAATGTTAAATAGAAATGGTGAGACTGAATCTACTTTTCATGCATATTCCTGGCTTTAGGAAGAAAGTATTTGTTAAAATCATCAAATATCTAGTGTCCCCATTTTCCCAATTGTCTTAGGAATATTCACATTTTTACAATTTGTTGAGTTGAACTGGAACCCAAATAAGGTTCATACATTCTGATTGGCTGATACATCTCTTAAGTCTCTTCTGATATGTAGGTTTGTCCTCTCTTTTTTCTTGTACTTTTTTGTAATGATAGCATTTAATATTTTCCTCTGATTCTTATATTTCATCTAAATGTGCAGGTGTATCTAAAGGCTTGAACAGATTAAAGCTAGATGTTTTTGGAAACACTACTTCATTGGCACTGTGCATATTCTCACCAGAGAGTCGTGAGGTCTGTCCCTGACATTATCAGCTATTGACGATCATTATATAGACCCATTAATTCATTGGCAGTTACAAAATGCTGATATTCATATTCTAACACTTTTCATCACTTATTAGCTGGAATATACCTATAAAGAGAAAATTTACCAACTATTTAGTTACTCTGGGGTATAGGAAAGCAAGCAAATAATTAATTCTTATCCTAAATTAGCAAATTTTCAAAATAATAAGTTGATTCCTTAGTACACTTCAAAGGTGACCAGTGAGTTTTTAACCTATACTTTTTAGAATAAATATAAATGCACAGACTAAAACCTATTTGTAGTGTTTCAATTAATTGTAGTTATTATCCTTATCAGTATCCAAAATATATTATCTTTGGCCAATGAGAGCCTCCTATGACTCCTGGGTCTTTATTAGCTGATCCTGGTGTTAGTCAGCTGGGGCTCCAACAATAAGATATCACAGATGAGGTGGCTTAAACAGAAATGTATTTCCCCATAATTCTGGAGGCTGGAAGTCCAAGATCAAGGTGTTAACAGTGTTGGTTTTTGTGAGGTCTCTCTTCTTGGCTTGCAAAGGGCTGTCCTCATTTAGCCTTTCCTCTGTGTATGCATGGAGAGAGAAAGTGATCTCTGGTGTCTTTTCCTCTACTTACAAGGACACCTGTCCCATCAGGTTAAGGCCTACCCTTATTACCTCATTTAACCTAAATTGTCTCCTAAAAGGCCTTATCTCCAAAGACAGTTACCTTGGGGGTTAGGTCTTTAACATGGAATTTTAGGGGGACACAGTTCACTTCACAAAAACCCTAGTAGTCTTAGATAGCATCCTTGCTTTCATTTCATGACAAGATACTCTTGGCTCATCTTGTACATTTCCTAACCCAAACCTGGAATCAGTCATTTTGATAAATGCTGTCGTGTTGTTTTTCGTGTGTGTGTGTGTGTGTGTGTGTGTGTGTGTGTGTGTATTCTGTAATGTATACCTGTATTACATGGGTATACAGTTTTGTGTATACATATATTATACATATGCATACATATACGTATCACATGCACATATATTATATGTATATATAGTTTTATGATCTTTGATAAAGGTATGCATCCATATAGCTAACACCCCAATCAGAACAGAACATTTTCACATTCCAGGAATTTCTCTTCTGCTTCATTCTAGTCAAACCTGTATCCTTTCTCACCAAGAGTTAACCACTATTTTGATTTCTACCACTATAAATGGACTTTGACTGTTTTTGCTCTCCATATGATTGGAAACACATTATGCACCCTTTTATGTTTGTGTTGGCTTCTTTTGCTCAACATGATTTTGAGAACCATCCATTTTGTTGCATGTATCACTAATTCATGTTATTACTGATTATCTATATACAAATTTGAATGATGCACTAATTTGAAAGATAAACTGTGTTAATCTCTTTATTGTAAAATAATTACAAATCAGGAAACTGCACAAACATATATACACCTTATCCTTTTAATCCCCAATAGAGCTCTGTCAGTTACCCCAGAGCTTCCTCCTTGTTCCATGTACCAATCATAACCACCTTCCTCCCTCCAAACTATAATTATTCTCCTGATTTTATAGTTATCATTCCTTACATTTCTTAATGGCTTTATCATCCAACTGTACAGATGGAAACATCATAGCTTAATTTTCCCCATTTTTCTTCCATGTCTTCTAGTTGTTTTTCTTCTATAGGTTTTTCCTTCATTCTTTTTTTTTCCTTAGAGTTTAGCAGTTGGAAAAGCTGGCCCATTTTCTCCATGAAGGCTCTCTTGGTCAGGAATTTGGTCCTGGTACTCTTCAGTACGTCTTTGGTATTTCCTATACATTGACAGCTGGAGACAGAGGCTTGACGAGACTCAGGCTTGAGCCTTGGGCAAGACCGTAAGTTTTGATGTGTCTTTCCATCAGGAGGCAAGCAGTGTCCGTCAGTGTTCTTCTCTTGAGATATTAACCCTTGACGATCATCATCCAGACGTAGTAATTTCTTGGGAGTGTAAAATGGTGATGCTCTAAACATTTCATTCTCACGAGATGCTTCCCTCATCTACTCTTCGGTGACTCATTACTACAGTTCATATAGGAGAGGCAAGAATTATGTTTGATTCTTTCCCTTTATTTATCAGTTTTCAAGATAATAAATTGACTCTGCCATTCTTCTAATGTGACTAATTATCTTTTTAAATGTAGCACTTGAGTTTAAATATATTTTATGTGTTCCAAGCTGTATCTTTACTAAAACTGAAACTGTTTCATCTCTGGCCAGGAAGGAGCTCTGCAAGTTGGCCCCTGTCCTTTTGATGTGACCCTGTTACTCTTTGAAGCTTCTTTGCTCTCTAGTATATTCAGATGTCCCATGTGCATATTGCACAGTTCATGTCCCTGACCTGGAATCATCCATTTCTCCAAGAAGCCATGATTTCTTTTAGAGGGAAATGCTGTTTCAAGACAATAATCTGCGTGCCAGCGATGCTCATTACTGGCTTGTCAATGTTTCCAGATTTGTTTCATTGATTACCACATACCAAACTATCTCAAAATTTAGTGAGTAATTTTTTTGTGATTTGTCCATTTGGGCCAAATTTTATATAGACTGTGAATGGCTGTTCCACATGTTGTCACCTGGGGCAGCTCCACTAGGGCTGAAAGGTCACCCACATGGCTGGCACATTGGTGATGTCATTAGGAAGCTCAGCTGATGCTGGTCCCTGAGGGTTTCGATCTCTTACTGCATGGCTGTCCACATGCCTAAGCAGGGCTTCCCACAAAATGGCTCTGGGATTGATTCTAACAGAGAGTATCCTAAGAGCCAACATTACAGGGAGACAAGCCTCAGTATGAAAGTCATTATGAAGCCTCTGCTTGCATCTCAATTCCTCATGTCTCTTTGTCTGTCCAAATTGTCCTGTCCAGAGTCAGTGTGGGTAGGAACTACATAAAGGCAGGAAGGTGTGGTTTATTGGAGACTGTCAAAGTAACAGAGTCAAGGCATCTTTGGGGTGTCGCTCTTATGGCCAGAAACGTCTGTGGCCAGTGATGCCTTTGCTTGAGTTCTTGTTCTGAGCCCAGGAAGAATGAGCTACACAGACAGGTGGAGGGTGAGCAAGATGGAGCTTCATTGAGTGTTAGAACAGCTCAGAGGAGACCCACAGTGGGTAGCTCCTCTCTGTAGCCAGGTTGTCCCATCAGTGTTCAGCACTCAGCAGAGAGGAGGCCCTGAAGTGGGTGGCTCCTCTTTGACAACACTCATCCTGATGACTGTTCAGCTCTCAGCAGAGAGGAAGCCCTAGAGAGGGTAGCTCTCTCTGCAGCTTGTCCTCCCAAGGTCTGCTCAGCTCTGGCTGAACCAAGGGCTTTTATGGGCCTCAGGGGGGAGGAAATGTGTGCCAACTGGTCCATGGGAGGCCATGGATGGGCCCAGAAAAGGCACTACAGGTTCCCACTCCAATGGGTGGGACTGGCAGCCAAGCCCCTGGCCTTCAGGCCCTCCCTGGCTTGAAGGTGGGGCCTCACTGGGGACCGACCCCCTTCAACACAGTAATCTGTCTGCCTTCTGCTGCTGTTCATGGCACCTGGGCTCAGCCTCAGTTTTGCTCCCAAATCAGAGTGGGTGCCAACAGCAGGGAGACTCCAGGCAGTGGGAGCAGGTTATTTCTGAGCCTGCGAGGGCATATGGGGGCCTTCCTGGTCCCCCAAGAGCACAGGAATGCCTGAGTCTGCAGCTGTGATTTGGGTGGCTGCAGCCATGCCCAGGGCCAAGTGGCGGGGGTAGCAGCATTCCCACCTGCTCTGTGGAGCGGAAACCCTGAGTCTTCAGCTGCAGTTTTGATGGCTGCAGCTGCACCCAGGGACCTGCCACCCAATTCAGGAGGGGTGGGGCTCCCGCTTGTCACCGGCTCCCACTGACTCCATGCAGTGTGCAGCCCTGGCCATGCCTCCCTGCTGCAGCCAGCATGATGGCAGTGGCAGGCTGTCTGGAACAGCTGCTGCCATCAGCAGTATACCATAAGGCCTTTTCAGTGAACAGAGCATGTGTTCCCTTTAGTTTATTTATTCACTTTTACTTTTTTTTTTATAGAGACAAGGTTTTACCATGTTGCCCAGGCTGGTCTCAAACTCCTGGCCTCAAACAATCCTTTTGCCTTGGCCTCCCAAAGTGTTGGGATTACAAGTGTGAGCCACAACACCCAGCCTAGGTTATTTATTTTTCATAATTTTTTTTTGTGTTTCTAATTCTTCCTTGAATTCTGTTACATTATTTCTGAGTATTCTAATCCCATTTATATTTCTCTTTCCTGTGTTTTATCATATTCTTAAAATTTTTTAATTATTAATTTTAAAAACTTTAGTTTCTATCTGTTTTATGGGCACTTTCTGGTATGCTTTTGCTGTTTGTAGGACTGTTACTCAGTTTCTTATTCTCTTTTATTCTCAGAGCAACTTTGTGAGAAATTTAACCTCGATGGTTTTCTTTTGGTCATTTTTATGTGAGGTTACATTTTACGTTTTACATGAAATTAATGTTCCTCTTTTTGAGGGAAAAAAACATTTAAAAGAAGCTAAGTTCACAGAACTTCTTTTTCTGTTGTTTGCATAGTTTAAAAGCATTAAAGACAACATCAAATACTGCCAAGGATGTGGAGAAACTACATCACTGACACATTGCTGGTGGGAGTGTCAAATGGTACAGCCACTCTGGAAAACATTTGTCAGTTTCTTATAAGACTAAACATACAACTACAATACAACCAAGCAATTTCACTCCAGGGCATGTAGTCCAGAGATATAAAGACAGGTTCACACAAAAACTAGAACAGGAATGTTTACAGTAGCTTTATTTGTAATAGCCAAAAACTGGAAACAGCCTAGCTATCTCTCAATAGATAAGTGGTTAAACAAACCATGGCACATCCATATGATGAAATATGACTTAGCTACAAAAAAGGAACATACAACTGAACAGGTTGTGGTGGTTCACACCTGTAACGCCTGAACTTTAAGAGGCCAAGGTGGGAGGACCACTTGAGGCCAGAAGTTCAAGACAGCCTTCAAAATATATTGAGACCTCATATCTACAAAAAAATTTAAAAATTAATTGAGAGCGGTAGCATACTTGTAGTCCTAGCTACTCAGGAGGCTGAGGCGGAGGATGGCTTGAGCCTTGGAGTTGGCGGCTACAGTGAGCTATGATCACCCCACTGCTCTTCAGCTTGGGTGACAGAGTGAGAGCCTATCTCAAAAAGGAAAAAAAGGAAATAAAGTAATGGGCTATTATTGATGCACACAACCTGGATGAATCTTGGGCATTTAGGCTGAGTGAAAAAAAAAATCCAATCATGAAAGTTTACTTATTATATGATTTTATTTCAATTATATGCCATTTTTGAAAGGCTACCATCATAGAGATGGAGACAAGAATAGTGTAGATAGATAAGGTTATAAAAAGGCAACAAGAAAGATCCTTGTAGTAAGAATTGTTCAGTGTCACTGGCTGTGGTAGTGAGTACACAAATATACACAGGTAATACACCTGTACCAAGTAAGTATGCACACACATAAATGAATACATGTAGAACTGGAAAACAATCTAAATAAGATTGGTGGATTGTATCAATGTTAACATCTTGGCTCTGCTGGTTCTGATATTATATTACAGGTTTGCAAAATGTTACCATCAGGGGAAACTGGGCAAATTACATACAAGATTCCTCTGTATTATTCCTTATAATTGCATGTGCATTTACAATGATCTCAATAAAAATTTCAGTTCACAAAACTACAAAAACATTTGGCTGCTTATTTCTAAGATTTTCTGGCTCTGTTCTCCTTCCCTGCTTTTCTGTGGATGTTCTTTTATCCTTAGTTTCTGTTGTTTTGCTCAAATGTGATTTCAAGCTTGGTAGTTTTCCTTCAAATTGAGTTCTTATTTTGGAAGGCAGCTCTGCTGATCAGTTTCAAAAAATAAAATAAAATAAAATAAAATTCATAGGATTAGATTGCTCCTGCCCCGCAGACCTTACCATGAACTGCCTACCTTCATTCCTATTGAAGAGGCCAATGCCTCTTCCCAGTTCAGTTGCTCATCTTAAATCCTTCACCTGCACCTGCCAGTGAGTATTGTTGGAAATTGCAGAGTCTTCATGTTCCAAGGATCTTGACTTGCCGCGTTGTTTTTTTCTGAATTTATTAGAACATGAGTTATGTCATTCCAGATCACTATTGACTTTGCTGGGACAGCACTGTGTCCGAGAGACCCTAGAAGAGACTCAGGGCCAGCAAATGACACTTAGGGTTTATTGAGGACTTACACACAGGTCAGTTCAAGAGTAGCAGGTTAGACAGGAAAACCACTATCATTTGTTAAAAAAAAAAAAAGCGTGCAGGTTATACAGTATTTTCATTTAGCAACCTCCACCTAGCTAACAAAGGGCCTCAATCCTCTGTACAGCCTGCCTTCCAACTAATGGGCCAGGGATTCAAATGTCCTTCATAGATAAGGAATGAATCTCCAGGTTGGCCACTCCCAGATTCCTTAGCTCAGAACTCTGAACACACATTCTTCTTAGATCATAGGCACATTCTGAGGGTATGCTGAAGTGATTGCTGCCAAGTACCTCTGCCACACAGGTTATACCACCCTTGAACAATTCTTCCACAGCAAATGCAGTGAGAACAGCAGCCAATGCTCAGAAACCAGGTTATACGAGTAACTTGTTGGAAGGAAAGCTTTTCCTCTGCCAGGTTGAATCCAGTGGTTGGGGGCCTGTATATTAACTGACAATGGACAGATTAACAGGAAAAAAGGTTTGCTTATGCATTAAAGGAGTTCAGGAAATGCCACTATAAAATATGCCCCTTCAGTGTGTTGACATTTCATACTGAGGGCACTTGGGGGACAGTGGATGTAGGCAGAGGCTTTCTCTGGGCTCCCCTTATGTGTCTAAAAACAGATCCTCTGAAAGGAACTCAGCTGTCATCAGTCCCCTCCCAAGGAATTTCATCAACCAGGGAAGATTAACTTGTATCACAGGAGGGGAGTCAGGGCGTCAATGCCACACTCAGACAAACTTAGTCACAGACTGTCACCTATTCTTCCAAAGGCCCATTCATCTTTTCCATTCATCAGCTACTCTCCTCTAAGCTGCCTCCATACCCCCTCCCCTATGAAGAGGGTACATAAGCTTCTAGACTAACTGGGTTTGGGTGGTATTCCCCTTTTTTTCCTCCGATGCCCCTATGCATGTAACAAATTTGCATACTTTTTCTCCTGTTAATCTGCCTGTTGTCACAGACTCACTTACAGGACCTAAGAGTAGAGAGAAGGCATTTTCTCCCATACTGCATACATGCAGGAGTACTCAGTGAAGAGCAACTTGCTCAATAGCCAGAGATGAAAAGCTTATATAACAAATTTAACAAGTATGAGCAGGGTGGTGGTGGGGTTAGGGCTTCAAAGGGAAGGTATGGAAGGTTCTGAAACCACCATTGCAAAAATTATACAAGTGAGAAAATTATGACAGTGAAAGAGATCTGATCTAACCAACGCCCATGTTGCCTCTAATCTCCAAACTTCCCTTAATCTCTCCTGAGCTTACAGCAAGCTGACTTTGGAAGAAATTTAGTTTATAGTTTAAACAATAATAGCCCTTCCCCGAAACTGTATCACCTTTGTAAAGCTAGTGAAAGACCACCAGGTTAAGAGGATGAGAGGAGGCTGAATTCTGCTAGGTGTAGACATAAACAATTACCAACCGTTATTTCGGAAGTCACAAGACTTGCAACTTCACTAATTACTCCTGCAGGTAACATCATTTTTGTAGAACCTAAGATTGGCCTTTGAGATGTCTTTTCAGGTTTTTGCATTTTTGCACCTGGGCCAACCAATGGTTACACCCAGAAGCAAACTTAGCACATACAAGAACCATTTTCCATATGCCTATGATTGCATCCCCAGCTGATCAGCAGCCCCCAACCCCTGCCTGCCAAATTGTCCTTGAGAAACCCTAGCCTCTGAATTTTGTGGGGAGATTGATTTGAGTAATGACTCTATCTCCCACATGGCATGGTTGGCCTCATGTCAGTTAAGCTATTTCTCCTTTGCAATGCCATGATCTTAGTGAATTGGTTTTGTTTGTGCAGTGAACAAAGAGAAGCTGCCAGACAGTTAAGAGTTCTAGTTACATTTTTGATGCTAACAAAATGAGCAGCCTGTCCCCGCAGCAGCTGAATTCACAGGAAATCCCCTATGAGGGGGGTTAATGTCACTGTATTTTCTGGAGGCTCTGCTTTAGTCAGATAAAGGAAGTTGAGATAAGATTTATTTCTGCATCTTCTTCAGTTCAAATCTTTTCCCTTTAAGATAATCTTTATACCAATTCTGGGGGTCTGAGCATGTTCCCACACAGGTTGGTAACAGCCAACAGGGAAGGCTAGCCCCACCTCTTTGCCTGTCCCATGAGGATGAGTACTCACACTGGTGTAAGAGACCAGAACATGCCACCCCCAAATACTCTGCCTTGGCATAAGGATTATTTTGAGAAACTGAAGACACAGAAAAATCTCTGAAAGCAGAGTAGAGGTTACCCTTTTGTAGGGGCAATTTATATCTATAAGGGAAATCTCCATTTGTAAGGATGTCTATCTGTACCAGGAACTCTTATCAATGGAAAAGGCATGGATTTAAATCTTCAGAATGTTGATGAAAAGAGTCAAACCCTGTAAAATACTGGAAGAGATTTATTCTGAGCCAAATATGAGTGACCGATGGCCCATGACACAGCTCTCAGGAGATCCTGAGGACAAGTGCCCAAGGTAGTCCAGGTTTAGCTTGGCTTTACACATTTTAGAGAGATATAAGACATCGATCAATACATGTAAGACATACACTGGTTTCATTTGGAAAGTCAGCACAATTGGAAGCAAGGCGTTTCCAAGTCACAAGCAGATTCAAAGATTTTCTGATTGGCAATTGGTGGAAAGAGCTATTATCAATAGAAAGGAATGTCTGGCTGAGGGGTTGTGGAGACCAAGGTTTTATCATGGGGATAAAGCCTCCAGGTAGCAGGCTTCAGAGAGAATAGATTGTAAATGTTTTTATTAAAGAGTCTGCTGTATCAGTAATTTCAAAAGGGAGGTGAGTATCCTGAGGCATATCTGGCTCTGCCTTCCCATCATGGCCTGAAACTAGTTTTTTAGGTTAACTTTGGAAGGCCCTTGGCTGAGAGGAGGGGTCCATTCAGATGACTGGATGTAGGCCTTCAAATTTTTTTTTACATTGCTACTGAATGTTTATGAGTATTAATGCAGGATATGGAAATATCCCTTAAAGAATTGAGAATAATTTTAGAAAATTTTTTTTCACTTTCATTTCAAGTTCAGGGGTACATGTGCAGGTTTGTTATATAGGCAAACTTGTGTCATGGGGGTTTGTTGTACAGATTATTTCATCACCCAGGTATTAAGCCCAGTACCATTAGTTATTTTTCCTGATCCTCTCCCTCCTCCTACCCTTCAGCCTCTGATAAGCCCCAGTGTATATTGTTCCCCTTTATGTGTCCATGTGTTCTCATCATTTAGCTCCCCGTCATAAGTGAGAACATGCAGTATTTGGTTTTCTGTTCCTGCAATAGTTTGCTAAGGAGAATCCAAAACTATAAAAACTTCAGCAAAGATTTCATGATGAAGACGCCAAAAGCAATTGCAATAAAAGCAAATATTGACAAATGGGATCTAATTAAACTAAAGAGCTTCTGCACAGCAGAAGAAACTATGACTATGACTATGTCTGTTTACTAGAAGACTACACAGACAACCTAAATAATGGGAGAAAATTTTTGCAAACTATGCATCTGACAAAGGTCCAATAACCTGCATCTGTAAGGAACTTAAATTTCAAGAAAATAACTTTATTTTGGGGTTTACAATAACAAACCCTACCATGGTTTACTGAGCTTTTCCTAGGCATCTCCCAGTAACTGGCCCTGCCTCCACCTTTCTTTCTTTCTTTCAGTTGAAGATGGTATTTCAGCCTAAATTCTAAGCCACCTTTTTGAAATTTAGTCATTTTTCCCTTGAATATGTCCTGGGTATACATGAGGTATACACGTTAATAAATTGTTTTTCTTTTGTTAATCTGTCTTTTGTTACAGGGGTTTGTCCCAACTAAGAAGGATAAAGGGTAGGGAGAAAATTATTTTCATGCCATGAGAAGGAGTTAGGACTTTAAAATGCCTTAGTTAGGAAGCCATGGCAAATGCCAGGAGAGGGAGTTGGGACTTTAAAATGAGTGGATTACCATAAACTGGCAACTCAACATTGGTGTCTCTTCTATCATTAGTGAAAATGGGAGCTTTAGGATTAACAAACAATCATGAAAAATAAAGGGATTTTTTTTTCCACAGCACATGTAAATTTTTGTGGGTAGTTTCTACCCTCTCCTACATCACAGATCTGCCAGAGTTGGTGAGGAATACAAGCATCTCCTCAGCTGATTCCTTTAAAAATAAAACTTTCAAAGACATGGTATTTCCCACACTGAGGCCAAGTGAGGCCATTCTGTACTTAGCAGAGTCGCTGGGAATCAAAGAGAGACACTGGGAATTGGTGCTGGATGATTTCTTAGACAATTTAACACATCCAGAAAACCTTAAAAATTGCTGAAGTCTATTTTGGTTACTTAATTTGTAATTTTGTATAAGCAGAATGAATTATTCATAGAAAGTACCAGCCAGTATGGGTGTTTTGTACATAAGGGCAATTTGTAGTCTCTGGGAACCCTGAAACCACGAAGTACCAACATTAGCATCCCATGTCCTGCTTCTGGGTCTCAGGATTCCTGTGGTTGATGCAGGCCAGCACCTCTCCTCCCCGCTTTTCTCTTTATAACAAAGTCTGAAATTGTCCCAAAGCACAAAAGTTCCCAGTACACTACCGGAAGTGACTACATTTAAGTGTTTGAGGAAAAATAAAAATGATCATGATTCAAGGAGCCAGCTTTTCCTTGGCCTGAGAACTTGACATTAATTAAAATGAACTGTCTTAATCTCATCTAACTTTCATGAAGGGACAGTGTCATGCTACTTTAGCTTTTGCTTTGACAGACTTTCCTGAAAATTCTGATCAAGTCACTTACTGTAGACTGAGCATGAAGAAGAGTGTTCAAACAGCAAAAAATTCCAGTGGGTGGCGAGAGAAAGGTTACTCTCGGACAAATTCCTTTTCATAAGTCCTGACTGTGATTTCCGTGTGACTACAGCTGGCCCTACAGCCGTGTGTGGGTTTTGGGAATTGGGGAATTCCCTGTAGAATTATCTAGCTGACAGTTTATTCACATAAAAAGTGCAAAGACACAGACAAAAGATCCCACCCAAATCAATAAGCAACATCAGCTGATGCCTCATCTATATACTCTACCGAGGCAGCAGCTCTCAAATTAGAATCAACTGGGAAGATCTGACAAATGCAAGTACCCAGACACATCCTACACAAACTTAATTATCATCTCTAAGGGTGGGACTCAGGCATGTGTAGTTTTAAAAATTCCCCCAGGTGGTTACCATGTGCAGCCGTGTCTGAGAACCAATATCTTGACAGGGTACTCCGGGAACGATACTGAACCATGAATGTGGGTCGCCATGGAATTAAGGGACAGAACTGAGACACAAATAATACAGGGTGGTCACAGAAAAATAAAATATTCCAGGCAGCAGTTCCACATGACTCGAGGATATGACCTGGGAAGACTCTGAAAACCCAGGATATGGACCAAGCTGGTTATGACCGAATGGATCCAACAAGGCACTGGATTTGATCTAGGTTTCACCTAGGCCCTCATTATATGCTCATTAACACCCCAAATCACACACCCACCAGTGCCATGACCATTCCAGGAAAACTGTATTTGGAGTAAAATAGGGTGGCACCACAGTTCTGAGAAATCTCTACCTTCTTCCAGGAATCTTCATGAATATGCCACCTCTTGGTTAAAGAATCCCATAAAAGTTGCAGCCCCAAACCCCATTTGCATGAGTCTCTCTTGAGTACACCTGCACTCCCCTTTCTTGAGTGTGTGTACTTTTCGCTTTGAAATCAATCTCTGTACTTGCACTATTTTCTGAGTCATCCTTGACTCCTTTTCGTGCTGGTGTCAAGAGTGAGGACACTTGCTGGGGTCAAGGTGCCGCCAGCATTTAGGGACCTCCCCCAACCCACCAGTGTCAGAACGACTTCTCCTCAGTTCAAAGAGAGACCACAAATGAGAGGGACAAAATCTTCAGCACAGATTACAACTACACCTATATTATTAGAGACAGGTATTGGTCAGGGCTTCATAGACAGACCCTCTGTCCTCCTTTCACTACAGAAGCAATTAGGAAGTAAGAGATCTCTCATTTCCTAGGCTTTTCCTGGTTATTAAGTACAAATGAAGAGGTATTGTAGACCCAAGATGCCAAGCATTTTGGTTTTGCTGAATGCAAATATAGGAAATGCTCCTTGCCCAAATCAGAGAGTTGATAAGCTGATAAAGAGCTCCTGCAGACACCTTGACTAATGCCATAACGGCACACTTCAGAAGTGACCTGGGCATCACAGACGGTCAGGGTCATATGAGGTTAGAAAAGGGACAGGCGACGTCACTGATGCTTAAAGGGAAAGAAGCCTGAGCAAGGCTCGCACACCTCAGTGAAGCCAGGGGGGGTTCCTGGCCTTGCACTATCACTGGTGCTGTGGCCTTCTAATGGGTGGAGGATATAAAGAACATTATTCAACAAACATTTACTGAGCACCTTCTATGTACAGGCACTGTTCTGGTTTCTGAGGTCACAAAGTAAACAAAACAGATAAAATCTCCTGCCTTCAAGGACCTTAGAATCTGACTTCTACCCATTGTATTCCAATACCTTTGTCTGAACTACTCAAACACATCCTTTTCCTGGGTTGAATAACACCACCGCCCCAAATATATGTCTAACTAGAACCTCCAGAAGGTGACCTTTCTTGGAATAAGGGTCTTTGCCAATCTAAGTCAGTTAAAGATCTTGAGATCAGATTTTTCTAGCTCAGAGTGAGCCTAAAATCCAATGATGAGTATCCTTTTAAGAAACAGAAACGGAGTAATAGACAGAGAGAGACACAGGCCATGTGCAGATGGAGGCAGAAATTAGAGAAAGTCCACAATCCAAGGAACACCAAGGATTGCCAGGTACCACTAGACACTTAGAGAGAGGCATGGAATTCTCCCTCCGAACCAATCCTACCGTCACCCTGATTTTGGATTTCTGGCTCCTAGAACTGTGAGAAAACAAATGGACTTGTTCTAAGCGGTATGAGTAATTTGTATAGTAATTCGTTATGCAGCCCTGGGAAACTAACATGTCCCCTAACTGGGCTTCCTTCCTCTGCCCTTGTCTCCCACAGTTGTCAGAGTGATCCTTCTGGAACCCAAGTCAGATCGCGCCGCTGCTCTGCTCAAAGTCGGTCAGCAGCTCACATCTCACTTGAAGCAAAAGCCAGGGTCTTTTCAAGGACCTTCAAAGCCCTTGGCACTGGGGAGGGACAATCTGGCCCTAGCTATCTTTCCAGGCACGTCTCTTAACCAACCTTCCCATCTCCCTCAGAACAGTAAGTTCTAGCCACACAGGAATGTCCCTGGTACATGGGTCCCACCTGCCGAGAATGCTTTTCTCCTCCAGATACTCCTCCTGCCTTATTTCCTTACAAATCTCTGCCCAAATATCACTGTATCAGTGGAGACCTCCTTGGGTCACTCTTCTCTCTCCATGCCCTTACTCTGCACCTGACATCATATATACATATAGATCAACACAAGTATAGATATGGCCAGAGATATAAAGCGTCTCCCAGTAGAACGCATTCTCCCTGAGGATAAGAATTTTAGTTTTTTAATTTTTATTTTAATTTTTTTGAGACAGGGTCTTGCTCTGTTGCCCAGGTTGGAGTGCAGTGGTGTAATCACAGCTCACTGCAGCCTCGACCTTCCTGGGCTCAGGTAAGGCATAAGGATTTTATTTCGTTTGCTGCTGCATTCCCATTAGCTATCTCTGAAATGCCATATCCTAGAGTTTTTGCCTATTTTTGAGCACATTACAGATTACTTTGCATTAAGGATATCTCTTATTATATGTCTTATGTCTCCTACAGGATTGAAAGCTTCTTGAAGATTGGAACTCTGTTTCAGTCATACCTGTTTCAGCCTTTCTCTCTGTCTAGCCTAAGACAGTACTTTGCAGATAGTCAATGTTCAAGACGTACTAATTGTTTGGACCATGACCTAGCCTTTTTAGGTATCAATCTGCACAAACTGAACTTTAAATTTCTTATTTTCTTAAAATGTTTAAGAATGAACTCACCTAAAGGATCTTGGACTTTTATAAGTATATCTTAGGAAGAAAGCAATCCTATAAAAAGATTGTAATCCAAACTGTTTGTTCAGTGAGAAATGTTCTTTTTTTTGACATTTATTAAATGTCAACAACACATCTAGTATATGGCATATTAAAAGCTGCTTCTTAAAAAAAATGCTAGGGACCATATATTGAAAGCACTGTAAACACTCATTAATTTCGACTCCCCCATTTTGAGATTTTGCTACTTCCAACAGGGAGGGAAAGGAGCTTGGGCTGAGATATCTGATCTAAATATACACATAAAATATTTGCTTATATTTTAACTAATATCCTGGGAAGTTGTTTAAACCACTTAAGTAGCCCTTTAAGAAACTGTTTCTTTTTTTTTTTTTTTTTTGAGACAGAGCCTTGCTCTGTTGCCTAGGCTGGAGTGCAGAGGCGTGATCTCGGCTCACTGCAATCTCTGCCTCCCAGGTTCAAGCGATTCTTGTTCCTCAGCCTCCTGAGTAGCTGGGGTTACAGGCGCATGCCACCGCACCCGGCTAATCTTTGTATTTTTAATAGAGATGGGATTTCGCCATGTTAGGCAGGTTGGTCTTGAACTCCTGACCTCAAGTGATCCACCCACCTCGGCCTCCCAAAGTGCTGGGATTACAGGTGTGAGCCACTCTGCCCAGCCAAAGACAATTGTTTCTTATTACCATACTTATAACTTCTTCAGATCAGGTTTCTAAAAATGAACTGATAAGAGAATTTAAGGCATTCCTGTTTATTCACTAATATAAGTTCCAAAACATTTCTTGAAAGTAGGATTCTCACCCATGAAAAGCAGAGGTGCCAGCAAGGCAGAGACTTGATCAGGTCATGGGCTGTCAGAATGATCTGCCCGAGGAGAAATCTGCAATGGGCATAAAGAGTCTGTAAAAGTTAGTCCTGGAACTTCAAAGTTAAAATGAACTTCATTCCAACAACCTCCACTCAATCTGTAGGAGTTTAAAATGCAATATAGAAGAAGAGTCACAGATAGGATTCACTTAACTACTTTTTTTCCTCTTCTTAACTTAAAATGACTATAATTTGATTTAATTTTCTTTGAGAAGAAACCACCCCCCAAAATTGTTCTCTTGGCTTTTGTTTCTGTGTTTACATAAGCAGAGAGATAACAGATAGAAAACAACACTGAGCTAGAAACAAGGGGAACTGATCCCAGACTTCTCCCTAACTTGCGTGCTCTTAGACGAGTCACTTTCCCTGGGCCCCAGTTTCCTCATTTGTAAAATTAGGGGTTTGGAATACTTGATTTCTCCAACAGTTCTAATGCTCTGAGATCTACATAGTTATATATAGTATTGTTGTGAAAATCTGACTTCTTATCAAATGTGAGTTCTTGGAAGTTTTGCCTTTTAGACTTAAGTCTTCATTATCATCTTCAAAATTTGTAAGATTAATCTCTGTATCTATGATCAAATATTCTCAAGAAGGCATTGTTCATCTAAAGACCTGAGATTTATAGGTAAAACAACTCAAAATAAATAAGAAGTTACCCAATGCCACCTTTAAATGTTTTTTTATTTATTTTTTTCTTGTACAATATTTATCTTAGCATTTTTTTAATTTTGTTTTTCTTTTGAGATGGACTCTCACTCCTTCACCCAGGCCAGAGCACAGTGGCACCATCATGGCTCACTGCAGCCTCAAACTCCCGGGCTCAAGTGAGCCTTAGTCACCTTAGCCTGTGAGTAGTTAGGACCACAGGTGTGCCACCACCATGACCAGGTACATTTTTTATTTTTTGTAGAGACAGGGGTCTCACTATGTTACCCAGGCTGGTCTTGAACTCCTGGGCTTAAGTGATCCTCCTGCCTCAGCCCTGCAAAGTGCTGGGATTATAGGCAGGAGCCACCACGCTTGGCCAAAAGTGATTTTAAACAGAAAAAGCCATCTCTTGGGCATCTCATTGAATTCTACTGAAATCGTATTAAAAGTTTTATTTAAAACATCTATAAATCTGTCAACAAAGAGGGGGAAAAAAGAGAGGAGAGAGAAAGACAGAGGAAGGGAAAGAGGGAATTTTAACTTTGAGCCCTGTGCTCATAGAAAGCGTCAGTGATTAAGAAATCGTGTTATGTTCTAAGAAACAATTAGCCACAAAGGCCCACCCTTCTCTGTGTATTCCCCAGGGTCCGTCCTCATGACTCCCCTAAAACTGCTAACGACTTTGTTTTCCAGCCTCTATAAAACTCCAGTTCCCTTCATTTCCTTTCCTCATTAATAACTGTTCTTCCTATGGCAATAACTTGAATAAAATCTCCCTAATTGCCTGGTAGATATTATCTTTGGCCATATATAGCTAACAGCATGTGCTGCGTGCTCTGATGAAATCATACCTGGTGCTACATTAATTAGGTGAACAAGGAAGGCCTCAGTGAGGAGGTGACATTTATACTAAGACCTAAATAACAGGAGGGAGTGAGCCATGGACTGAGCAAGAGGAAAAGCCTTCCAGGTGGGGATTGGGGGCGACCCGCGCAAATATTCTAATGCACGAATAGCTTGGTGTTCCGCAGAAGTCTAGAGCATAGTGAGCTGGGGAGTGGAGTGGGTTAGGGCACAGTCCAGTGGTAGCAGAGGAGGTTAGGAAAGAGAGATAACAGAGGAATGATCATGAAAGCCTTGCCGCACATGGTGAGAAAACTGGATCTTATTTAAAGCGCAACAGGGCCAGGTGCTGTGTCTCACGCCTGTAATCCCAGCACTTTGGGAGGCCAAGGCAGGTGGATCACCTGAGGTCAGGAGTTCGACACCAGCCTGGCCAACATGGTGAAACCCCATCTCTACTAAAAAAAAAAAAAAAATACAAAAATGAGCCAGGCATGGTGGTAGGCACCTGTAATCCCACCTACTTGGTAGGCTGAGGCAGGAGAATTGCTTGAACCCAGGAGGTGGAGGTTGCAGTGAGCCAAGATAGGCCACTGCACTGCAGCCTGGGTGACAGAACTAGACTCTGTCTCAAAATAATAATAAAATAAAATAAAGAAAAAGTAAAGTGCATTGGGAAGCACTAGAAGCATTTAAACAGAGGAACGACATGATTTGACGTCTTTTAAAAAGATGATTTTTGGCCACACATGGTGGCCCATGCCTGTAATCTCAGCAATTTGCGAGGCCAAAGCAGGAAGATGGCTTGAGGTCAGGAGTTCAAGACTAGCCTGGGCAGCATAGCGAGACGCTTTCTCTAAAAAAAATTTCAAAAATTAGCCAGGTGTGATGGTGCAGGCCTGCAGTCCCAGCTACTTGGGAAGCTGAGGTGGAGGATTGCTCGAATCCAGGAGTTTGAGGGTGCAGTGAGCAGTGGTTACACCACTGCACACTGCACTCCACCCTGGGTAATAGAGCAAGACTTCAACTATATAAGAAAAAAAAAGATGATTTTAGATGGCCAAGAGTGAGAGTAGGAAGCTTGTAGGCCACTGCAGCTATCCAGGTGCAATGGTGTGAATGTTTGTGTCCCTCCAAATTCATATGCTGAAACCTAATCACCAAGGTGATAGTATTAGAAGGTAGGACCTTTGGGAGGTGATCAGGTCATGGGGGGTAGAGTCTTCATGAATGGGATTAGTGCCCTTATGAAAGAGGCCCCAGAGAAACACCTTACTGCTTCCAGCATAAGAAGATGCAGCAAGAAGCCACCTTCTGTGAACCAGAAAGTGGGCCCTTACTAGACGCCAACTCTGCCAGCACCTTGATCATGGACTTCTCACAGCCTTTACACTTTTCAAAATGAACTTTTGTTGTTTATACGCTACCCAGTTTATACCATTTTGTTATAGCAGGTTAAATGGGCTAAGACACCAGGCAAGAGTTGATAGTGCCTTGGACTGCAGTAGTGGTAGCAATGGAGAAAAGTGGATACATTTTAAAGAGAGAGTCAATAGAACTTGGTGATGGATTGGAAGTATGGTGGTAAATAAAAGAAAAACAGGGATTAAGACTGGCTCTCTGATTTTAGTTTTGACTTGGGCAATTGAATAGGTGGTGGTACTACTGGGGTCCAGGGGTCTCCTGAGAGGACACTGATTAAGATCTCAACCCAATTTCAGATGTTAGGGGGAGTTCTGGTGTAGACACTTGATGCTAATGAAGGCATGGGAGAACTCAAAAATTAGTTGGAAAACTAAAAAGCGTGACTGTGTTTATACCCAAAATTTGTCAAAGAAGTCATATACATTAAAATTCATTTACTAAAAATAAATTTATGAGGTACCTACTAATGTCCTAGAGCTTCCAGGAGTCTGTAGTTGATCCTTTTTAAACTCTTGTAATTCTTTATACAATTCCTGGGTAATATCATCAATTCTCATGTCTTGACTTATAACATATATGTTAAATTCATCTGATAACTGTATGTATAGTCCAGAGAACTTTTATGCTCCAGGATGTGCGTGTGTGTGCATGCGCACGCACCTGTGTGTACACAAAAGCACATATAACTGCCTACTAGATGTCTATTGGATGCCCTACAGGTATATAAAATTAAATACAACACCAAAAAAACATGATCTTCCAGATAACTATGTTGCTCCCCTTCCTGTGTTTGGTTCTTCAGTCAATGTCATCAAAGCCCAGCCATTCTCCCCACTAAGAACTTGGTTGTCACTCTGTATATTCTATTATTCCATCCTGTCATCCCACATCTGATTAAGTTCCATTAATGCAACCTCCATCACATCATTCATATTTCTTCATCCCCTTTTCTGTGACTACAAGTCATATAATTATTAAACCTCTCATGAAATACTATGATAGTATTCTAGTCCCCTGAACCCTACTGCCTCAATTGCCTTCCGCACCATAACCAGTGTGGTATATCTAACACAAAATTATGACCATGCCACTCTCCCAATCAAAACTCTTCAAAAGCATCTCATTACCTACAGGAAAAAGTCCAAATCCTGTAGCCTGGTATATGCAGCCCTACGTCATTTGGGTCCTGCCTAGTTCTCCCTCCACGTTTCATACCACCACCACCCTACATTTAATGCATCTCAAACTTCTTCCTATTTTCCCAGAAGCATGATGCTCACTCTGCTTCTCTTGCCTAGAATGTCCCTATTCATTACCCACCTCCTAGCTGGTGAGCACCTGCTTATCTTCCAAGAGGTGCCTAAGCTTCCCTTTCTCTATGGTCTTTTCTGTCTGCTGCCAAATTGAATGATCCACTCCCTTCTTTGTGCCCCAACTCTATTTTGTACATATTTCAACTACAGTACTATACATAACACTGTACTTATTTATTTAAAAGTGTATCTTCCCCCCTAGACTGTATGCCCTCAAGGGAAGGGATAATACTCTACTTATATTTGTATCATTAGCATGGAGCTCAGTGCCTAACATGTAACACTAGTTAATAAAATTTTAGTCAATGATTAAGTATGTTAATGAAAGAATTTATATATTGAAACTAGAAATTTGATAGAGGCTATTGTTACTTCGCAAAGACAAATCAAATAATCTGAAGACAAAACATAGAAAAGCATGGAAGAAAAATTATCAAAGGAATAACATGAAATAATTTTGTAGCTGAAGGAAAACAGAAGATTATCGGGGGAACCCGCCTCCAATATTTCAACATAGGTTCTTTCTGTTTTCCTTAAGTGTTGGCCGGCTGAGAAATAAAGAGAGACAATATAAAGAGAGGAATTTTACAGCTGAGCCGCTGGCGGTGACATCACATATTGGTAGGACTGTGATGCCCACCTGATCCTCAAACCAGCAAGTTTTTATTAAGGGTTTCAAAAGGGGAGGGGGTGTAAGAACTGGGAGTAGGTACAAAGATCACATGCTTCAAAGGGCAAAAAGCAGAACTACTAACAAGGGTCTAACAAAGACCACATGCTTCTGAGTGAACAGGACAAAGCGCAAAAGCAGAACTACTGATAAGGGTCCAACAAAGATCACAAGTCAAAGGGCAAAAGCAGAACTACTGAAAAGGGTCTATGTTCAGCGGTGCACTATTGTCTTGATAAACATCTTAAACAACAGAAAACAAGGTTTGAGAGCAGAGAACCGGTCCGACCACAAATTTACCAGGGTGGAGTTTTTCCCCATCCTAGTAAGCCTGAGGGTACCGCAGGAGACCAGAGCATATCTCAGTCCTTATCTCAACCGCATAAGACAGACATTCCCAGAATGGCCATTTATAGACCTCCTCCCAGGAATGCATCCCTTTCCCAGGGTATTAAGATTAATATTCCTTGCTAGGAAAAGAATTTAGCGATATCTCTCCTACTTGCACGTCCATTTATAGGCTCTCTGCAAGAAGAAAAATATGCCTTTTTTTGCCCAACCCCGCAGGCAGTCAGACCTTATGGTTGTCTTCCCTTGTTCCATAAAAATCGCTGTTACTCTGTTCTTTTTCAAGGTGCACTCATTTCATATTGTTCAAACACACATATTTTACAATCAATTGGTACAGTTAACACAATTATCACAGTGGTCCTGAGATGACGTACATCCTCAGCTTATGAAGATAACAGAATTAAGAGATTAAAGTAAAGACAGGCATAAGAAATCATAAAAGTATTATTTGGGAACTGATAGATGTCCATATTAAAATGAAATCTTCACAACTTATGATCCTCTGCCACAGCTCCAGCCAGTCCCTCTGTTCGAGGTCCCTGACTTCCCGCAATAGATGACTTCCAACTGAAATAGCTTATTTGCCAAGTAGAATAAAGGAAAAAGAAATACTGCATACACTTTAGTATAGCTGTAAAAATTCCAAACTTAAAGCATCCAAAGACAATAGAAAGCCACCCATTTTAAGGTTTACAGTTAATTTTCTTTCCAGCATTCATAGGTTCCTCCATCTTCCTTTTAGGGCAATTCTATTTTATTTTATTTCAGACTCAGGGGTACACGTGCAGGATTTATATAGATAAATTGCATATGACAAGGGTAACTCTTTAATCAACAACAGATAAATGCTACAGATTTTAGTGCTCTGCTCTTACCACACCTAAAATTTGAGAATGCCTTGGGAATTGGGCAGTAGGAAGAAACAGTAAGGACTTTGAAAAGGGTATTAGTGAAAAGGAAAATGCCTGAAGCAGCTTTTAATAGAACCTGGAGGCCTTTAAGGAGGCTGCTTGTGGGAGCTTACAGAAAACTAAGGAAAGTGTTATTGAAAACTGGAGAAAGGGAATCCTTGTCATGTTGTAACAGGAAGAAGCAATACTGATGCCTACAGTCATATGGAAAACAGAAAATGCATCTAGCAAGTTGAGTGACTGAGTGGAGATTTCCAGACAGAGTTGAAGGTGTCAGTCACCTAGTTTCTTCTTATTGCTTATATTAAAATACAAGAGGAAAGAGACAAGCTGAAGAAAGAACTTTTATACAAAAAGAAGCCTGGACTAGATGAAGCCAGCTTTTGAAAGTTTTCAGCCCCTTGGGATGGAAAGCAATGCTGAAATTAAGATATGACTTCTAGGAGAATATAAGATCCTGGGCACTGTCAGGAGAACAGTGTCTAAACATGAAGCCATGCATGTGGCTATTTACACCTTGGAAAGATTTAGGATGATGTCTTAAAAGACAGAGCTTGCTAAGAAGCTTAAGGGTGCTATCTCTCAACAGTCTCAGCTGAAGATCAATGAGAAGAAGGGCTTATCATAAAGAAACTCCTGTGTGTGGATCTTGTGTCAAATGGAGGGAATCCCTTAATAGGAAAATTATACTGGTTTGGATTAAAGGAACAGCAACAATACAAAACAAAGAGAAGCACTTGACCCCCAAAACTTCTACAGACAGGAAGCAAGCAGAGAGATGATTCAGCTGCAGACACAGGCAACCTTCCATGGAAAAGGCAGGATCTCCCAGAGAAGCCCAGAAGGCAGAGCCAAGAGCCTGTCTTGGCTCTTAGAAGAGAATCATTTCAGGAAAGGAGCAGGACTGAGTCAAGGAACTTCCAATCAAGAAAACTCCAACTGGATTGAAATCAGTATAGGCCCATGACAACGTTTTCCCTCTTCTTGAATGGGACTGTCTATAGTGATTATCCTATATCTGCCTCCCACTGTATGCTGGGTGTGTGGAGCAGATGGCCTGTCTCTTTAATTCATGGACCTTTAGCAGGAACTGTACTCCAGGACGTGTGTACGAAGAAACACACCTACACTTACCCCCAGTTAAGATGGCAAAAGACCCTGAACTTCAAGTAAGATGCTATATAGAGATGATTTGTGTGGCATCTTAGGAAGTGGTGAGTGTATTTTTCATGTGGGAAAGACGTGAGTCATGGGGGGCCAGAGGGAAGACTGTGGTAGGCAGCTTCCAAGATGATTGCACGTCTGTTATTCACGACCTCATGAAGTCCCCTCCCACATTAAGTAGGACTGAACTGTATAATCAAGAGGATACTGTAGAAATGATGGAGGGTGACTTCCAAAGCTAGGTCCTAAAACACATCAAGGTTTCTGCCTGGCTCTGTCTTTGAATGTCTGCCCTGGGAGCCAGTGTCTTGTAGGAAGGATGCTCAAGTAGCCCCAGTGAGAGGTCCTAGAACCAGAAACTAAGACCTCCTGCCAAGAGTCAAAACCAACTCACTATCCATGTGAGTGAACCATCCTAGAAGAAAATTTTCAAATTATGGTCAAGTCTTCAGATGACTACAGCCCAGCTGACGTCTTGACTACAGTCTCATAAGATACCCTGAGCCAGGACCACACAGCGAATTTGCTGCTGTATTCTTCACCCACAGAAACTGTGGGACATTACTGCTATTGTAAGTCACTCAATTTTAGGGTAGTTTGTGGCAGAGCAATAGACAATAAAAGAGATGTAAGTAACTTTAATAGCACAAGTTACCAATAAAGTAGAATAACTATATTGGGAGTATAGAGAAGGGGTGAGCAGGTGTATGTAAATGGGCAAAATCAACATTTGCCACAAGAGAAAGCCAATAGAAAATGTCTAAAATTAATAAACAAAAAAAAGGCAAGTAAAAAAATTGTTTAGAAATCTACAGATAAAAGTATTGAAAAAACTAAAATAGAAATGATTCAAAGTAACCACTTTTGCATAGAGAATTCTCACTTTTCATTATAAGTCCTCTGTTCCATTTGATTTTTAAGCCAAATTCACCATATATGCGTATATATATGTATTTTTTGAGACAGTCTTGCTCTCCCACCCAGGCTGTAGTGCGGTGGCACAATCACAGCTCACTGAACAGCCTTGAACTCCTGGGCTCAAACAATTTCCTGCCTCAGCCTCCTGAATAGCTGGAGCTACTGGCATGCACCACCACACCCAGGTGATTTTTTATATTTATCTAGAGATAAATTACAGAGAGATGAAGTCTCACTACCTTGCCCAGGCTGGTCTCAAATCCTGGCTTCAACTGATCCTCCTGCCTCAACCTCCCAAAGTGCTGGGATTACAGGCATAAGCCACCGCACCCAGTCTTGGGTGAATACTTCAAAGCTGACCTGTCATGACTTCTACATTGTAAATTTTGAATATTTTCATAGAAGCATTTTTTTAATTAACTAGAAGTCCATCTTATATGTTACAATTTAAGTAAAGGCAAATCTTGATACAAGCTCGTCTATTAAAAGCAAATGACTCTCAGCTATAATCACAGGGTACAATCCAAATTTATGCAGATGTTCCTGAAAAATATTTCAAACAGAGGAATGCAATAATATTGAGAATAAAAAGGTCTGCAAAGCATAGCAAGCAAATGAAGACAAGCAGCAGGAGTGCTAAGCTTAATACCAGAACAAGTTATTTTCAGAGCCAAAAGCACACTGAGACAAAGAAAGATAACCTTTTAATAATAGAATGCATAATCTAAAAGAAGTGTCATTGTTACTATATCAAATAATACAAATAATATAGTGTCAATATTTGCACAGCAAACCTATAGAGAATTTTAAAAATGAACTTTATCAAAGACTTTAACTCAATTTTCTCAGTCTATGATTGTTCAACTGGTCAAAAATTAGGTAATAAAACAGAAAATCCAAAGAACAATGGGATGAGGCAGCTTTTATTGTTGTCTCTATAACTCTCTCCTTGAAATAAAGTATCTTCTTTTCAAATACATATGGGACATTATAAAAATAATTGACCATAAATATGAGGCTGCTAATAAAACTTCAATAAATTCCAGAATGTAGATATGGCACAGAGGATATTTTCCGATCACAGTACAATAAAAGAAGCAATGAATAACGAAACTAGAAAAGAAACAGACAAAACCCACAATAATGAGGTAAAAAACAAAAACTTCCTCATAAAACTGGGTTTGGGTTTAGGAGAAAAATAAAACCCAAATGACAGAATCCTAACAATAATAAAAGCATTACATATCATACTTATGGAATTCAGCTACAATAAATTGTTCTGCAAATTGCAGAAGAAAACTCATAGTTCCAAACATTTATCTTAATGAACAAAATAAATGAAATATCTACTCAAGAGATTAGAAAAATAACAAATAAATCTAAACGACACAAAAACATAAAAACCACAGAGCAATGAAAGCAGAAAATCAATCCCAAAACACTAAAAAGGACTAATAAATAAAAAAGGAGAAATGTACAAAAATATCAAATGAGTATATGATTGGTTAACTTTATCATACAAAAAACTACACAAATTTATAAAATAAATTCCCTAATAATATTAGGGAAATTACCACAGATTATAAGAAATTAAAATAATGATAAGTAATCAACAGAAATTACTTTACTGAACTCTACATAAATAAATTTGAAGACTGGATGAAATTAATGATTTTCTAGAAAAATATAAATCATAAAAACCCTACCAGAGATAGAAAATTTAAACCTAACATAATTTCCATAGCAGAAATAATTTTCTTAGAGGGACCTCCCCCAAAACACCACAACCAGTTGATTACTTAGGTTTATCAGGAAATCTTAATGAAATTCACAGTAAATAGGTCAAAAGTGGAAAAACCGTATGATTGGCTCCATAAATGTTTAAAAATCAGCTAAAATTTAGTGTTCACGCTTTTATTTTAAAATACCTCTTAATCAAATAGAACATTGTTTTAAAAAGAATGCATTCTTTTTTTATTATTATACTTTAAGTTCAAGGGTACATGTGCACAAAGTGCAGGTTTGTTACATAGGTATACATGTACTATGTTGGTTTGCTGCACCCATCAACTCGTCATTTACATTAGGTATTTCTCCTAATGCTATCCCTCCCCCAGTCCCCCACTCCCTCACAGGCCCCAGTGTATGATGTTCCCCGCCTTGTTTCCATGTGTTCTCATTGTTCAACTCCCACCTATGAGTGAGAACACATGGTGTTTGGCTTTCTGTCCTTGTGATAGTTTGCTTACAATGCTGGTTTCCAGCTTCATCCATGTCCCTGCAAAGGACATAAACTCATCCTTTTTATGGCTGCAAAGTATTCCATGGTGTATATTTGCCACATTTTCTTAATCAGTCTATCATTGATGGACATTTGGGTTGGTTCCACGTCTTTGCTATTGTGAATAATGCTGCAATAAACAAATGTCTGCATTTGTCTTCATGGTAGAATGATTTATAATCCTTTGGGTATATACCCAGTAATGGGATGGCTGGGTCAAATGGTATTTCTAGTTCTAGATCCTTGAGGAATCACCACACTGTCTTCCACATGGTTGAACTAATTTACACTCCTACCAACAGTAAAAAAGCATTCCTACTTCTCTACATCCTCTGCAGCATCTGTTTTTTCCCTTTTAATGATCGCCATTCTAACTGGCATGAGATGGTATCTCATTGTGGTTTTGATCTGCATTTCTCTGATGACCAGTGATGATGAGCATTTTTTCATATGTCTGTTGGCTGCATAAATGTCTTCTTTTGAGAAGTGTCTATTCATATCCTTTGGCCACTTTTTGATGGGGTTGTTTCTTTCTTGTAAATTTGTTTAAGTTCTTTGTAGATTCTGGATATTAGCCCTTTGTCAGATGGGTAGATTGCAAAAATTTTCTCCCATTCTTAGGCTGCCTGTTCACTCTGATGGTAGTTTCTTCTGCTGTGCAGAGGCTCTTTAGTTTAATTAGATCCCATTTGTCTATTTTTGCTTTTGTAGCCATTGCTTTTGGTGTTTTAGTCATGAAGACTTTGCCCATGCCTATGTCCTGAATTGCATCGCCTAGGTTTTCTTCTAGGGTTTTTATGGTGTTAGGTCTTACATTTAAGACTTTAATCCATCTTGAGTTAATTTTTGTATAAAGTGTAAGGAAGGGATCCAGTTTCAGCTTTCTACATATGGCTAGCCAGTTTTCCCAGCACCATTTATTAAATAGGGAATCCTTTCCCCATTTCTTGTTTTTGTCATGTTTGTCAAAGATCAGATAGTTGTAGATGTGTGGTGTTATTTCTGAGGCCTCTGTTCTGTTCCACTTGTCTATATCTCTGTTTTGATACTAGTACCATGCTGTTTTGGTTACTGCAGCCTTGTAGTGTAGTTTGAAGTCAGGTAGTGTGATGCCTCCAGCTTTGTTCTTTTTGCTAAGAACTGTCTTGGCTATGCGGGCTCTTTTTTGGTTCCATATGAACTTCAAAGTAGTTTTCTCCAATTTTGTGAAGAAAGTCATTGCTAGCTTGATGGAGATGGCATTGAATCTATAAATTACCTTGGGCAGTAAGGCCATTTTCATGATATTGATTCCTCCTACCCATGAGCATGGAATGTTCTTCCATTTGTTTGTGTCCTCTTTTATTTCATTGAACAGTGGTTTGCAGTTCTGCTTGAAGGTCCTTCACATCCCTTGTAAGTTGGATTTCTACGTATTTTATTCTCTTTGTAGTAATCTTGAATGGGAGTTCACTCATGATTTGACTCTCTGTTTGTCTGTTATTGGTGTATAGGAATGCTTGTGATTTTTGCACATTGATTTTGTATCCTGAGACTTTGCTGAAGTTGCTTATCAGCTTAAGGAGATTTTTGGGCTAAGACGATGGGGTTTTCTAAATATACAATCATGTCATCTGCAAACAGGGACAATTTGACTTCCTCTTTTCCTAATTGAATACCGTTTATTTCTTTCTCTTGCCTGATTGCCCTTGTCAGAATTTCCAATGCTATGTTGAATAGGAGTGGTGAAAGTGGGCATCCTTGTCTGGTGCTGGTTTTCAAAGGGAAAGCTTCCAGTTTTTGCCTATTCAGTATGATATTGGCTGTGGGTTTGTCATAAATAGCTCTTATTATTTTGAGATACCCTCCATCAATACCTAGTTTATTGAGAGTTTTTAGCATGAAGTCCTGTTGAATTTTGTCAAAGGCCTTTTCTGCATCTATTGAGATAATCATGTGATTTTTTTGTCATTGGTTCTGTTTATGTGGTGGATTATGTTTATTGATTTGCATATGTTGAACCAACCTTGCATCCTAGGTATGAAGCTGACTTGATCATGGTGAATAAGCTTTTTGATGTGCTCCTGGAGTCAGTTTGCCAGTATTTTATTGAGGATTTTCACATCAATGTTCATCAGGGATATTGGTCTAAAATTCTTTTGTTGTTGTTGTGTCTGTACCAGCCTTTGGTATTAGGATGATGCTGGCCTCATAAAATGAGTTAGGGAGGATTTGCTCTTTTTCTATTGATTGGAATAGTTTCAAAAGGAATGGTACCAGATCATCTTTGTACCTCTGTTAGAATTCGGCTATGAATCCATCTGGTCCTGGACTTTTTTGGTTGGTAGGCTATTAATTATCGCCTCAATTTCAGAGCCTGTTATTGGTCTATTGAGAGATTCAACTTCTTCTTGGTTTAGTCTTAGGAGCGTGTATGTATCCAGGAATTTACCCATTTCTTCTAGATTTTCTAGTTTATTTTCATAAAGGTGTTTATAGTATTCTCTGATGGTGGATTCTTTTTTAAAACACAAAATAACACATCTCTCTCAATCTCAGAGCCAGCATCAGTATTGGATTAGTGGGAAAATCCTAGAAGCATTTCCACTAAAGCCAGGGAAAAAGAGGAAGTCTTTTATCATTGCTATTATGCTAAATTATTCTGCTAGTACCAGACAATACAATTAGAAAACATTTTTTAAAGGCCACATAAACCTTAGAAAGGAAAAAGTATGATTACATGAAGATTGTAAGATTATTTATCTTGAAATCCTTATATAATCAACTGAAACTATATTATATCTAACATAAAATGGTGGCTGGGGTAAAATTCATATTCAAGAAGTCTATAGACTTCATATGTACAAACAAGTTGGAATATAAAATTTTTTTTAAAAACATTCTATTTACAACATCAACAAAAATGACCTAATACCTAGGAATTAGTTTACGAAGATATAATAATAAACTTTAAAATTACTATTTTGGACACAGAAGATCAAATGGAATGACGTCCTATGATTTTGATTAGGATTGATTTAAGAACATAAAAATGTATTTTATTACTAAGTCAATCAGTGCATTTTACACGAAACCAACAAACCAATAAAAAACATTTTAACAAGAAAAAAGTTAACCCTTTTGTAAAATCACATGAAAAATAAACAAGAATAAGAAGAAAGATTCTGAAAGAGGATAAGAATGGTACATAAGGACTGGCTTTGCCAAGTATTAAGACACATTGTAAAGCTATGCTGATTAAAATAATGTTGTCTGGGGTATGACAAGACAGACTCATGAAACAAAAATGGACTCAGTACACATATATAATTTTACTGTGTGTGTATATACATATTTACATACAGGTAATATACATATATACATATAAAATATGTATATGTGATAAGTTTGCATTTCAAATTATTTTAAAAGAATCAGATTATTTAATAAATGGTGTTGGGACAACTGAGTAGCCATCTGAAAAAATAAATTGGTCACTATTTCGCATCTTACACTAAAATAAATTCCACACTGTTAAAAAATTTAAACATAAAAAAATGAAACTGTAAACACACCAAGAGAAAATATGGGAGAGTTTAAAAATATATTATTGGAGTTGCTAAGGCATTTCTGCCTATAATACAGAATCCAGAAGCTATTAAAAAAATTAAATTGTGCAGCCACATCAGTTTAAAACATTTTTGTGTGGCAGAAAAAATAATGACACAGCAAAGAGCTAATGTCCTTAGTTTAAAAGAGCCCCCACAAATCAACAGAAAGTCTAGCAAATTATCAGAAAAATGGACAAAGATATGATTAGGTATTCACAATTTAAAAATATGAAGTGTTTTGAAATTTATGAAAGTAAGTTCAACCTCAGATGCAGTCATAATAAAAGAAATGCCAACTAAAACTACAGTGAGGTGACATTTTTCAAAAAGAAATAAATGAAGTTGAATAAAAGCAGTGTTGATGAATGAGGCAACTGACTCTATCCCACTGGAGGTAGAAGGATATGTTGGTACTACTTCCCTGGAGGGAAACTGGGTAACAAAATGTGTCTTTCGGAATTAAAATTTGATATGCACTTTGCCCCAGCAATCCTTTTTTTTTTTTTTTTTTTTTTGAGACAGAGTCTCACTCTGTGGCCAGGCTGGAGTGCAGTGGCAAGATCTCAGCTCACTGCAACCTCTGCCTTCCGGGTTCAAGTGATTCTCCTGCCTCAGCCTCCCAAGTAACTGGGACTACAGGCATGCACCACCATGCCCAGCTAACTTTTGTATTTTTAGAAGAGACAGGATTTCACCATGTTGGCCAGGATGGTCTCGATCTCTTGACCTTGTGATCTGCCCACCTTGGTCTCCCAAAGTGCTGAGATTACAGGCATGAGCCACCGCGCCCAGGCCCCAGCAATACTTTTAAGGATCTATCCTATGTATAGATTCTTACATGTACAAAGTGATGAAAGTACACAGATATTAATTCTAGCACTCTGTAATGACAAAATATTGGAAACATTTAATATAGTAAAGAGTTAAATCAATTGTGGTACATCACTATATGCCAATATGCTCTCATTTAAATGAAATAGCTTTACGTGTACTATGGGAAGATCTAAAAATATACTGTGAAATACTTACAGAACAGTGTATGTTTGTTACTACTTTAAGTATGTAATATATAGAACCATGTGGTTTTGTTTCTTAAAATTTTGTGCTTGCTATTTCACTTATTTTTATTTTTATATTTTGTTTTATGTTGACAGAATTGTATGTATTTAGCAGGTACAACATGGCATTTTGAAGTATACATACATTGCGGAATGACTAGCTATTATAATTAGCATAGGCATTACCACTTGTAGCCATCATTTTTTGTGGGGAGAACACTTTACATCTACTCTCTTGGCATTTTTCAATAATACTTTATATTATTAGTTATAGTCATCATGTTGTGCAATAAATCTCTTTAACTTATCCTTCCCAACTGAAATTTTGGGTCCTTCAGCTAACATCTTCCCAGAAACCTTCCCCCGACCCCCTGCAACTACGTTAGCCCCTCTGTATTAGTCTGTCTCACACTGCTACACAGAACTTCCTGAGACTGGATAATTTACAAAGTTAAGAGGTTTAATTGACTCATGGTTCTGCATGGCTAGGGAGGTTTCAGGAAACTTACAATCATAGCAGAAGGTGAAGCAGGCATGTCTCGCGTGGCACCATGTGAGAGTGGGGGGGGGGAGAGAGAGAGAGAGCATAGGAAAAACTACCATTTATGCAACCATCAGATCTCATAAGAATTCACTCACTATCATGAGAACAGCATGGGGGGGAACCGCCCCCATAATCCAGTCACTTCCCTCCCTCTACTTATGGGGATTACAATTTGAGATGAGATTTGGGTGGGGACACAGAGCCAAGCCATGTCACCCTCATAACCACCATTCTACTCTCTCTACTTCTATGACCCAACAGGCATATGAAAAGGTGCTCAACATCACTAATCATCAGAGAAATGCAAATAAAAACCACAATGAGACATCACCACACACTTGTTAGAGTGGCCACTACCCAGAAGACAAAAGATCACAAGTGCTGGTAAGGATGTAGAGAAAAGGGAACCCTTGCACACTGTTGGTGGAAATGTAAATTCCTATAGCCACTATGGAAAACATATGGAGGTTCCTAAAAAAATTATCATAGAACTACCATATGATCCAGCAATCCCACTGCTGGTATATATTCAAAGGAAATGAACTCAGTATATCGAAGAGAAACCTGCACCCCCATGTCTGTTGCAACACCATTCATAATAGCCAAGATATGGGATCAATCTAAGTGTCCATCAGTGGATGAATGGATAAAGAAAATGTGGCATATATACACAATGGAATACTATTCAGTCATAAAAAGAAGGAAATCCTGTCATTTACAACAACATGAGTAAACCTGGAAGACATTATGTTAAGTGAAGTAAGCCAGGCACATAAAAATAAATATTGCATTATCTCACTCATATGTGGAATCTAAAAAAGTTGACCACATGAAACCATATTTTTTAATGCATTAACCATTTCTACTAGAACCCTAAGAATTTAGTAACAGTGATTATATTTTCAAGTCTCAATTGCTTCTGGCTCTGAGAACTGGGTTGCTGAGGGACAGATGTAGGAAGAAGACCCTGTTTTCACTGTATCCCCTCATGTACCTTTGAAATTTTGTACATATGCATAAATTATCTGTTTAAAATAAAATAATTTAAAATTTATCTAATGTAAATATTTGTCCATTACGAAATACACTGATTTTAAGTCAAGCCCCCAAATGAGATGTTAGCATTGATGATTTGAATGGGAAAAGGGAACACGGAGGAAATATTTAGGGTTTTGGCATGGTTTCATCTGGAAAAGGGGTATCTCATGCAGTTGTTTTCAATTGCATGGAGATACTGGAGGGGAATGTAACGACGACCAGTTGTGTTTCACCTCTGCTGAGCCTGAAGAAAAAAGCAATTCGAGCAGAAGGGACAGGAGCTACAAAAAATAACATCATTAAAGCGCTCCAGGCTCTTGGTGGAAGCTCACAAACTACGTCACTGGAGCATGGTCTGCTTCTGGGAGGGTTGCTAAATGGTCTCCTCTTTACCCTACCTGTGTGTCATCTTGACCAGACACACAACCAATGACTGCTTCCCAGACAGTTCTTATTTCTGCCTGACACAAGAGCTGCTGGGGTTACAGCAGGGCAGCGAAGGACGGGGAGAAGTGCAGGTGACTGTGTGGCTACGGGAATCAGCAGGCCTGCCCCCAGGACTGGGTAGGATTCAGCACTTCCAGTCCAGCAATAAGGGCCTCCAGGCGGAAGGCACACTGAAGGCGTAGCCTAGGCAGCCCCTTAGATACTCCTCCAGCCAACTAGAGAGAAAACCTCCTGCAGAAATGTCTGAGAGACGGATCCAGGGCCACGCTGGATGAATGGGACAAACTATGAGGACACGGTCAAGAGGAGAGAAGGACTGGCCAGGCGCGGTGGCTCACGCCTGTAATCCCAGCAGTTTGGGAGGACAAGGCAGGCAGATTACCTGAGGTCAAGAGTTTGAGACCAGCCTGGCCAACATGGTGAAACTGCGTCTTTACTAAAAATACAAAAATTAGCTAGGCATTGTGGCAGATGCCTATAATCCCAGCTACTCGGGAGGCTGAGGGAGAACTGCTTGAACCTGGGAAGCAGAGGTTGCTGTGAGCCAAGATCACGCCATTGCACTCCAGCCTGGGGGACAAGAGTGAGACTTTCTCTTAAAAAAAAAAAAAAAAAGATGCATTGAAGGAAGACTCGGCAGAGAACTAACACGAGGGCAAGGTACACCCACTTCTTGCTACTCAAGTTTCCTTGTGAAAATATTAAAAAGGAGAAAACTTTTGTTTAGCTTTAAATGTTTTAAAGGACTTGTTTCTTATTTTCCCTGCCTCTTGGCTTGATTTTCTTTAAGTTTCCTCCCGCAGGGGCCACCTGCATGGTTTACCCTTTGCTTTGAGCTCCAGAAAAGATTTCCCATGGGTGAATGGGGGGCTTCTGTAGCTACTTTGGGGGATGCTGAGGATAGTATAGGCCAGGACTAAATAACTACATGGCGTGATTTAGGAGGTGCCAACGCCCCAGGAAAAATAAACATTTCTCGGTTCCTGAGAACCCAGTTATTTCTCAACTTAGTAAATTACACTCTGCCTAGTAATGAAAAGCTTTTGAGGTACTTTAAAATATACATGATTTTGCAATAAAATTGGTGGGAAGGAAAATTGAGGCCAAATCTTACCATGAAAGCAGAGGAGGGTGAATAAGCAGAAAGACAGGACATGAGGCCCTGCATGATCAGTAACTGAGCCAGAATTCAGTCCTATTTCCTCACAACTAAAATCAGGCAGCTGAAATGCATACACCCCCAAGGAAGGTCATTTGCTGACTTGCATTGTGTAAATGACCAAGAGCAGATCTTTTTCTGGGAACGGGGTTTGGTTTGAAGGGAGAGAGAATGCAAGTTTCCCAAAGACGATGAAGCCTCTCTAACATATCCTATCCTTGTCTCCCACCTCCAAGATCCAATCATAGAAAACCACCCCTAGTGCCTGCACTCTGACCTTTGATCTAAGCCCCATCTAGGATGGAAATGAGGAGGAGGGCTGGCCCTAGACAATATTATGAGGTAGTTTTGGCTTTTGTTGTCATTTGTGTTTCTTCACTCAGACTCTGTTTTTCTCCCATCTGTGTAGTCTTTCTTATTGATTCCATTTTTTTCACAGCACAGTTGTAAGGGTGAGTCCTTGGCCATCCAGTGGCCATGTCTCAGCAGAATAGGACAATCACATTGTGTACCTTTCCTGCCACCAGCAATAGTTTTTGACATGTGAGTAAAATGAATACTACAAGAGGCTTTTAAGGGAAAAACAAGGAGGAAAAGGAATGTCAGAGTCAGGAGACATGGGTACCATTCTTGGCCCTTCTTCTACCTGTTAGCTGTAGACCTATGGGCAAATTATTCCATTTGTTAGTGACATTTCTTTTTGTCTATTTATTTATATTATATTTAAGGTCTAGGGTACATGTGCACAATGTGCAGGTTTGTTAAATATGTATGCATGTGTGCCATGTTGGTTTCCTGCACCCATTAACTCGTCATTTACATTAGGTATTTCTGCTAATGCTATCCCTCTCCCATTCCCCCACCCCACAACAGGCCCCAGTGTGTGATGTTCCATGCCCTGTGTCCAACTTTTCTCATCATTCAATTCCCACCTATGAGTGAGAACCTGTGGTGTTTGGTTTTCTGTTCTTGCAATAGTTTGCTCAGAATGATGGTTTCCAGCTTCATCCATGTCCCTACAAAGGACATGAACTCATCCTTTTTTATGGGTGCATAGTATTCCATGGTGTATATGTGCCACATTTTCTTAATCCAGTCTATCATTGATGGACATTTGGGTTGGTTCCAAGTCTTTGCTATTGTGAATAGTGCCGCAAAAAACATACGTGTGCATATGTCTTTATAGTAGCATGATTTATAATGCTTTGGGTATATACTCAGTAAAGGGATCACTGGGTCAAATGGTATTTCTAGTTCTAGATCTTTGAGGAATCGCCACACTGTCTTCCACAATGGTTGAACTAGTTTACACTCCCAAAAACAGTGTAAAAGTGTTCCTATTTCTCCACATCCTCCCCAGCACCTGTTGTTTCCTAACTTTTTAATGATCACCATTATAACTGGCATGAGATGGTATCTCATTGTGGTTTTCATTTGCATTTCTGTGATGGCCGGTGATGATAAGCATGTTTTCTTGTGTCTGTTGGCTGCATAAATGTCTTCTTTTGAAAAGCATGTGTTCATATCCTTTGGCCGCTTTTTGATCAGGTTGTTTCTTTCTTGTAAATTTGTTTATCTTCTTTGTAGATTCTGGATATTAGCCCTTTGTCAGATGGATAGAATGCAAAAATTTTCTCCCATTCTGTAGGTTGCCTGTTCATTCTGATGGTAGTTTCTTTTGCTGTGCAGAAGCTCTTTAGTTTAATTAGATACCATTTGTCAATTTTGGCTTCTGTTGCCATTGCTTTTGGTGTTTTAGTCATGAAGTCCTTGACCATGCCTATGTCCTGAATGTCTTAGGTTTTCTTCTAGGGTTGTTATGCTGTTAGATCTAACATTTAAGTCTTTAATCCATCTTAAATTAATTTTTGTATAAGGTGTAAGAAAGGGATGCAGTTTCAGCTTTGTACATATGGCTAGCCAGTATTCCCAGCACCATTTATTCAACAGGGAATCCTTTCCCCATTTCTTGTTTTTGTCAGGTTTGTCAAAGATCAGATGGTTGTAGATGTATGGTGTTATGTCTGAGGCCTCTATTCTGTTCCATTGGTGTATATCTCTGTTTTGGTACCAGTACCATGCTGTTTTGGTTACTGTAGCCTTGTAGTATAGTTTGAAGTCAGGTAGCATGATGCCTCCAGCTTTGTCCTTTTCGCTTGGGATTGTCTTCTCAATTAGGGCTCTTTTTTGGTTCCATATGAACTTCAAAGTAGTTTTCTCCAATTCTGTGAAGAAAGTCATTGGTAGCTTGATGGGGATGGCATTGAATCTATAAATTACCTTGGGCAGTATGGCCATTTTCACGATATTGATTCTTGCTACCCATGAGCATGGAATGTTCTTCCATTTGTTTGTGTCCTCTTTTACTTTGTTGAGCAGTGGTTTGTAGTTCTGCTTGAAGAGGTCCTTTACATCCCTTGTAAGTTGTATTCCTAGGTATTTTATTCTCTTTGTAGCAGTTGTGAATGGGAGTTCACTCATGATTTGGCTCTCTGTTTCTCTGTTATTGGTGTATAAGACTGCTTGTGATTCTTGCACATTGATTTTGTATCCTGAGACTTTGCTGAAGTTGCTTATCAGCTTAAGGAGATTTCGGGCTGAGATGATGGGGTTTTCTAAGTATACAATCATGTCATCTGCAAACAGGGACAATTTGACTTCCTCTTTTCCTAATTGAATACCCTTTATTTCCTTCTCCTGCCTGATTGCCCTGGCCAGAACTTCCAACACTATGTTGAATAGGAGTGGTGAGAGAGGGCATCCCTGTCTTGTGCCAGGTTTCAAAGGGAATGCTTCCAGTTTTTGCCTATTCAGTATGATATTGGCTGTGAGTTTGTCATAGATAGTTCTTATTATTTTGAGATACCTTCCATCAATACCTAGTTTATTGAGAGTTTTTAGCATGAAGCATTGTTGAATTTTGTCAAAGTCCTTTTCTGCATCTATTGAGATAATCATGTGGTTTTTGTCATTGGTTCTGTTTATGTGATGGATTACATTTATTGATTTGCATATGTTGAACCAGCCTTGCATCCCAGGGATGAAGCTAACTTGATCTTGGTGGATAAGCTTTTTGATGTGCTGCTGGATTCGGTTTGCCAGTATTTTATTGAGGATTTTCGCAGCGATGTTCATCAGGGATATTGGTCTAAACTTCTCTTTTTTGTTGTTGTGTCTCTACCAGGCTTTGGTTTCAGGATGATGCTGGCCTCATAAAATGAATTAAGGAGGATTCTTTTTCTATTGATTGGAATAATTTCAGAAGGAATGGTACCAGATCCTCTTTGTGCCTCTGGTAGAATTCAGCTGTGAATCCGTCTGGTCCTGGACTTCTTTTGTTTGGTAGGCTGTTAATTATTGCCTCAATCTCAGAGCCTGTTATTGGTCTATTCAACTTCTTCCTGGTTTAGTCTTGGGAGTGTGTATGTGTCCAGGAATTTATCCATTTCTTCTAGATTTTCTAGTTAATTTCCGTAGAGGTATTTATAGTATTGTCTGATGGTAGTTTGTATTTCTGTGGGATCAGTGGTAATATCCCCTTTATCATTTTTTATTGCGTCTACCTGATTCTTCTCTCTTCTTTATTAGTGTTGCTAGTGGTCTATCAATTTCGTTGATCTTTTCAAAAACCAGCTCCTGGATTCATTGATTTTTGAAGGGTTTTTTGCATCTCTAACTCCTTCAGTTCTGCTCTGATCTTAGTTATTTCTTGCCTTCTGCTAGCTTTTGAATTTTTTGCTCTTGCTTCTGTAGTTCTTTTAATTGTCATGTTAGGGTGTCAATTTTAGATCTTTCCTGCTTTCTCTTCTGGGCATTTAGTGCTATAAATTTCCGTCTACACACTGTTTTAAATGTGTACCAAAGATTCTGGTATGTTGTGTCTTTGTTCTCACTGCTTTCAAAGAACATCTTTATCTCTGCCTTCATTGAGTTATTTACCCAGTAGTCATTCAGGAGCAGGTTGTTCAGTTTCCATGTAGTTGTGTGGTTTTGAGTGAATTTCTTATTTCTGAGTTCTAATTTGATTGCACTGTGGCCTGAGAGACAGTTTGTTGTGATTTCTGTTCTTTTACATTTGCTGAGGAGTGCTTTTCTTCTAACTATGTGGTCAATTTTGGAATCAGTGCAATGTGGTGCTGAGAAGAATGTATATTCTGTTGATTTGAGGTGGACAGTTTTATAAATGTCTATTAGTTCTGCTTGGTCCAGAGCTGAGTTCAAGTCCTAGATATCCTGGTTAACCTTCTGTCTCGTTGATCTGTCTAATATTGACAGCGGGGTGTTAAAGTCTCCCATTATTATTGTGTGGGAGTCTAAGTCTCTTTATAGGTCTCTAAGGACTTGCTTTATGAATCTGGGTGCTCCTGTATTGGGTGCATATATATTTAGGACAGTTAGCTCTTCTTGTTGCATTGATCCCTTTACCATTATGTAATGGCCTTCTTTGTCTCTTTTGATCTTTGTTGGTTTAAAGTCTGTTTTATCAGACACTAGGATCACAACCCTGCTTTTTTTTGCTTTCCATTTGCTTGGTAGATCTTCCTCCATCCCTTTATTTTGAGCCTATGTGTGTCTCTGCACATGAGATGGGTCTCCTGAATACAGCACACTGATAGGTCTTGACTCTTTATCCAATTTGCCAGTCTGTGTCTTTTAATTGGAGCATTTAGCCCATTTACATTTAAGGTTAATATTGTTATGTGTGAATTTGATCCTGTCATTATGATGTTAGCTGGTTATTTTGCCCATTAGTTGATGCAGTTTCTTCCTAGCATTGATGGTCTTTACAATTTGGCATGTTTTTGCAGTGGCTGGTACTGGTTGTTCCTTTCCATGTTTAGTGCTTCCTTTAGGAGCTCTTGTAAGGCAGGCCTGGTGGAGATAAAAACTCTCAGCATTTGCTTGTCTGTAAAGGATTTTATTTCTCCTTTACTTATGAAGTTTAGTTTGGCTGGATATGAAACTGTGGGTTGAAAATTCTTTTCTTTAAGAATGTTGAGTATGGCCCCCCACTGTCTACTGGCTTGTAGAGTTTCTGCTGAGAGATCAGCTGTTAGTTTCATGGGCTTTCCTTTGTGGGTAACCCAACCTTTCTCTCTGGCTGCCCTTAACATTTTTTCCTTCATTTCAACCGTGGTGAATCTGACAACTATGTGTCTTGAGGTTGCTCTTCTCGAGGAGTATCTTTGTGATGTCCCTGTATTTCCCGAATTTGAATGTTGGCCTGCCTTGCTAGGTTGGGGAAGTTCTCCTGGATAATATCCTGAAGCGTGTTTTTCAGCTTGGTTTCATTCTCTCTGTCACTTTCAGGTACACCAATCAAATGTAGATTTGGTCTTTTCACATAGTCCCATATTTCTTGAAGGCTTTGTTTCTTTTTACTCTTTTTTCTCTAAACTTCTCTTCTCGCTTCATATCATTCATTTGATCTTCAATCACTGATACCCTTTCTTCCACTTGACCGAATCAGCTACTGAAGCTTGTGCATGCGTCACGTCGTTCTCATGCCATGGTTTTCAGCTCCATCAGGTCCTTTAAGGTCTTCTCTACACCATTTACTCTAGTGATCCGTCTCATCTTTTTTCAAGGTTTTTAGCTTCCTTGTAATGGGTTCGAACATCCTCCTTTAGCTCAGAGAAGTTTGTTATTACCGACCTTCTGAAGCCTACTTCTGCCAACTTGTCAAAGTCATTCTCTGTCCAGCTTTGTTCCGTTGCTGGTGAGGAGCTGCAATCCTTTGGAGGAGAAGAGGTGCTCTGGTTTTTAGAATTTTCAGCTTTTCTGCTCTGGTTTCTCACCATCTTTGTGGTTTTATCTACCTTTGGTCTTTGATCATGGTGACCTAGAGATGGGGTTTTGGTGTGGATGTACTTTTTGTTGATGATGGTGTTCCTTTCTGTTTGTTAGTTTTCCTTCAAACAGTCAGGTCCCTCAGCTGCAGGTGTGTTGGAGTTTGCTGGAGGTCCACTCCAGACACTGTTTTCCTGCATACCACCAGCAGAGGCTGCAGAGCAGCAAATATTGCAGAACAGCAAATATTGCTGCCTGATCCTTCCTCTGGAAGCTTCAACTAAGAGGGGCACCCAGGTGTATGAGATGTCAGTTGGCCCCTAATGGGAGGTGTCTCCCAGTTAGGCTACATGGGGGTCAGGGATCTACTTGAGGAGACAGTCTGTCCGTCCTCAGAGCTCAAACACCATGCTGGGAGAACCACTGCTCTCTTCAGAGCTGTCAGTCAGGGATGTTTAAGTCTGCAGAAGTTTCTGCTGCCTTTAGTTCAGCTATGCCCTGCCCCCAGAGTTGAAGTCTACAGATGCAGGCAGGCCTCAGTGAGCTGCGGTGGACTCCACCCAGTTCGAGTTTCCCAGCCGCTTTGTTTACCTACTCAAGCCTCAGCAATGGCGGAGCCCCTCCCCCAGCCAGGCTGCCGCCTAGCAGTTCAATCTCAGACTGCTGCGCTAGCAGTGAGCAAGGCTCCATGGGTGTGGGACCCACTAAACCAGGCATAGGATATAATCTCCTGCTGTGCCATTTGCTAAGACCATTGGAAAAGCGCAGTGTTTTGGTGGCAGTGTCGCGATTTTCCCAGTACGGTCTGTCACAGCTTCCCTTGGCTAGGACAGGGAAATCCCTGGACTCCTTAGGCTTCCCAGGTGAGGCATGCCCCACCCTGCTTCAGCTCGCCCTCTGTGGGCTGCACCCACTGTCCAACCAGTCCCAATGAGAAGAACCACATAGCTCAGTTAGAAATGCAGAAATCACCCGTCTTCTGTGTTGATCACGCTGGGAGCTGCAGACTGGAGCTGTTCCTATTTGGCCATCTTGGAACAGAACTGTTGGGGACATTTCTAAAATTGGCAATATACTGATCGCCTTAGGACCAAATCATCAAGATCTACTTCTGTAAGAGACGTAGTCAAAGAACAACATGCAGCCATGGAAAACTGAGTGGGCTGGAGGAGTGATTGTATATACAAAATGGATCTGGGCTGTGTTTAAAGCAAACTAGTCAGTTCCCCAAGACCATTATGGGACATAGGAGAGCCATAGTACTCCCATTTGTAGAAATCCAAACCCACCCCACATCATAAAAATATCATAAAGGTATGCTTAATCCACAGTATATATACTTTTTTTTTTTTTTTTTTTTTGGAGACAGAGTCTTACTCTGTCGCCCAGACTGGAGAGCAGTGGTGCAATCTCAGCACGCTACAACCTCTGCCTCCTAGGTTCAAGCAATCGTCCTGCCTCAGCCTCCTGAGTACCCTGGACTACAAGCATGAGCCACCGCATCTGGCTAATTTTTGTATTTTTAGTACAGACGGGGTTTTGCCATGTTGGCCAGGCTAGTCCCGACCTCAAGTGATCCACCTGCCTCAGCCTCTCAAAGTGCTGAGATTACAGGTATGATTCACCACACCTAGCCCACATTATATATACTTTTTAATTGAAAATTTAAAATGTATTTACATTTTTACTTTTACTTTTGTAAATTACATTGTAATTTACACTCGACTCTGATATTTTGGTACTCATTAGGCCTCCTCAGGAATTTTTGTAAAGTGAAAAAAGGCTAGCCTGAAGTTGTGCTTGAATGTAATAAGCTTTTTATAAGTATTAAATTCAGCATTTAGTAACACTAACATATATTTGTGGACATTTAGTCAAATATTTTTCAAGCTCGATTTTGCAGCTTTCTTGGAATATACTGAAGCCAATGATTATATTTTCAGGTCTCAAGCCTTAATAAGTTAAAATCTCTTAGATTGTAAGCCTTCTAGCTACCTGGTCTCATGGTAGCAACAGAAAGGTACTGAGAAGTGCTACACACTTCAGGGAAGTTTTTCTATGGTGTGGACTTGGGGGACCCTGGCCACTGACAGAGGCACAGGTCTCTGTTTCATTAGCGTGACTTTAGTGCTGTGGCTTCAAAGTCTGGCAAAGAAAGAAATGCAGAATCCAATCAGACATCATTTGATGTATTTGAAAAATTCAGCCTGGACTAAAAGAAAACAAATTAAACAACAAACAAAAATCAAGATCCAATCAAGCCATGAAGCAGACCAAGTTAGGCTGCTTTGGGCTGGGAGCCGGCTGACTGAAATCAGATGGAAGACTTAGGGACAGGTATAACCAGGGACTATGGTTTGGATATTTGTCCTCTCCAAACCTCATGTTGAAATTTGATCCCCAATGTGTTAGAAAGTGGGGACTAATGGGAAGTATTTAGATCATGGGGGTGGATCCCTCATGAACAGATTAATTACCTCCTTCCAGCATGAGCAAGTTCCCACCACTCTATTCCTTCCTATGATAGCTGGTTGTTAATAAGAGCCTGACACCTCCCTCCTCCCTCCCTTGCCTCCTCCCTTGTCATGTGATCTATTTACACATGCTGGCTCTCTTTCCACCTTCCACCATGAGTTGAAGCAGCCTAAGAACTTCACCTTGTACAGATGCCCAGTCTTGAACTTTCTAGCCACCAGAATCGTGAGCTAAATAAACCTCTTTACTTTATAAACTACCCAGTCTCAAGGATTCTGTTATAGCAACACTAAATGGACTAAAACACCAGGAGAATGAAATCCTAATTGAAAGAAACGTTCCTGAAATCCCATATTATAGAAACCATGAAAGGGGGCTCAGCATGTCATTAGTGGCCTGGGAGATCACTCACCTTGCAGGGGCTCCAGTTAGCTACTGTATAACAAACTACCCTGAAACTTAGTACTTTATAACAACAATTGTTACTTTTATATTTCACAGTTTTGTAGGTGAGGAATTCAAATGGAGTTCTGCAGAGATGGTTTGATTCAGAAGTACAGTGTCTGGACCCCCAGCTAGAATGAATGGTTCAGGATTGGGAGAGTGGGACCGACCAGGCATCTCTCTCCACACACATCATTTCCACATAGCTAGTTTGGGCTTCTCCAGGACATGGTGACCTGAAGCTGGTCAAGCATCTTACATGGCAGCTGGCTTCCCTCAGTGTGAACATTCCAGGAGACCAGATGCCAGTAGCATTTTATTTTTGCCAATTCTATTGGTTTCACATAAAACCAATTTGGAGCCATAGTACCAGGCCAGATTTGAGAACAGGCACTACACAAGGATTTGGGTTCCAAGAGGCATGGCTCATCCGGAAGCCATTCTTGGAGACTGTTGAGTTTCTCATCTTGGCTCAATTATCTAATTAGTAAGTGCTGCAAGTCCCTGAGGATGGTGACCCCAATTCACCTAAGACAGTAAAACATTTAATCCTGGAAGAACTTAGAATGAAGTAAAGAGAGATAGTAAATCAAATGCTCAGTAATAACTTGGGGCTAAATTTAGGAATAATTCATGCATTTGATGTTTAAAGTGTTATGTTTAAGAGAATTTGGCATATTTGTGTGTCTGACAGATTAGCTCTGTGATTCCAATTTAAAATATATAATTAATTTGTTTTACAGCTTGAGATTTTTGGTCAAAAGGAATAAGAGAACAGGTTTGTGAACAATACTGGAATGTTTAAGGGTACTTGGGATTCACTGTATTTTAAAGATTGTTTTAATTAGATTTAGGGGAATGGGTAGGTAAAGACGATGTGCTTTTTAGGCTAGCCATTCCAAATGTTCCAAAAGAAATCAAGTATATTACAATTACAAAACCAGCTTAAAACATTTGAAAAAATAAAATTAAGTCATAAAGTTGATTATTTAGGGTATTTTCATTATTCAGTATAAGTTGATTACATGGTAATCAAAAACTTCCTTAAAAATTATTTTTAAAGCTTACTGTATTTATAATTAGAATAAAATGAATTTAAAGTTTAATATCAACTAGGGGGCTTAAAGAGAACTAGGATTTAAAATTATTACAGTAATAAATTAAAAATTATTTTTGTTCAAAGTAGCCACAAATAGTCTTCATTGTGCACAAAGCCATCCATGCACACTAAGCGAACACATATCTTCTGATTCCATTTTATTCCTCCCCACTCCTTGAAACCCCAGCAGTCTCTGCCTTATTATCTCATAATTATCATACATGGTGCTAATCCTTGTTAGTCTATTAAGAGTAGAAGTATTGACTTCTAATTTAATACTCCTTGAAAAAGAATGTGGTCTCAGAGGCAGATAATCAGAAGGTATGTTTGGGAGACTGTACATTCCCACACAGATCCATGGTTGGGGGCCTGAAGTTTATGTAATTAGGGAGAGCGAAACTCTTTAAGAAAAATAACCATCACGAAATTAGTGGTAAAAACCAACAGCTATTTACAGAATAAGAAGTCATAATAAATTATAAATTTTAAAAATTCTGCAAAATTATAAAGTCTAGAGAAATATTACTGCCTGATTTACTCCGTAATACGTTTTTTTCTTTTTTTAATTAGATTTTAGAATTTACTACAGAGGTACAGTTAATCAAGATTATGTAGCACTGGCATAAGGACAGACATGTATGTAAAAGGAACAGAATAGGATGTCCAAAAAGCAATGCGCACAGATAACAAATTGACCTTTAACAAACGTTCCAGGGTAAGTCCTTAGAGAAAGGACACTACGTTCAACAAGTGGTGATATCTTGGACAACTTGTACCAAATGCATCATTATCCATTTCTTGTACCACATACAAAAATCAACTTGAACCAAAAAAGTGTAAAAACCAAAATGGTAACATTTCTAGAATAAATAAAAGAAAATTTTTGCGTTCTTATTATTTACAAATAGTTCATATATAGGATGTAAAACTATAAACCATAATAGAAAGCAACAATAAATTAGTCATCATCAGTAAATATTTTTTAAAAATAAAAGCATAAGCTGTGGTCTGGGAGACCATATTTACATAATACATGTCTGATAAAGATTTTAATTTCAAAAAATATAAAGGACTTTTACAACCAAAACCATACATGTGCAAATGAAGAGATATAAATGGCAAAGCCAGAAATGAAACGACGCCTAAAGTCACTAGACATTATAAAAATCAAAATCAAAATCTCATTGAGCTACATTACACACTACCAGAATGATAAAAATTAAAGACAAGAACAGAAACAGACAATGCAAATGCTGGCAAGGATATGAAGATGCCAGATCTCTCACATGATGTTGGGAATGCAGTGGGAAAACTAACCCAGAAAACAATCTGCAAGTGCCTTTTGTATTCCAACAAACACTTACCAAACAACGCAGCGATCTCACTTTTTGTGTTTATTAAAGAGCATACGTATATGTGAATATTCATAGCACTTTTATTAAAAAGTATCAAAAATTGAAACTATATGTCCATCAAGTGAGGAATATATACATAAACTGTGGCACAGACAATAGAATACAAGTCAACAATCAAAAGGGACAAAGTATGGTACATGCAGCAACATGGATGATTCTCACCAGCATTACGATAAGTGAAAGAAGCCAGACACAGCAGGTATATAGTGTATGGTTTCACTTATATGACATCTGAGAAAAGAAAAATCATTGAGGACAGAGATACTATCCTTGATTATGAAGGGCTGGAGTTTGGGGGAAGGGTATTAGCTACAAAATGGCAAGAGGGAATTTTTTCAGATGACGGAAATGTTCCATATCTCACCACTATTCATCTCCAGAACTCCTTTCATCTTGTAAAACTGAAAATCTATACACATTAAACAATAACTCCTGATTCTCCCCCTCCCACCAGCTCCTGGCAACCACCATTCTATTTTCTATCTCCATGATTTTGACCACTCTAAGTATTTCATACAGTATTTGTCTCTGTGACTGTCTTGTTTCACTCAGCATAATGTTCTCAAGATTCATCCATGTTTTATCATATGTGTGAATGTCCTTCCTTTTAAAGACTGAACAATATTCCACTGTATGCACATCCCACTCTCTGCCCATCCATTCATGGACACCTGGGTTGCTTCCATGTTTTAGCTCTTGTGAACAATGCTGCCACAAAAATGGGTGTACAAATGTCTCTTCACATTCCTGCTTTTACTTGTTTGGGGTACAGACACAGAAGTAGAATTGCTGGATACTTTGATAATTTTGTTTTTAATATTTTTATTAAGTACTGTGAATAACAAATTACTCCAAGATGTTGTGGCTTAAAACAACAACAATCACTTATTTTAATGATTTCTTTGCAAAAGGAATTCAGATGGGGTAGAGAAATGACAGCTTATCTCAGTTCATCTGTGCCTTAGCTGAAATATTTGAAGATTGGGAGCTGAAATCATCTGAATACTTCTGCTCTTTCATTTGGGCCTACCTGGGGCTGCCGGCTGGACACCCACACATGACTTCTGCATGTGGCCTGGATTTGCTCACAATGTGATAGCTGGATCCCATAGGCAAGTGTTCTTAAGGAAAGAGAGCCAGGATAAAGCTGTACTTTTTATCATCTATTCTCAGGAGTCATACAGTGTCAATGCTCTGTATTTTACCGATTGAGACAGTGACAGTTTTGCCCATGTTCAAGAGGACGTAACATAGACTTCCTGATGGAGAAATTCCACTGTCACGTTATAAGAAGAGCATATTGGATGGGATAAACATTGGCACATTCAGTCTGTCACCATGATCATATGGCATATGTCTAATTGTGTTAAATTTAAAAAAAATTATTTGAATTTCACTATATATGTGAAATATACTAATTGTGATTTAATTGAAAATTACTGAAAACATAAAGATTTTTTAAAATTCTCCCACAATTGTCTGAGCAAGACATAACCGCTTTGAACATTTTTGAGTGTTCCTTGTGATATTTTTTTAAAAACACACAGTTGGAGTCTAAAATGCAACATTTTGATGAGACCAAGTTGATATCTCTACTTTGGCCACTTGGGCTATTTTGACTACAATTGCATACACTATATAAAATGGCCTCATTGACATATAAAAGCACAATTTAAACAACTAGTGAGTAATCTATGCAATAACCCTCTATTCTGTGTCTGACAACCACCCACTCCTCCTCCTACACTTCAGCCTCAGCCTAACCCAAAGTGAAGGGGTAGAATAAGGCTTCAGGGATGAGGCAAGAAAGTTTGCTTTCCATTTTACCTAATGTATTTTTGTTTTCTTTTAATTTTTTGTTTTAAATAATTTTAAATTTACAGAAAATTTGCAAAAATAGTACAGAAAGTTTCCAATTACCCTTCACATAGTTTTCCCTAATGTTAACATCATCTATAACCACAGTACCATTATCAAAACCAGGAAATTAACACTAATACAATACTATTAACTAACCTACAGACATTGAGTTTCACTAGTTTCCCCACCAATGTGCTTTTTCTGGTTTATGATCCAATCCAAGATTTCACATCCTATCTAGTTGCCGTGTCTCTTTCATCTCCTCTATGACAATTCTTAGTCTTTCCTTTTCTTTAATGACTTTGACACTTGAGGAGTCCTGGCCAGTTATTTTGTAAAACATTCCTTCAATTTGGATTATCTGATGTGTTTCAATTTGGATTATCATAGTGTTTCCCTGCTATGACTGACTGTATGCATATTTAGTTTATCCTTATTTCACAAAAGGAGTCGAAAATGGAAAAAAAAAAAAAGCCTTCATCCTAGTAACAAGAACTTATAAACTCAGAATGGAAATAGAAATGTCAAAATTTATTATTTCAGCCTCAATGAGACGTTCATTGGGTTCAAACCAGATTACTACAGGTTCACTTGTAAAAGAGCTTTGCAAAGCACCTTCTACCTTTAGTTTCTTCATTTACTAAACAGAGATAACATTTACCTTACCTCAAGAATGTTGCAAATTTCCCAGGGTGCATCAGATATGAACATTTTTTTATATTGTATTTTAAATTTTGGAGACGGGGGCTTGCTCTGTCACCCAGACTGGAGTGCAGTAGCACAATCCTAGCATACTGCAAACTTAAGTCCGTGGGCTCAAGTGATCCTCCTTCCTCAGCTTCCTGAGTAGCTGTGACTACAGGAGCACACCACCACACCAGCCTCCGGCTAATGTTTTGTTTTGTTTTGTTTTGTTTTGTTTTGTTTTGTTTTAAAGATATGGGGTTTCACTGTGTTGCCCAAGCTGGTCTCGAACTCTTAGCCTCAAGCAATCACTGCCTTGAGCCCAGGAGGCTGAGGCTACAGTGAGCTGTTACTGTGAGATGTTCACACATACATGCATACACACACGTTAATGTGGAAAGGAAACCACTTCAATTATCCCATAGAACTGATGCTTATGGTTTCTTTTGAATAAACATAGAAATTGACCCTCCCAGTCTTAAAACTTGAGAAAGTTACACTTATCTGAGTTCCTTTCTCAGGAAACTAACCATCAGGACTCCCAGATAGTATCAGGGAACTGAAACTTACCAGATTATCACATCTGGACAATGAGAAGCCAGACCCTTCACCCACCACGACTGCCTGACCACCTGCTTCCTATTGACCAATTCCTCTTCCTTACCACCCGCCCCACCCCCATTCCTGTTTTCCTGCATATCATTACATTCCTTCCCTGCTATATAAAACATTGATTTTAGTGGGTCCGAGAGAAGAATTTGAGACTGATCTCCCATCTCCTTGACCGCAGCATATTAAAGCCTCCTTCCCTGGCAATACTCATTGCCACAGTGATTGGCTTTCTGTGCAGCAAGTAACAGAACCTAGACTGAAACCCTGGCATTTCAGTAACAGAACGAGTGCATGATGTATGTGTAGGTATGGCTACATAGTTTATTTGTATATTTATTCATTTCATTCACACTTCGATTGTATGTGGCTATTAAGTTTCACCAGTGCTTCTTAACTTGCCTTAGGTGATTGCTGGTGGAATGATAGCGTAACATTTACTCAGAATTTAAAATAGAATTTACTCCCAACAATACCCCAGAAATTTATCCTTAAAAACTCTGTTCTTCGAATGTGTGGGGAGACTGATATGAGTAATAATAAAACTCCAGTCTCCCACACAGCCGGCTCTGTGTGAATTACTCTTTCTCTATTGCAATTCCCCTGTCTTGATAAATCAGCTCTGTCTAGCCAGTGGGCAAGGTGAACCCATTGGGTGGTTACAGGATTTGTTCTGTGACACTCTCTTTGGTACCCCCAGTATTAGTCTAGGGTAAGAATGAACTTCAAACTACAATTTAGACTCTGCTTCTTAGTTGGAAGTCTGCAGGGCCAGATGGAGACCACCATACAATTGGTCAGAAAAAGATAAGCCAAGGGTGCATGTGAAGCAAGAGAGAGATTTAAAAAAAAATCCCCCTTCAAAATGAGCCTGTTATGCAACAAAACCAAAGACATTTAATAAAATAGCCAACAGACCCAAAAACTCAGAATAGGAATTTGCTCTAGATGAAATTTACTTCCTGGAGCAGTATGAAAATGACTTTAAAATAAGGATGTTATGTAACTAACCTGCACATTGCGCACATGTACCCTAAAACTTAAAGTATAATAATAATAAATAAATAAATAAAATAAGGAAGTTTATGATGTTCAAAAGAGATAAGCAAAGACAAATTTGCATTAAAAATAACATATAATTGCTTTTAAGAACAGCAAAGAAGGATATGAAAATTAAGTCTTAACATTAAAATGTTTTTGTAATAAATTTAGATGTTAATAGACCAATGTTAGTAATAGTTAATATTTTTTATGCCAAGAACTATTTTCCATGCTTCATATATATATTGGCTCTCTTAAGATTCATAAACACTAGGAGTTAACTATATTATTCCCATTTTACACATGAGGAAACTGAGATCCAGAGAAGCCAGTAACTTTCCAAGCCCAATAGATAATGAATAGAAGTGGAATTTGAATCTAGACAAGCTGGTAGCAGAGCTCTTAGCTTTAAAATAACATCCTAATGCTGCCTATGCTTAAGTCTTGAATGAACAGTTGAAGAGAGAATTTGTGAAATGGAAGATTAGAGAAGTGAAATAAATCTAAACTGAAGATGGCACAGAAAGACAAAGAAATAAACAAGTAAATAGCAGCTCTAAGACACTTTGAAAGGCATTCATTTCCAACACTGGACTATCAGGAGCTCTGGCAGGACAGAATGAAAGAAATGATGGAGAGGCAGTATTTGAAGAATTAGTTAATGAGAATTTCCCAAAATTAAATAAATATGTGAATTTTCAGATCGAAGGTGCTCAGGACTGGGCAGGATAAAACGTAGAGCATTAGAGATAAAGAGAATCTTAAACACTCTTTAAATAAAGGGTAAATTACCCACAAAGAATTGAATGTAGAGCATACTTACCTACAATAGATGACAATAGAGTAATATTTTACAGTGTTAAGGGAAAATAATAGTAAACAGGATGTGCGCCCAGCAAATGTATCACCAGAGTGAAGGCAAAATAAAGGTATTCTCAGATATAAGATGCAGAAGTAATAAAGAGAATTCATCAGCTAATCACAAGTGTTCTAAGAAGGAAACAGAGGGAGATTTGATGACATATGAACAAGGAGAATGCAATAAAGGTAATGGAAGCAGAAATTGGAGTCATGGGGCCACAAGCTAACTAATGCTGGCAGCCACCAGAAATTGGAAGACGCCAGGGAGAATTCTTCCCTAGGGCCTCTATAGGGAGTTCAGCCCTGCCTGCATCTTGATTTTGGACTTCTAGCCTCTAGAACTGTGAGAAAATACATTTCTTTTGTTTTAAGCCACAAAGTTTATGCTAATTTGTTATGGCAGCCAGAGAAAACTAATACACCTCCTAAATTACAAACAAAAACAACAAAACAAAGCTTGAAAACAAACAACAAAAATAGAAATATTTCTATAGCTTTGAAAGAGCAGAGGTAAAAAGAAGTCCATGCATAATAGCAACAAATATGATAATGGACAAGTGAATAAAGCTAACAGATAAACAAGTATGAAAGACCTCAGTGGAGAAAAATCCAAACTACCATTAAAATAAATAATAGAAGACAGACCTGAGCTTTTTATTAAATAAATATAAAACGAAAAATATAATAAAAACTCAGTTCAAGACAGTGGTTACCTCTAAAGAAGGAAAAAGAGGAGGAAGTGAGAAAGATGGAATCAGGCCTTGACTGCATTTCTAATGTTTTATATCCTTTAAAAAAATCTGAAAATATCTGAAGCAAATATGGCAAAATATTAAGGGTCCTTTGAGTTCAGTGGTGGATATATGAATATTACATTATTCTCTGTTCTTATTTTTATATTTGCAATATTTAACAATAAAAATCTAAAAGAATAAAAGCAAAAATAAGTAAAATAAAGTGGGTCCCTTTCATAGCAAAGCGGAAAGAGTGTTCAAAAGATAGGCTTATCTCTTGCAGCTTGATTTCATTTTTTTCTAAGAGGCCTTGGAAGCTGTTGACATAAATAGGTTTACATTATTTTGACATCATCAAGGGCACTGGAATCTGGGCAGTGACTTCTAATGGAATTTGGCAAAGGCAGAACAATCATCTCTAAGCATGAGGGGAGGTGGAGATGCCAGAGTTGAGATATCATGTGTTCTCCTTTTACTTTGAAAGGGATTCAAAAACATAACTTAAATACTTTCAACAACTGTTTGTTGTTGTTGTGAGGTTTTTTTAACGCACTTCTTTTCAGATAACGTGGAAGGGATAGAGGCATTACGTGGACTGTGTAGTGACTGGAACCAGATGTGTGAGAAAGGAGAAATTGACTCAAACCAATGAGAGGTTGTATGACACGGCAGGACAATCTGGACCAGAATCAGGAAACTTAGTTCGAGTTTTAGCTAACTAGCTGCAAGGCATCTACAACTTTCTTTTTTTAAAAAAATTGTTTCATTTCTTTTTTTGAGACAGGGTCTCACTCTGTCACCCAGGCTGGAGTACAGTGGCACAATCACGGCCCACCACAGCCTCTATCTCCTGGGCTCAGGTGATCCTCCCACCTCAGGTTGCTAAGTAGCTAGGACTACAGACACCCACCACCATGCCCAGCTAATTTTTGTATTTTTTGTAGAGACGGGGTTTAGCCATGTTGCAGAGGCTGGTCTCGAACTCCCAGGCTCAAGCAATCCATCTGCCTCAGCCCCACAAAGTGTTAGGATTACAGGCGTGAGCCACGGCACCCAGCCAGTATCTACAATTTGTATCAACTCTCTTGGGTTTTCCCTTACCTATAAAATGAGGAAATAAGTTTAAATAATGACTGAGGTCACTGTGGGCATTAACATGCTATCACTAGCCCTTAGTGTGCCTTTTATACTTTAAATAAAACCACCTAAAAATACCTTATTTTTCTTGTTCCTAGGGCTCTTCAGTGATGAACGAAAAGTGAGGAGACTAGATCCTGAGACCGAATCACACTGTTTCTGCTTTTTAAATTAATTTTCTCATCATTGTCAGTTTTTTTTTTTCTTTTGAGACAGAGTCTCGCTCTGTCACCAAGGCTGGAGTGCAGTGGCCTGATCTCAGCTCACTGAAAGTGCCGCCTCCTGGGTTCACGCCATTCTCCTGCCTCAGCCTCCTGACTAGCTGGGACTACAGGCGCCCGCCACCACGCCTGGCTAATTTTTTTTATTTTTAGTAGAGACGGGGTTTCACTGTGTTAGCCAGGATGGTCTCGATCTCCTGACCTCGTGATCCGCCTGCCTTGGCCTCCCCAAGTGCTGGGATTACAGGCATGAGCCACCGCGCCTAGCCCGTCAATTTTTATTTTCATTGAGAGAATAAAAGTACATAAAAATTTCCCGGGATGACAACCTTCCATTCCTGAAAATTTGATCTCGTGACTTTTTTTTTTTATGAAGTTTTTTTTTTTTTTTAACTTTTATTTTAAGTTCAGAGGTACATGTGCAGGTTCGTTAGACAGGTAAATTGTGTGTCGCGGGGGTTTGGTGTGCAGATTTCATCACCCCAGTTAATAAGCCTAGTACTGATATGTAGTTTTTTAATCCTCTCCCTCCTCCCACTCTCCACCCTCAAGTAGGCGTCAGTGTCTGTTGTTCCTTTCATTATACAAAGTATTTTTGATATTTTAAAATTACATTAAGAAAAATCTCTAATACTTCTACCTAGAGATGAAAACATCTGAATAAGTATTATGAAAGAGAACCTGAAGTCATGGTTAGGTTAATAAGTTCAACTGCTTGTTCATGTATTGAGTCTTCACCAGAGGACATAACAGCCTACTGGATGGCTGTGGCAGAGACCAGTAATGCTCCCTGAATGGCCGCCTTTCCTTCTTCCTGTTGCTAATATAACCACCAGAGTTTTAGCTGGTCTGAATTATCAACACAGAACACTTTTGGTACCACCTGTGTGGGGATTTTCCCCAAGACAACAACTAAACAATCAATTCAGCAGTGAATATCAGCTGGGTGTCCTCTTAATTTTTCTTTTTTCTTTTCTTTTTTTTTTTTTTTGAGACGGGGTCTCACTCTGTGGCACAGGCTGGAGTGCAGTAGCGCAATCACAGCTCACTGCAGTCTTGAACTCCTGGGCTCAAGGGATCCTCCCACCTCTGCCTCCCCAGTAGCTGGGACTACAGGCACATGCCACCACACTTGGCTAATTTTTTGCAGAGATGAGGTCTTGCTATGTTGGCCAGTCTAGTCTAAACTCCCAGCCTCAAGTGATCCTCCTGCCTTGGGCTCCCAAAATGCTGGGATCATAAGTGTGAGCCACCCTGCCTGGGCCCTTTAATTTTACTCAATTCTGACATTGTCTACCTGGACATAGTGTCAGATCTCACAGGTTGAGGGCTCAGTCCCCAAGACTGTCTCCACTTCAAATGCCAGTTGCAAGTATAGGTTGTGACCTGTGTTTCTGCCCAGTCAGCTCTAAATTGGGGTTCCCATGATCCCCTCCTTGGGTTTGATTCGTTTGTTAGAGCAGCCCACATAACTCAGGGAAACACTTTACTTGCATTTTCTGTTTGATTTTAGAGGCTATTACTAAGGATACAGATGAATAGCCAGATGGAACAGGTGCATAGAACAAGGCATGGGGAAAGGGGCACAGGAGCGTCCATGCCTTCTCCAGTCATAATGAGAGGTGACAGCGTGCTGGCAGCCCTCGCAGCCCTCGCTCACTCTGGGTGCCTCCTCGGACTTGGCGCCCATTCTGGCCATGCTTGAGGAGCCCTTCAGCCTGCCGCTGCACCGCGGGAGCCCTTCTCTGGGCTGGTCGAGGCCGGAGCCGGTTCCCTCAGCTTGCGGGGAGGTGTGGAGGGAGAGGCACGAGTGGGAACTGGGGCTGCACACGATGCTTGTGGGCCAGTGCGAGTTCTGGGTGGGCGTGGGCTCAGCAGGCCCTGCACTGGGAACTGGGCAGTGAGGGGCTTAGCACCCTGGGCCAGCAGCTGCTGTGCTCGATTTCTCCCGGGGCCTTAGCTGCCTCCCTGTGGGGCAGGGCTCAGGACCTGCAGTCCGCCATGCCTGAGCCTCCCCCACTCCGCCGTGGGCTCCTGCGCAGCCTGAACCTCCCTGAGCGCCGCCCCCTGCTCCATGGCACCAGGTCCCATCAACCGCCCAAGGGCTGAGGAGTGCATGCACACAGCACGGGACTGGCAGGCAGCTCCACCTGCGGCCCCTGTGCGAGATCCCCTGGGTGAAGCCAGCTGGGCTCCTGAGTCTGGTGGGGACTTGGAGAACCTTTATGTCTAGCTAAGGGATTGTAAATACATCAATCAGCACTCTGTGTCTAGCTCAAGGTTTGTAAATACACCAATCAGCACCCTGTATCTAGCTCAAGGTTTGTAAAGACACCAATCAGCGCCCTGTGTCTAGCTCGGTGTTTGTGGGTGCACCAATCGGCACTCTATATCTAGTTAATCTGGTGGGGACTTGGAGAATCTTTATGTCTAGCTAAGGGATTGTTAATGCACCAATCGGCACTCTGTATCTACCTCAAGGTTTGTAAATGCACCAATCAGCACTCTGTGTCTAGCTCAGGGTTTGTAAATACACCAATCCACACTGTGTACCTAGCTAATCTAGTGGGGACGTGGAGAACTTTTGTGTCTAGCTCAGGGATTGTAAACGCACCAATCAGCACCCTGTCAAAACGGACCAATCAGCTCTCCATAAAACAGACCAATCGGCTCTCTGTAAAATGGACCAATCAGCAGGATGTGGGTGGGGCCAGATAAGAGAATGAAAGCAGGCTGCCAGAGCCAGCAGAGGCAAACCACTGGGGTCCTCTTCCACACTGTGGAAGCTTTGTTCTTTTGCTCTTTGCAATAAATCTTGCTGCTGCTCACTCTTTGGGTCCACACTGCCTTTATGAGTGTAACACTCACCACGAAGGTCTGCAGCTTCACTCCTGAAGCCAGCGAGACCACGAACCCACCAGAAGGAAGAAACTCCAAACACATCTGAACATCAGAAGGAACAAACACCGGACACACTACCTTTAAGAAATGTAACACTCACCGCGAGGGTCCGCAGCTTCATTCTTGAAGTCAGTGAGACCAAGAACCCACCAATTCCGGACACAGTAACACCCTACAGGAACCTCTACATGTTCAGCTATCAGAAACCTCCCAGAACCCAGTCCTTTGGGGTTTTATGGAAGCTTCATTATGTAGGCATGAATGATTAAATATTGGCCACTGGGATCAACTTAAACTTCAGCCCCACTTTTTTCCCCAGAGACTGGGAAGGGTGATGCAGGGTGGAGCCAAAAGTCCCAAACCTCTAATCATGCCTTGGTCTTTCTCCTGATCAGCCACTATCTTGAAGTGATCTAGGGGCTCTCAGCCACCAGTCATCTCATTAGTATACAAGATACCCCAAATCCAAGGATTTTAGGAGCTATATGTCAGGAAACAGTGACAAATACCAAATACACACTTCACGATATTACAGCTGGGGAATTGGCTTCCGAGGTATTGATTGCTTTTCTCAGCCTCCTTGGTGACTAGATGTGCATGCAAATGAAAGTTACAAGAGCAATTTCCAGATCTCATACTTTGAAAAGAGGGCGTTGCATGCTCTTAACTTTCTCTTTCCCCTTCCTGCAGGCTGAAATTTCAATGCAGTGCTAGTAAGAGAGCTTTGACTTTGTAAGAATCAATTCTTGAGGATGACAATGATGGAGCAATAAGATAGAAGGAGCCTGGGTCCCTGGATGACTTTGTGGAGCAAAAGTCATTTCACCAGGACTGCAGACTGCTCACTTGTAGATTGTTATGTAAAAGAGAAATTAAAACCTATCTTCTTTGAGCCCCTAAGTTGTGATCTCTCTATTATAGTAGCTTAGTCCCAGCCCTAATTAATACAATGACTGAAAAGGAGCTTGAATTTTTAGCAGAAGTCCCAAAGGAGATGGGAACCTTTACCAAGGATTTATGCTGCCAGGAAAACCAGAAACAAATACTATAATAGCTTGAATCTAAAGAAGAGGAAACAATCAGGAAAATCCACACAGAAGGACATTCTGTAAAATGATGATCCTGGATCCTTAAAACATGTCAGTATCATGAAAGACAAAAAGAGGCTGGGATACCAGATTAAAGAAGCCTACAATATCATGACAACTAAATGCAGTGCATGATCCTTGATTGGATCTTGATCTAAACATATATATACATATATATGACATTATTGATACAACTGGAGAAATTAGAATATGAAATGCATATTTAATACTAAAACAGTATCAGTGTTACATTTCTTTGAGCATTGTAATTATATTATATTGTAGTTACATAGGAGAATGTAGGAAACATATGCTGAAATATTTGGGGTAAAGTGTTTAATGTGTGCAACTTACTCCTAAATATTTCAGCAAACTAATAATAATAGCAATAATTTGTATACACGGCAAAATATCAACAATTCATAAATCTGGATGGACGAGTGAAGGATATATTGATATTCTTTGTACTATTCTTATAATATCTCTGTAGACTTGAAATTTTAAAAAATAAAATGTTGGGAAAAACATAGTAGAAAATACACATGAGTATCTTTCAGATTTTGAGGTAGGAAAAATATTCTTAAACAAGACACACAAAAATGACTATGTAAGATTCAATGACTATATAAGAAAAATGACTATATAAGAAAACGATGGTCCTGGATCCTTAAAACATGTCACCATCATGAAAGACAAAAAGAGGCTGGGATATTATATTAAAGAAGCCTAAATGATCACGACAACTAAATGCCATGCATGATCCTTGACTGGATCTTGATCTAAACATATATATATATATATATATATATGACATTACTGATACAACTGGAGATTTGACCTTATCACCCTGGTGACAGATTCTTGGGTTCAAATTCTGATACTCTCATTAATCAACTACAGAAAGATCATCATGAACAAGTCATATAGATTCACTAGGCCCCAGTTTCCTTAGCTTTAAAACTGGGGAAAACAACAGCAACTACTTCCTATGGTTGTTGTGAATAGTACATAAAATAATACACATCAAACAGAGTGGCAAGTTGGTACCAGTACCCAGATGGTGAGAGCTGCTGCTGGTTGAGTGACTGATGGGACTTGGCTGGCCCTTCCCATCTCTCCATCCACATCTATACTGTTATCGCTTCATGTCTAAGGCTGCAGTTACCATAAGCTTTTTCCTGAATATTCATTCTCTCTCTCACGTTTGCACATGCTACTCCCACTGCATAGAACACTTTTCTGCAAGGTCTTTTTTTTTTTTTTTACCGAAATGCTACTTATTTTGCACATATCATCTAATAATTTTTTTCTGGGCAGAATCTTCTCTACTCCCCAAACCCAGCTTAGCTTAGGTGCCCTCCTATGTGCTCACATAGACCTCTCATGGCCAAACACTACTGAAGATTTACTGAATGAATTCCCAGCATGAGTAGACAGCTTCCTAGATGTACTGACCTGACACAAAAGTGCTCTATGGAGGAGTTTAGAAACTAGCAGAGAATAAGAGTTGCTGGGGATTACCTCCTTTCCTTCTCAGCCTTACAACATTCTTTGCACTACAATGATCCTACCTTTTCCACACCCCTACTAGTCCATAGTAGATGGGAATTGTTCTGAGGTAGGCAGGCCAATGAAAACTTACCCTTGAATTCCAAAGAAGCTGAGAGGTCAAAGAAAGAGGCTGACAAATCCAGTTTCTTATTTTTTAAAAAACATACACATTTAATTGCTGCAAACAGAAGCCATGTCTGAGTGCTGGGTGGCTGTGAGTCTAGATGGTGGATCTTGGTGCCATCACCCTCCAAAACCCAGAGCTCATATACCATAGGGAAGGAATATATAGCACAATCGTAGGAAAAGGCAAGAATGCTATGTGCATCTGCCTAAGGGCAGGATTTATGGGCAAGATTTACAGTTAGTACATGCTCTTACACAAGGAACAGTAGATAAAATAGAAATCTTAGAGGCATTTCTGGAACTGGAGTTAATCAGAAGTCAACATGGTGGGTTAGCAACCAAGAGGGAGTTGCTTTAGCTGTCACAAAACTGTTAAATGGCAATCATGGACAAATCCCCAACATGAATCTTGTTCTCTGGCTTGGAGAAATATCACATTTCAGAAGGCTCTACAGTAGTTTTTATGAGTTTGGGTAGGCAGAGCAGGAACTCACAGCTCTGGGATTCAGATCTGTTGGAAAGCTGACAACCACCCAGCACGTGCCATTGTTTTGTCCCTTGTGAATCACAAACCCACCTGGCACTTGGCCTGATAATGTCGTATTAATACGAGGTATGAGTATCCACAGCATGCGAGGTTAAGGTGGGATCTGCCTCCCATCACTGTAACCTTGACAGGAAGTGGCTTTGAAAATGACCAACTGCCTCTAGAAAAATGTTGGCATGACAGAGTGTTTCCCTCTGGCCACCCCATTCCCTCCATTGCCCTCCAGCAATGTGTCATAAACATGTTGTCCTTGCTCCCTTTTGAGTGCAGCTGGTGTCATCTCTGTCCAGGTTGCCTTCCAGGGCAGACATCCAAGCTTCAAGGACTCACAGTCTGTACTGGGACCAACTTGTGGGCAGCTGGGGCACGTGGACTCCTCTGGAGCGGAGTTCTGTTGACCTTGAAGGATTGGCATATCGGAGGGGTGTAATGAAACTTGTCTTCTCACAACACATTTGCGAGGTGAACCACAGTGTTAGGCAAGTAAGCCAATCACAGCATCAAAGACAAATGTGTTGCAGAAGAGAATGTGCACATTAGAGGAGACAGAAGCTACTTATCCAAAATCAACAGAAAATGCCTCATTATATCATCTATCCCTTTATTCTAATTCTTTCATCAGGATTGTTGGAGGCAAAAAATTCTTACATATGGTTCAATTCGATAAATGATTAATGAGCAATAACTGTATACCAGTAATGTGTAACATGCTGTAGGCGTTAAGGAAAAAAAAAAAAGACAAAGCCAGGTCCATGGTCTGTCTTGAAAAACAGGCCAGCTGCTCCAGTCACAATCCTCCCTTTAGAACGCCGTTGGCAAAAGCTCACACATGTTTTCTCCCTTCACCTAGAGGTTATCCATTCTTTAATGAATTTAGTTCCCCATATCTGGGCTCTTTCCATCCAGTGTTTTTAAGCCTTTCTTGAGGTGCATTCTAGAATATATACACAGTCTCTTCGAAGTTTAGACAAAACATACTTTTCTATAAGACGGAGTCATATTTTCTGCATGTTTCTCTTGGTTTCTAGGCAATACCCAATGGCAGGTTGGCCCTTGTTGACTGTAGGAGCATGTTAGAATGATGTACTCCAGGCTGTACACATTCATTTCTTGGACTATATCAGGTATAGTCTAACAGCTTCAAATCTGGTTTGCATTACTTAAGACTAAATGTGATAAAAGTGTATTGACAAAGCCAGGCGTGGTGACTCATGCCTGTAATCCCAGCACTTTGGGAGGCTGAGGCAGGCAGATCACTTGAGGCCAGGAGTTCGAGACCAGCATGGCCAGCATGGCGAAACCCCATCTCTACTAAAACATACAAAAATTAGCCAGGTGTGGTGGCACACGCCTGTGCTCCCAGCTACTCACGTGGGAGGCTGAGGCATGAGAATCACTTGAACCTGGGAGGCAGAGGTTGCAGTGAGCCAAGATCACAGTACTGTACTCCAGCCTGGGCGACAGAGCAAGACTCTGTCTCAAAAAAAAAAAAAAAAAAAAAAAAAAGTGTATTTATACATAAACACACTGAAGCTCTTAGGCCATTCTCCTGACTACTTAAATCCCTTTATTGAGATACTCTACACCGCATCCCTGTGTCTAAGAACTGTCTACTTAAAACTCAATAATTCAAAGATAATTCTATTCTTTGATGAATGTCCTGACGAAAGACTTTTTGAAAAAGACAATGCCATGGTGAGAAACTGTAATCAAGAAATGTGGTGTACCAGCCTGGGCAACGTGGTAAGACCCCAACTCTACAAAAAATTTTAAAAATTAGCTGGCACAGTGGTATGCATCTGTAGTCCCAGCTACTTGGGAGGCTGACGTGGGAGGATCACTTGAGCCCAGGAGTTTGCGGCTATAGTGAGCCATGATCATGCCACTGCACTCCTGCCTGGGTGAAAGACGGAGACCCTGTTGAAAGGAAGGAAGAAAGGAAAGAAAGGAAGGGGAGGGAAGGGGAGGGGAGGGGAGAAAAAGAAAGAAAGATGTGAAGAGAGGTAGAGGACTTTAGGAACCAGCCCAATTCAAAATCGAGCCCTACCTCTGCCATGTACTGTGTACATGAACTTGGCCAAGTCACTGAATCCCTCGGAAATTCAGTTTCCTCAGCAGCAAAAATGGGGTAATAATACTGACTGTAGTGAGGTGTGAGAATTAGGAATAATGCCCAAAGTATATTTAGAGAATGCTCACAGCAGTGTCTCATAGAACTTTCCGTAATGATGAAAATTCCGTATTTTGTCCAGTTTTACATAGGTGGATACTGACTACTTGTAATGTGGCTAATGTGACCGAGGAATTAATTTTTAAATTTAAGTTTACATTTAAATAGTCCAATGTGGCTACTGTATTAGACATCACAGGTCTAGGCTATGGTAGGTCCTCAAAAGATGACAGTCATTGATACGATTAATAATGGGAAGTTTGGATTTCCTGCCCAAGGATGGTCTAAAACAAAGAACAAAACAAAACAAAACAAAACAAAACAACAACTCCAGCAAATCAAGAATTCTCATTAATGTTTCCTGAGACTGTCTACAAGACCTTATGCATATTAACCTGAGAACATCTAGATAAAGCTTTTTATTTTATTTTACTTTTATTTACTTGTTGGAGACAGAGTCTTCCTCTGTTGCCCAGGCTGGAATGCAGTGTGTGCAATCTCGGCTAACTGCAACCTCCGCCCCCCAGGTTCAAGTGATTCTCGGGCCTCAGCCTCCTGAGTAGCTGGGACTACAGGTGCCTGCCACCGTGCCTGGCCAATGTTTTGTATTCTAGTAGAGATGAGGTCTCACCGTGTTGCACAGGGTGTTCTCGAACTCCTGAGCTCAGGCAATCCACTTGCCTTGGTCTCCCAAAGTGCTAGGATTACAGGCATAAGCCACCATGCCCGGCCTAGATACAGCCTTTTAATTCCTCACTGTCTCAGGGCTCTGGGTCCCTCCCACACTCCTGAGCCCAGCAGTGATACCAGGACTTCCCTCCCTTCTCACCACTGGTATGCCACCTCTGCTGCCATTATGTCAAATATGACATAAGGAAGTGTCCTCCTACGATCCTAAATTGAGAACCACATAGTCCCTAATACTGCAACCCTCAAGTCAACCGAAGATACCATAAAAGTCCCTAGAGAGAATGCGGTGTTTTTTTTTTTTTTTGGTGTTTGGGATTAGCTCTACCTAGAAGCTTACGAAAAAAATAAAAAAGGATCCCTGAATGCGTCAGATCCCATACTCCCATGCACTTTGTTCACCCTGTCATTCGATACAAAGCAGGCTTCAAGACTGTTCAGCTCAGCCAACAAATACTGCTGGAAGTAATTTTATCACACTCACATTTCTCAATAGAACTCTAAATCAGCTTCTAAAAATACCAACCATTCTGGGCCAGGCAGTCTTGTAGACACTGACGTCTAAGTAACTTCAATTTCTACAGTTCCAACCTCTCTGATCTCCAGTGAGTGTTTGTTCATGAAAAATACGATTTAAATTATGGAAATTCTTTTGTTTATGGTTTAGAACTTGATCTTATAGTCTGGATAATTAGGGTTGATTTTAAAATACAGCAAATGAAAGAGTAAACTCAAGATTAGTCCTACGCTTTATAAATCAGATATAAAGAGATTGATATATTAGAATTTGCCAGAAATCTCTGAAGTATGCAGAAAATAATGATAAATTATCCTGAATCTTGAGAAAGTATGAAGGTATAAACAAGTTAGACACAGTGTTTTCAGGCAAACACCTTCTTTGTTACATGGAGACTGATAATAAATAGGCATAAAACCACAGTGAAATCACAGATAATAGAATGTTGAAGCCAGAATGATTGTATAAGCTGGACAAACTGTTCTGCAAAAAAAAAAACTGAAGCCTACGAATTGTTGATTTTCCCACAGTCACACAATTAGCTAACGATGGAGCTCAGAACTGCAATCTCCTGGCTCTCATTCTAGTCTTCTTTCTAGTACACCCAAAAGTTGCCCAATTTATGCGTATATCACTTTCTTCCTAATAAGTAACAAACCCCTGGGCTAGGGAAGTCACCATCCCTATTCAAGAAGAGGTCCTTTATTCAGCCCAGGGTTTCTCAGCAGTCCCAGAGCTCAAAGGAGGGCAGCTGTGTTGGTGGACTTGTGAATCATGTTAGCGAAAGCATGGGGAGTTTCACCTACTGAGTTCTACAAGATCAAATTTAGGATCTCCAGGAGGAACAGAATTGTTCAGCTCCCAGGGATGCAGAGTTTGCTGAGCAGATGCCTGAGAATCGTGAGATGATGCAGAGTATGTTGTTTACTCTCTAAGGGAAGCCAGATGTAGTCACCACAACAGAATTCCAAATGCCCTGTGCAGGAGAAGCACACTCCTGATGTACTCTATGCAAAGGCAAATTCCTGCTATAGAATCAACTAAGTTTCACAGACTTTAGAATCTCCTGATTCTAAATACACATATCAGGTGTATTCCTGGCCTGTGAGGCTGGCATGGCATGAGTCCAGATGGCACTAGAATTGGAGAGTTGATTCGTCAGCCCATGAACAATTTTTTGAGTATGTATCAAGTTCCAGTCTAGTTACTGTAAAAAATAAAAAATCTGGACACCACTTAGTCCATCAGAAATATTTACTGAGCCCTAGCAGTGCTCTGGATGCTGAAGGTACAGCTCTCCTGGATGCTGTTACATTGCTCCCACCTCTGTGATCCTGTGGCATGTGGTTTGTGCCTCTGCAAGGGCCCAGTTTGACTTTTGGTATTTACTTGTGTATATTTACTTTCCTTTTTCTAGACTGTAACTCCTCCAGGGCAAGGAATGGAGACTTTTTCACGATAGCTAAATAAAAGATAAGCAAATCTGTTAGCATTTGCCAGATACCAATAAAATTGATGATACCACTGTAGTTCAATTCAACTTAACAAGCAGTAGTTGCTTATGTATTAGGTTGAGAGCAAAAGTAATTCTGGTTTTTGCCATTAATGGCAAAACCATGCTAGGTGCTGTGGGGCACAGACAATCACCTAAATTTGCATGTCTTTTCCTCCAGATATTTGCAATATTTTCTGGGGAGAAAATATAAATATCAATGCAATCCAAGGTTATTTAACTAAATGAGAAAATGCAATAATCTAACCAGGTAGATGGTAAACGGGGAGAGAATAGTGTAGCTAAAAGGCTTTACAAGGAAGAAAGAACCTCAGCTGGGCCTTGAATGAATCAATAAATTAGAAAGAAGGATGGGTAATTTAGGTAACAGGGAAGGCACAGAATCAGGAATGAAGGGGAACTGAGTCTAACTAATGATGTGACGGCTATGTCTTAAGCACTGATTGAGATTTGATTGTTTTCACCACTGTTGCTAATTTCTGAGATGCAACAAAAGTCAAATTAGAACTGTTTTCTAAATCTATGTGAATTTCTGGTTGTACACATTTTTCAATAACCCATCTGGAAATTTATTTATTTTCCTATCAGTCAAGAGAGTTATTTGAAGGAGTATCTGTACCTTCTATCATTCAGGAAATTGGGGAAATGTCTTAGTCTTCTATAATTAAAGCAGTGGTTCTTAAACTTTAGCTTAATCTTGAAACATAGATTGCCGGGCCACTCCCTGAGTTTCTAGTTCAATAAGTCTAGCGTAGGGCCTGAAAATGTGTGTTTCTAAGAAGTTCCCAAGGATGCTGATGTTGCTGGTTGGGGATCACACTTTGAATACCACTAATTGAGAGCCAAGCTGAAGTGGGGGTTCCCATCCCTGCTTATAAAACTCGACAGAGATGCCAGACACAGGCATGAGGAAATTGTTCATATCAATAACCCCAAATCTAAAAATTAAGTACGTATATGAAAAAATGAACTGCATTTACTGTTTGAGATAATGAGATACAAAAAGAAAATAAACATTACAGCGTGACTTCTAGGAATAATAAGCCTTTTAACTCAATAGTCAACAGAGCCATGTCAACTATAGCCAGGAAAAAAAAAAATAGTGTTGTCGCCACTGGCTTTGTTTGTCCTTTACCATAGCATAGATATATTAGTCAAGGTTCTCCAGAGAAAAGGAACCAATAGGATGTGTGTGTATGTAGAGAGAAAGAGATTTATTTTAAAGAATTGGCTCATGCTATTGTGGAAGCTTGGCCATCCCAAAATCTGATCGTGGAGGCCGGTAGCCTGGAGATTCAGGAAAGAGTTGGCATCTTCTGGTTGGGTGTGGTGGCTCACACCTGTAATCCCAGCACTTTGGGAGGCCGAGGTTGGAGGATCACTTGAAGTCAGGAGTTCAAGACCAGCCTGGCCAGCATGGTGAAACCCTGTCTCTACTAAAAATACAAAAATTAGCCGGGAGTGGTGGCAGGCACCTGAAATGCCAGTTACTTGGGAGGCTGAGGCAGGAGGATCGCTTGAACTCAGGAGAAGGAGGTTGCAGTGAGCCATGAAAGAAAAGAAAATGGAGATAGAGATAGAAGTAATATGGCCACCAGCCTAGGGATGCCTGGGGCCACTGGAAGCAGAAAGAAGCAAAGAAGAATCTCCCCTGGAACCCCGGGAGGAAGGGCAGCCCTGCCAGATTTTAGACTTTGGGCCTCCAGAAATGTGAGAAATAAATTCCTGCTGTTTTAAACCACCAAGTTTGTGATTATCTGTTCTGGCAGCCTCAGGACTGACAAGAATCCTTCTACATCTGCTCAGAATACCAATTGGTGTTGGCTTCTGGGGGTCCTGGGAAGTGCAGCAGTGAGGCTCAACAGAGGTGTTGTGGAGGTGACAGTCAGAGGCAGAAGCCCTTGGCCACAGCGGCCTGGCAGTGGGAACCAAAAGCAGTGGTGAGGCCCCCATGCAGCTTCCCAGGCAGTGGGTGATCCAGTAGCTCATGTGGCCTCAGCACTGGAAGACAGCTCCTGGGAGCCTTTCAATAATACTAAAAGAGGAGCATAGGCGATTCTAACCCCTCTGGGTTCCATCCAGGCCAGTGACAGAGGAAAGCCATCACTCCTTTCACATGGGGCTGTGTCAGCCCACCTAGAAGTGAGTCTGTCATATGTCTGAGTGCATAGACTCACATCTATTTGATCTTGGCATCCTTTTGCCAACTACACTTGTCAACTTTTGCCAACTGCCATGCACCCAGGCCCAGGTAAGTGTTGCTGAATGTATTCTCTTTACCTAGTCCTGCACACTCTGGGCACCTAAGCTTTGATTTGAATAGTCAGGAAGAATCCATTATATCCAGCCCTCAAATGTACGTATAATGCCTGGGAGGGCTTGATGAAGACCACATTCTATAATAAGACCCAGACACGTATACTATATACAGTCGCATGTTGCTTAACACCTGAGATACTTTCTGAGAAATGCGTCATTTGGTGATTTCATCATTGTGTGATTATCGTAGAGTGAACTTACATGAACCTAGATGGGATAGTCTTCTACACACCTAGGGTGCATGGCATAGCCTTTGGCTCCTAGGCTGCAAACCTGTAACAGCATGTGAATGTACTAAATATTGTAGGCAATTATAACACAACGGTAGGTATTATGTATCTAAACATACCTAAACATAGGAAAGGTACAGTAAGGTCATTTTCACTATATTGATTCTACCCATCCATCAGCATGGGTTGTGTTTCCATTTGTTTGTGTCATCTATGATTTCTTTCAGCAGTGTTTTGTAGTTTTCCTCATGGAGGTCTTTCAACTCCTTGGTTAGGTACATTCCTAAGTACTGCATTTTTTTTGCAGCTATTGTAAAAGGGTTTGAGTTCTTTATTTGATTCTCCACTTGGTCGCTTTTGGTGTATAAAAGAGCTACTCATTTGTGTACATTAATCTTGTATCCAGAAACTTTGCTGAATTCTTTTATCAGTTCTAGGAGCTTTCTGGAGGAGTCATGAGGGTTTTCAAGGTAAATGATCATATCGTCAGCAAACAGGGACAGTTTGACTCCCTCTTTACTGATTTGGATGCCCTTTATTTCTTTCTCTTGTCTGATTGTTCTGGCTAGGATTTCTAGCACTATGTTGAAGAAGACTGGTGAGGGTGGGCATCCTTGTCTTGTTCCACTCCTCAGAGGGAATGTGTTCAACTTTTCCCCATTCAGTATTATGTTGGCTGTGGGTTTGTCATAGATGGCTTTTATTACATTAAGGTATGTCCCTTGTGTGCCAATTTTGCTAAGAGTTTTAATCATAAAGAGATGCTGGATTTTGTCTACTGCTTTTTCTGCATCTATTGAAATGATCATTTGATTTTTGCTTTTAATTCTGTTTATGTGGTATATCACATTTATTGACTTGTGTATGTTAAACCATCCCTGCACCTCTGGTATGAAACCCACTTGATCACAGTGGATTATCTTTTTGATATGTTATTGGATTCAGTTAGCTAGTATTTTGTTAAGGATTTTAGCATCTATGTTCATCAAGGATATCAGTCTATAGTTTTCTTTTTTGGTTATGCCCTTTCCTGATTTTGGTGTTAGGGTGATGCTGGCTTCATAGAATAAACTAGGGAGGGGTCCTTCTTTCTCTATCTTATGGAATAGTGTCAATAGGATTGGTACCAATTCTTCTTTGAATGTCTGGAAGAATTCTGCTGTGGGCTGGGCGCGGTGGCTCACGCCTGTAATCCCAGCACTTTGGGAGGCCGAAGCTGGCGGATCACGAGGTCAGGAGATCGAGACCATGGTGAAACCCCGTCTATACTAAAAATACAAAAAGTTAGCCGGGCGCAGTGGCGGGCGCCTGTAGTCCCAGCTACTCGGGAGGCTGAGGCAGGAGAATGGCATGAACCCGGGAGGCGGAGCTTGCAGTGAGCCAAGATTGCGCCACTGCACTCCAGCCTGGGCGACAGAGAGAGGCTCCATCTCAAAAAAAAAAAAAAAAAAAAAAAAAAAGAATTCTGCTGTGAATCCGTCTGGTCCTGCACTTTTTTTTTTGTTGGTAATTTTTAAATTATCATTTCAATGTCGCTGCTTGTTATTGGTCTGTTCGGGGTATCTAATTATTCCTGATTTAAGCTAGGAGGGTTGTATTTTTCCAGCAATTTATCCATCTCTTCTAGGTTTTCTAGTTTATGTGTGTTAAGGTGTTCATAGTAGCCTTGAATGATCTTTTGTATTTCAGTGGTGTCATTTGTAATATCTCCCATTGTGACAATGACCATACTGCCAAAAGCATGGCAATCTCCATCAAAATACCACCATCATTCGTCACAGAATTAGAAAAAAAAATTCTAAAATTCATATGGAACCAAAAAAGAGCCCTCATAGCCAAAGCAAGAATAAACAAAAAGAACAAATCTTGAGGCATCACACAACCTGATTTCAAACTACACTATAAGGCCATAGTCACCAGAACAGCATGGTACTGGTATAAAAATAGGCACAAAGACCAGTGGAAGAGAATAGAGAACCCAGAAATAAACCCAAATACTTACAGCCAACCGATCTTCAACAAAGCAAACAAAAACAAAGTGGGGAAAGGACACCCTCTCAACAAATGATGCTAGGATAATTGGCTAGCCACATGTATGAGAATGAAACTGGATCCTCATCTCTCACCTTATACAAAAATCAACTCAAGATGGATTAAGGACTTAAACCTAAGACCTGAAACTATAAAAATTCTAGAAGATAACAATGGAAAACCCCATCTAGACAATGGCTTAGGAAAGGATTTCATGACCAAGAACCCAAAAGCAAATGCAATAAAAACAAACATAAATAGCTGGGACCTAATTGAACTAAAGAGCTTTTACACAGCAAAAGGAACAGTCAGCAAAGTAAACAGACAATGCAGAGTGGGAGAAAATCTTCACAATCTATACATCCAACAAAGGACTGATATCCAGAATCTTCAACGAACTCAAACAAATCAGTAAGAAAAAAAAACAAACCATCCCATCAAAAAGCGGGTTAAGGACATGAATAGACAATTCTCAAAAGAAGATATACAAATGGCCAACAAACATATGAAAAAATGCTCAGCATCACTCATCATCAGAGAAATGCAAATCAAAACCACAGTGCAATACCACCTCACTCCTGCAAGAATGGCCATAATCAAAAAATCAAAAACCAGATATTGGTGTGGATGTGCTGAACAGGGAACACTTCTATACTGCTGGCGGGAATATAAACTAGTACAGCCACTATGGAAAACTGTGTGGAGATTCCTTAAAGAACTAAAAATAGAACTACCATTTGATCCAGCAATCCCACTACTGGGTATCTACCCAGAGGAAAAGAAGTAATTATTTGAAAAAGATACTTCCACACGCATGTTTATAGCAGCACAACTCACAATTGCAAATCGTGGAACCAAGCCAAATGACCATCAATCAACGAGTGGATAAAGAAACTGTGGTATATATATATATACACGATGGAATACTTCACAGCCATAAAAAGGAATGAATTAACAACATTTGCAGCGACCTGGATGAGATCGGAGACTATTATTCTAAGTGAAGTAACTCAGAAATGGAAAACCAAGTATCTTATGTTCTCATTGATGTGTGGGAGCTAAGCTGTGAGGACACAAAGGCATAAGAATGGTGCAACGGACTTTGGAGACTTGCAGGGGTGAGGGATGGAAGACTACAAATATGGTGCAGTGTATACTGCTTGGGTGATGGGTGCACCAAAATCTCACAGATCACCACTAAAGAACTTACTCATGTAACCAAATACCATCTGTCCCCCAATAACTTATGGAAAAATTAAAAAATTAAAAAATTAAAGGTACAGTAAAAATACAGTACAAAAGATAAAAAATGCTACACCTGTATAGTTCACTTACCATGAAAAGAACTTGCAGGACTAGAAGCTGCCCTGAGTGAGTGAATGTGAAGGCCTCGGACATTACTGTCCAACACTGTAGGCTTTGTAAATAGCGTACACTTAGGCTACAGTAAATTTTTAAAAAAATTCTTTCTCCAATATTAAATTAACCTTCGCTTACCGTAACATTTTTACTTCACAAACTTTAAAAACTTTTTAAACTTTTTTATTCTTTTGTAATAACACTTAGCTTAAAACACAAACCCACTGTACAGCTGTACAAAAATATTTTATTTCTTTATATCCTTATTCTATAAGCTTTTCTCTATTTTTAAATTTTTTATTTTAGTTTTTACTTTTTAAAACTTTTTTGTTAAAAACTAAAGCACAAACAGACACATTAGCCTAGGCCTACACAGGGTCAGGATGATCCATATCATTGTCCTCCCCCTCCACTCCTGTTCCACTGGAAGGTCTTCAGGGACAGTAACAATCACAGAGCTGTCATCTCGTAGGATAACAACGTCTTATTCTGGAATACTCTCTAAAGGACCTATGTGAGGCTGTTTTACAATTAGCTTTTTTTTTTAATAAGTAGAAGTACACTCTAAAATGATGCTACAATGTATAGTATGGTAAACACATAAACCAGTAACTTGGTCATTTTATCACTATCAAGTATTATGATGTAATATACATAATTGTATGTGCTATACTTTTACATAACTGGCAGTGAAGTAGGTTTGTTTACACCAGTGTCACCACAAACATGGGAGTAATGCATTGCACTATGACATTTGTTATGACAGCTACAATATCACTAGGAAATAGAAAATTTTCAGCTCCATTATAATCTTATGGGACCACCATCGTATATGTGGTCTGTCATTGACCAAAACGTCATTATGCAGCACATGACCGTACATTGACTGAGACACGGATTCATGGATTCCATATTTGTGAATTTGCCTGCTCCCTAAAATGTATTTCTAACCTCAGAATCAATACACATGCCACTTCTGCAGTGTTTGTGCACATCCATAGAGTAGCAAGACATTTGAAATACTGACATGATTACTCTGCCTTTCTGTTTCAGCTCTCATGATGTAAACGAGTGTCCTTTTCATTGTATCATGGGTTTTGTGCGTGCTTTGTGTTGGTAATTTTGCTATTTAAAATGGCCCGCAAGTGTAGCTGCTGAAGTTTTGTCTAGTGCAGGGGTCTCCAACTCCTGGGCCTGGTACTGTTCTGTGGACTTTTAGGAACTGGGCCCCATAGCAGGAGGTTAGCAGTGTGTGAGCAAAGCTTCATCTGTATTTACAGCTGCTCCCCATTGCTTGCATTACTGCCTGAGTTCTGCCTCCTATCAGATCACTGGTGGTATTAGATTCTCATAGAAGCACAAACCCTACTGTGAACTGTGCGTGTAAGGGGTCTAGGTTGCACACTCCTTACGAGAATCTAATGCCTGATGATCCGTGACTGTCTCCCATCATCCCCAGAAGGGACTGTCTAGTTGCAGGCAAACAAGCTCAGGGCTTCCCCTGATTCTACATTACCATGAGTTGTATAATTATTTCATTATATATTACAATGTAATAATAGAAATAAAGTACACAATAAATGTAATGGGCTTGCATCATCCTGAAACTATCCCCACTCAAGTCCATGAAAAAATAGTCTTCCATGAAACCAGTCCCTGGTGCCAAACACTGCTGGCCTAGTGTTCCTAAGTGCAAGAAGGCTGTGATATGTTATAGAGAAATACATGTGTCAGATAAGCTTTTGCTCAGTTAGGAATGATAGTGCTGTTGGCCTTGAGTTCAGTGTCAATGAATCAACAATGTTAAATAAAGTGTCTTCAAACAGTGATACACGTCAAACAAGGTTATGTATTGACCACTGGAGGAAAATACTGTAACCAGAGGCTTGCAGGTGCCTGTATTTCCATTAGGAGCAATGACTCAGTATTCACTAATTTAGTGTTACAGCGACTTTACAGACCATAACTACCATGAATAAGAAGCAGCAGCTATATATGACTTTAAGAATTATTCAGTGTGATTCTGATGTAAGTTTCCACATGTTCTCCTGAAACAGCCTTAACCAACCCCAGGCCAGATTCACTCAGTGCCCCACTGCCTCATCTCCCTCCTTTACATCCTCCTGCCCCAGAAGCAAGAAAGCGATTGTTGCCCACCTGAGGAAAAAACTGTTTTTATACTCGCAACACCTGTGACACCTAATGCGGGAGGTTTTTTTGTTTTGTTTTGTTTTTTTTCCACACCAATCACCAACACTGTGACTCTCCAGACATCAACTAGGTGTCCAGTAATTCAACTCAATTCCGAAACTAACCACCAGGAGTTAGATCACACCCCACTAGTGAAGGGCTCAGTCCCACACACAAGCCCCCCACTTCAGATGCCAGTAGTAAATCTGGACCTCCAAACTTCTGGCCAACTGGCTACAAATAAGGGGTCCCCACGACCCCATGCTTGGATTTAATATTTTGCTCGACTGCCTCACAGAATCCAGGAAAACAGTCTACTCGTTTATTATAAAAGACACGACTCAGGAACAGCGTATGGAAGAGAGGCTGTATTTGTCCGTTTTTACGCTGCTGATAAAGACACACCCGAGATGGGAAAGAAAAGGAGATTTAATTTGACTTACAGTTCCACATGGCTGGGGAGGCCTCAGAATCATGGCAGGAGGCGAAAGGCACTTCTCACGTGGCGGAGGCAAAAGAAAATGAGAATGAAGCAAAAGCGGAAGCCCCTGATAAAACCATCAGATCTCGTGAGACTTATTCACTATCACGAGAATAGCACGCACGAGAAAGACTGACCCCATGATTCAATTACCTCCCCCTGGGCCCCTCCCACAATTCATGGGAATTCTGGGAGATACAATTTAAGTTGAGATTTTGGTGGGGAAACAGCCAAACCGTATCAGACGCCCAGGACAATGTATGGGGAAGGGGCAGAGAGCTTCCATGCCCTCTCCAGGAGCACCACCCTCTAGGCACCTCCACGTGTTCACCAGTCCAGAAGCTCTCCAAACCCCATTATTTAGGGGTTTTTATGGAGGTTTTATTACATAAACACAATTGATTAAATCATTGGCCATTGGTGATTAACTCAATCCCCAGCCTCTCTCCCCTTCCTTAGGTTTGGGGCGGGTGATGGGGCTGAATTTGATTCCTCTGGCAACCAGTCCCCAACTTGTTAGGAACGACAAAAGAAGCTCCTCCCACTCCCATCACTCAGGGAGCTCCTAGGGGTTCTTAGACGCTCTTGTACCAGGAACCAGGGGCAGAAATCAAATATATAGTTCTTAATTTCTTATAACACCCCTCCCAGAAATTCTATCTTGCGTCACTATTGGGAGGGTCAGTGTGGCCTGCTTTGTGAGCGGTTTTTTTTCTTTTATTGGTTTGGTACGCCGGGTGCGGTGGCTCACGCCTGTAATCCCAGCACTTTGGGAGGCCAAGGCAGGTGGATCACGAGGTCAGGAGTTCGAGACCAGCCTGGCCAATATGGTGAAAACCAGTCTCTACTAAAAATACAAAAATTAGCATGCGCGCCTATAGTCCCAGCTACTCGGGAGGATGAGGCGGAAGAATCACTTGAACCCGGGAGGTGGAGGTTGCAGTGAGCCGAAATCGGGCCACTGCACTCCAGCCTGGGTGACAGAGTGAGATGCCATCTCAAAAAATAAAAATTAATAAATAAGTAAATAAGAAAGCAAGAAAATTTGCTGTTGCATTGTGGGGATATCCTCTGATGGCTGTCCTTGCATGGTGCCATATTGGTACTGCATGTGCTCATATGCGTATATCCTGTATGTATTTCATATGTTAAGAGATAAAGGGTGCCTCTGTTTCTTCCAAAAACTTCCTGGCTATGGATTAACAGAACTACGTGATCAAAGGGAATCCAAGATTGAAGGGTTAGAGGAAGTGAAAGGAAATTTAATTGAGAAAGGACAGGGCATCCTTAGTGAAGAATTGGGATCCAAAGTCAGAAGTAAGCTCTCCTGGTGATGGAGGAAGCAGAAGCAGTCTGTTGCCTGAGCTCTCTGTTATGTAACTTCAAGGATTCTCACACTCACTCGCACACCCCAGAGTCAGGAGGTGGGGCGTGGGAAAGTACATGGTAGAGGTCACCCCTCTGTAACTTGCAGCAGGGGCTGGGGACACAAAGGCCCTTGAGAAAGCAGCTGATTTCCTCCCCAGCACAGGCCGGTCACCACAGGGAAGATTCCAGAAGAGGAAATTTGCTCAGCTCATAACAAAGTTTATTAGCTTAGCAGATCTGTGTGTCAAACGAGAATCCGTTTCTAAAGACTCCATTCATCAAATTGGCTCAAGCTTAGTCATTTGTGAAAAAACTGCCAAAGACCCCACAAAGACAGCATACAGAAAAAACTTGCAGCCCAAGGTTTGGGAGGATTTGAAATATATAAACACAAGAATCAGAGATAAATACCAACTACCTAAGATTATGAGCTGATTTCCTCAAGGGTGGATAGTTAGATATAGAAGGAAACTGTAATTGCTCCATGGGTTTTTCCTGCCCACTGTCCAGACAAAACCAATTCATTGCAACCGTGACACTGCAATAAGGAAGTTTAATTGACACAAGACCAGCCATGCCATGTGGGAGATGAAGTTATTACCCAAATCAATCTCCCTGAGAATTCAGAGGCTAGGGTTTTTTAAGAATAGTTTGGTGGGCGGGGGGCTGAGGGAATGGGTACTGCTTGATTGGATGCAATCACAGCGGTGTGGAAAGTGGTCCTTGTACAGAGTCCCTTCTGGGTAGGAGCCACAGGAGCAGAGTCCTGGGTCCGGGTGGGCCATCTGGTAGTTAGAAATGCAAAAATCTGAAAGGACATCTCAAAAGGCCAATCTTGTTAGGTTCCACAATAGCGATGTTATCTACAGGAGTAATCGGAGAATTTGCAAATCTTGTGACCTCTGGAATAATGGCCGGTAATGGTTCATTACCTTGTTTATAGGTAATAGTTTATTCTGCCTACATCTTAGCAGAATTCAGCCTCCTCTCATCCTCCTAACCTGGTAGTCTTTCATTAGTTTTAGAAAGATGGTTTACTTTTGGGGAAGGGCTGTTATCATTTAAATGATAAACTAAATTTCTCCCAAAGTTAGCTAGACCCAAGCCTAGGAATGGCCAAGGACAGTCTGGAAGTTAAAGGCAAGATGGAGATTGGTTAGATCAGATCTCTTTTACTGTCATAATTTTCACATTTTTAAAATTTTTGCAAAAGTGGTTTCAAAACTGTCCCAAATCTTGTTAGGCATGAGGGACAGGAGGGAACAGGAACAACTGAGATACCTTCTAGGCAGTTAATGCCAGAAGATGTCTCAAGACTGGGTTGGGTCTAGGTCAATTATTTGCGAAAGTGTGGGTGCAAACCATGTTCTATCTAGGGACTGCCAAAACTCAAAACTGGGAAGATGAAATTCTGCTACAGAGAATTCAAATGTGAGGCTAGAAATAAGAGACAAAGTCAAGATGAGGAAAGACAGTACACCACAGCAGTGCCTGCACTTGGCTCAACACCAAGGGGCACAATTCACACTGCAGTCTGTACGAATGGTGCCCAGTAGAGCTGGGCTGTGTGTACCCTGCACCATTGCTTTGTAGCTGTGGATAGTGAGATAAATAAACCAAGAAATGAGAGAGCCCTTGAATCAAAATGATCCAAGATAATTGCTGAGGATAAGGCTTGAGCTTCCTCGTTTTTATCAGCTCTCCATTTTCAAAGCACAAATGGCCTGAAATACAATGAAGATGCAGTAGAAAAAGCAACAGTCTAGAAATTAAGAGACGGGAGGTCAAATCACCCTCTGAGAAGTTGGTCATTTATTCAGTATTCTTGGCGTCTGGTTTATCTCTAAAGTGGAGACAATGAGAAGTGGTCTGCTTCTCTTCCTCTCGGGGTTGAACCAAGTTTGATCAAGGATATAAGCAAACACTGAAAATGAATGCTTTGCAAATGTCAGGGTTACACATGACGCAGTGGTCATGGTTTTAGCAGGGTGCTGAGACCTATCAATGGCCTACAAGACCCTGCAGTATCTGTCTCCTCTTGCTAGCCTCATCCACTCCACTCACACTGGCCCCTTTGCATTCCTCCAGTACCTGTCCCCAAGGGCCTTGTGAGTGGCTCTTCTCTCTGCTTGGCACACTGTCCTGCAGAACATCAGCTTGGCTTGCTACCTTCCCTCCTTTGGGTTTTATTCAAACATCAAGTTCTCAGTGAAGATTTCCCTGACAACACACTATTTAAAATGCTCACCTCCTAGCATTTTCTAAACCCTTCCCTATTTATTTTTTTTTTATCCCAAACACATCACTGTCTAATGCACAATTTAATTTACTTTTTCCTATGTTTATGTTTTGTCCTCCCCCATCAGAATGTAAGCTCCTGGAGGGCAGTGATTATAATGTTTTGGATCCTAAGCCAAAAATAAAGTCTAGAAAATTGGTAGGCACTCAAAAAAATATCAGATGTATGAAAGGGAAAAAGCTGTTCAAAGACACAAGCTCATCTCCTTACCAGGATGCCTTTTGCACTTCGGTTGAAATGGCTCCACCAAATAAAATGTCTGTTTCAGCACTTTGCTATCAATCTTGATTTTTGCTCCAATTCCTTTTGAGACTCCAGGACTGAAGTTTTAATTCCCCTTGCTTGTTGCCCAGCAAACAGCATTGAGAAATGAAAGGTCAATTTGGAGTTGACAATTTGCCAATTTGCCATATTTGCTGACCTACTAGTGAAATGAGCCATATTTCAGGGAAGGCTGTGGGTGAAGTGAGATGGGTTGTAAGAGCCCCACAGGGGAAAGAAAATGTGGAGAGCCCCATGCCAGACAACGGAATGTTTAACAGGCATTCAAAAAATACATGTAGCTTATTGCAAAAGAAAAAACAAGCTCTCTCTTGAGCTTTCTTTGTTGTTGTTTAAACAAAATATATCCTCTGAACTCAGTAACTTGGAGAAATCTGCTATTGCTGCAGAACTGGAAGCATATAGAGTTCTGCCAACAAGAAATCTATTCCCCTTTGGGGGTTATATTCTTATCTTGAGTTATTTTCTCTTGGCCTAGAATGTGCCACTGAATTATTCTCAAATGGCTTGCTTCTGGGTCAGTTCTTTATGCAAGGACACAGTTACCTCACTGTGATCTGGTCAAAGTCAGTCTCTGACCTGCTGGGAATAGAGAGGGAATGGAAAAGAGGCCACTTCTCTGCCATCTGAAAACAGGTGTTTGTAGATTATTTGCTCAAATTGGTTAATATAACGATGTTAGAACTTGAGTATATATATATATATATATATATATATATATATATATATATATTCCCAGGTTTAAGCGATTCTCCTGCCTCAGCCTCCCGAGTAGCTGGGATTACGGGCACGGCTAATTTTTGTATTTTTAGTAAAGATGGGGTTTCACCATGTTGGCTAGGCTGGTCTTGAACTGCTGACCTCAGGTGATCCGCCCACTTCGGCCTCCCAAATTGCTGGGATTATAGGTGTGAGCCACCGCACCCGGCCAGGACTTGAATATTTTCACCATATGAAATTATCTAGAGGATTCAGAATACACTCTGCAGAAGCAATACATCATCATACTAAAGACTAGGCTTTAGAATGAAATAGTCCTGCTTCAAATCTCATTCCTTCTACTAATGAGTTATATAATTTTGAGCAAATTACTTAAGCTGCCTGAGACTCAATATTTTCATCTCCAAAATGGGAATAATAATATATACATCAGTTTTTTCTGGGATGATAAAATGAGATAATGCATTTAAACAGCTCAACAAATTGTTCTTGTTTGTAATGATTATTCCAAAAACCCAGGAGCATAGTTTTGTTAACCAGGATGATTTACCCTTCATTGACAAGAGAACACAGAAGGCAGGTAGTGAAGACAACATAGTCCATCTGGTGAAACTTGGCCAAAGTGATCAGATGATGTTACTCTCCTGTCTAAATCATCCTGCAGCAAACCAACATGTCAGCATCAGAGCTGTTGGTCTGCAGATAGACGAGAGGCCAGTGGGAAGCTGGATCATACACCCTGGGACAAGGAAAATGATTCTTCCTCCCTCCCTTCCCCTTTCTGCCCTCCTTCCTTCCTTCCTGATACATCTTTCTAATTCTGTCATTCATGGCTGTCTTTTCCACACAGTGCCTATTGTGTGTCTACACTGGATGTTCTCAGGACTTGTATGGTCTAGACCCAGTTTGGCTCACTCACTAATTGAGTTGGACAAATCACTTTTACCACAGAGTTGAACGGTTAAGAGCATAAACTCAGAATTAGTCTATCTGGATTCTAAAAGCCTGCTCTACCACTTACTAGCTGTGTGACCTTCAGTGAGTTGCTTAAAACTCTCTGTGCCTCTGTTTATCCATCTGTGAAAAGGAGATTTACAACAGTGTCTATTTCACAAGGTTGGTGTGAGAATTCGATGAGTTACTAATGTGGACCACTTTAAACTGTACCTAGCACAAAAGCCTAATATCTCCTCATTATTCTAATAGATTTCTATTACTATCTGTAAAATAAGGGGATTGTGCCATCTCTGAAGTTCCTACTATGATAGAACTAACACTTTGTGAGTCATCTGGGATCCTCCCTGCAGAGACTGAGTCTCTCGCTACCTGCCTGCTCCCTTTCCCCACCCATTCAACTTCATTCATCTTTCAAGTTTCACAGCTTCCCTCCTTGGCAGAAATTATGGAGCTGTTTCAATGTGCCATCGTTGGTTCAGTTAGGTGACAAAGATGCCATCTGCTAGGAGTGTCCATTTGGGAAATCAGATGTTTAACAGATCACAGCAGTATTATGTTCAGGAAAACAACATCATGTTCCTGCACAGGAAGGAGACTCCAGGAGCCTTGGTTTGGAACAGGGCTGGTACACATGTCTGTACAGTAGTTCCCCCACCCCTTATTAGAGGTTTTCTTTTCTAATATTTCAGTTACCAGTGGCCAGTGGCCAATGGCAGTTCAAAAATATACAGTGGCAAATTACAGAAATGACCAGTTCCTAAGTTTCAAATTATGATGAAACCTCGTGTCATCCTGCTCTGTTCCACCTGGGATGCAAATCATCCCTTTGTCCAGCAGATCCACACCATAGACACTCCCCACCGTGAGTCACTCGGGTGCTGCCTGAGTTATCAGATCAACCATCACAGTATCCACAGCGCTGTGTTCAAGGAACTCTTATTTTACATGGTTATAACCCCCAACCACAAGAGGAGTGATGCTGACAATTCGGATCTGCCTAAGAAAAGCCATAAAGTCCTTCCTTTAAGTGAAAAGTGAAAGTTCTCGACTTAATAAGGAAGGAAAAAAATAACTTCATGCTGAGGTTGCTAAGATCTATGATAAGAAGGAATCTTCTATCTGTGAAATTGTGAAGAAGGAAAAAGAAATTTGTGCTAGTTTTGCTGCTGCAAAAGCTACTGCCACAGTGCACGGTAAGTGCTTGAGATGGAAAAAAAATTACATTTGTGAATGAAAGACAGGAACAGAAATGTGTTCCTATTGATTACAATCAGGTTTGGTACTATCTGTGATTTCAGGCCTCCACTGGAGGTCTTGGAACATATCCCCCGTGGATAAGTGGGGGAGATGCTGTGTTATCACCCCAGAGAATCAGTATGTACTATATATTCCACCAGGCAATGGGAATGTGCAGAGTACAGCCACCCAGCCACCAGCTGAGGCCAAGTGCCCAGTGGCAGCATGTCATGGTTGGAGGTCAGTCTGGAGCCAGGAGACTCCGGCTTATGCTCCAGCTCTGTGTCAGCCTATGAGATCTGGGGATTGCTGAACTTCAGAGGCTCAATTTTCTCGGTTCCTAAATGGGGATAACAAAACCAGGTTCATAAGTCATTTTAAGAATTAAGGGAGCAATCGTGCAGTTTAGAGCTATCACGGAGGAGAAGATATTTTGTAAAATGTATAGGCTTACACTGTAAGAGTCATAATTATTCTCATTATAGCTTCAATACATTGAAGGACTTGAATTCCTGAGTCTTCCTTAAAAGACAATAACCTAATTTGTTTTCTTGTTTGTTTGATTTCAAAATGTTTACTATTTCTTAGCTAAACAATACATTCAAGAAGTTGGAGAAGCAAAAATAACAGTAAAAGATGTCCCTTCCCCATCTTCCAAATTCCCACTGCCTCCTGTTACTAGGTTTTTGTTGTTTTTTGTGAGCTCCCAGATCTTTTGGATAAATATGAAGACAAAGGCATTTGTCCATTTCAAAATACATTATCCCCTCCTTTCCGCCTTTTAACCACAAATGATGTCACACTATACCCATTGTTCCATACTTACTCCCTTGAAATCTTAAAGGAACTTCCACATCAGTACATAGAAAGTTTTCTCATTTCCTTTTCTTTTGTTTCTTTTTGTAACCATTGAATGAGTTCCATTGTATATATATTCCATAATTTAACAGTCCCCTATTGATAGAAATTTAAATTACTTCTTAACTTTGTTGTTACAAGTTATTCCATATGTATGTGAGTGTATTTGTAGTAGAAATTCCTAAAACTATAATTCCCAGGCAGAAAGCGTAGGTATTTACAATTTTAGTATTTATTGACAAATTGGCCTCTGACAGGGTTGTGCTAATTTACCCTCCCAACAGAAATGTCTGAAAGTACCAATTTCCTCATCACAGCCTTGCCAACTATGAGTGTTATCAAATCCTGAAGATTTTACCAATATGAGAGGTGAAAATGCTATCTCAGTATAGTTTTAAGTTGTGCATGTTTCCATATGTGTGTTTAACAAGTTTATTCCTAAATGGACAATGTGTAGAAATTATTTATTATTTCCTTTTTTCTAAATTGCCTCTTATTTTTCCATTAGGTTGTTTTTTCTTTTTGATTTTTAGAGATTTTTTGTGTATTCAGGGGATTTACCTTGGGTCTGTGACATGGTTTGTAAAATATTTGTTCTCGGTTTGTCACTTATCAACTAGCTTTGGCTATGACATGTACGTGTGTGTGTTTTATCATGAACAACTCTTTAAATTTGTGTGTTGGGCCGGGCACGGTGGCTCACGCCTGTAATCCCAGCACTTTGGGAGGCCGAGGCGGGTGAATCATGAGGTCAGGAGATCGAGACCATCCTAGCTAACACGGTGAAATCCCGCCTCTAGTAAAAACACAGAAAAAAAAGTAGCCGGGCGTGGTGGAGGGTGCCTGTAGTCCCAGCTACTCGGAAGGCTGAGGCAGGAGAATGGCATGAACCCGGGAGGAGGAGCTTGCAGTGAGCAGAAATTGTGCCACTGCACTCCAGCCTGGGCGACAGAGCGAGACTCCATCTCAAATAAATAAATAAATAAATAAACAAACAAACAAACAAACAAATAAATTTGTGTGTTGCCAAATTTATCAGTCTTTTAGGTCTTACTGATTATGAGTCATACTGAGAAAGGCTTTTCTACTACAAAGACATAAAAAATAATTCTTCCGTATTTTCCTCTAGTCCTTTAATTAATCTTTGAAAAAAAATCTTAATATTGGATTTATGTGGAGTTAATCCTAGTGTGTGGTTGAGGCATTTACCCCTAAATGATTCCCACAATCATCACTTATTGAGTAGTACTTTCCCCCACTGATGTTGAGATGCTATTTTAATAATCATATACTACATTCCCATGTTACTGATTCTGTTTCAGATTTTTAAAGACCAGATCTCCCAAAGAGTGAATCTGCCAGAGAATAAAATCTCATCGGCAGGAGAACAAGAACAGCATACCTGGTCTGGATCACTATTGTTAATATGTTCCTAGTATTTGCTTTAATGTCTTTTTTAGCACTCTGAAGGAACTGTGATATAGAAAGTGGCAGTCTCTGGGCAGGCACTATTCTCTTTTCTAGACAGTAAATTTACTATGAAATCACATAAAAATAACAGTAAAGCCTCCCAATGACTGGACTGAGGTTCTTTGTGCCTGTCTGTAGAAGTCATAAAAAAGAGTCCTGGCCGGGCGCGGTGGCTCACACCTGTAATCCCAGTACTTTGAGAGGCCGAGACGGGTGGATCACGAGGTCAGGAGTTCAAGACCAGCCTGACCAAGATGCTGAAACCCCATCTTTACTAAAAATACAAAAATTAGCCAAACATGGTGGCATGTGCCTATAATCCCAGCTACTAGGGAGGCTGAGGCAGGAGAATCACTTGAACCCGGACGGCAGAGGTTGTAGTGAGCCAAGATCGTGCCACTGCACTTCAGCCTGGGTGACAGAGCAAGACTTCATCTCAAAAAAAAAAAAAAAAAAAAAGTCGTGGCCCGCATGTGGTGCCAGACAAGCGTCACCGCCAATGCTCATAGTGTCCCTGGGAGACAGAGCAAGACTTTTTTTTTTCCTCGCTCTGTCACACAGGCTGGAGTACAGTGGTGTGATCTTGGCTCACTGCAACCTCTGCCTCCCGGGCTCAAGCGATTCTTGTGCCTCAGCCTCCTGAGTAGCTGGGACTACATCCCTGGCTAATTTTTTTTTAATTTTTGGTAGAGATGGGGGTTTGCTTTATCGGCCAGGCTGGTCTTGAACTCCTGGCCTCAAGTGATTAACCCATCTCAGCCTCCTAAAGTGCTGAGATTACAGGTGTCGACCTCCGCACCTGGCCTAGATCAAGACTCTTTAATGTCATACTTCTTTACTTATACCTTTCTTTCTAGTCACCCTTCCGAAAGTTCAAATCACTTTAATATAATTATAATAACTAAATGTCTTAAGTGCTTTTTATGGACCTAGACCCTACTAAGTGCCTTATTTACATTATCTCACTTGATCCCTACAGTACCTCCATGAAGGAGAATTTATACTAGGGTTCACTAAATGCAGGCAACAGAACCAATCTATCCAAGTCAATTACAAAAGGAATTTTTTAGAAAGATATAGTAGAGTTCACAGAATCCAAGGAGAAGCCAAAGAAACAGGGTTGGAAAGCACAGGAAAGGGCATCCAGGGTCTGGGTAGCAGGAACTAGTTAATATACTGTCTTCTCCAAATGTCTCCTACGTGGTGAATTAACTCCAGCAATTTTCCCATGATTTTTACATCATTCTGCACCTGATTTCAAGTCCAGGAACACAGTGGTTTGATGTGGTAGATGACAAATGGTCACAGTTTCTTTGTAGCTCCTCCCATCAAAATTGGGTCTATTTCCCCACCCTTTGAAACAGGGCTATGACTTGCTTTAACCAATAGAATGTGGGGAGGTGACATAGTGTGAGTACCAGGGCAAGGCTTCAAGAGACCTTGCAGCTTCCATCTTTATCCTTTTGAAATCTGAAAGCGCTAAACTCTGAAAAGGTTCTGGGTAGCCTCTGAGTATAAGAAATCTCACAGAGGGAGAAGTTCAACATTGCACAAACCAGGGAAAGGCCTCTAGAGATCTTGCAACTTCCACTTTTACCCTTTTGAAACCTGAGACCACCAAGCTGCAAAGAGGCCTGGGATAGGCTCCCTGTCTATAAGAAATCCCACAGAGGGAAAGAGAGGTCCAACCATCCCAGCTGAGGCCCAGACACTTGAGTCACACTGTCCACAAATTTCAAACTAAAGCACAAATTTTATCCAAGACAGATTAAGGCTTAGGGCAAGACAGAGACCTTGTTAAAAGCATCCAGTGCTGGAATGACTGCTTTAAGTTTAGCCAATCATGTTGATCCTTGGGTCCTAACCTTTACCAGGGATGTCCAGGCTAAGGGATGGAAAGCAGTCATGTTCCACCGAGCTCCACCATCTCTGATGGCTGGCAGTGTCATTTGTACAGTCTATAAACTCCCATTGCCGTTCGATCAGTTTACCGCAGGGGTCCCCTGGGGCAGTGGTGACTTCCTCCAGCACTATCTCCTTAGACCCAGACTCCTCTCTAAAGGCACCACATCCCAGTCCACATGCCTCTGCTGCCAGAGTCCAGCCAAGAATAGGTACCTTAGAACGACAAGGTACATCCACGTGACTCCTCTCTTATCACCACTGCTTGGAATCTTTGCCAGCTTTCCTGCTGACTGGCTGGGCCTCCTGATGCGCTTTTCTTAAACCTGCCTGACCTTGATATCTATCAGGACGGTGCCTAGGGCTCTCTGGCGGTATGCTGGCTGGCACGGCCTCCGCAGTCACGTTTGTTTCCCCAGCTGCTCTCTGTCCCCAGCTCCCCCAACTCCTCCTGCTACCAGGTTCTTTCACTTCTCTCACCTGAGCCATGTCATGGTCCCTGAGCAGAGCCAAACTTCTCCTTGGTCCTGCACCCAGCCTGTCTCACATGTTCACAGGGAGATGGCCAAGGACTGGAAGTCCCTCATCTCTGTGTGTTTCAGACAGACCTGCAGGCAGGCAATACCCCCTAGACATCAGGTTTACCAAGAAGCCTCTTTTCACAGCAGGGACTGGTGTGTGGGGGGATGGGTGGGTCAGGGCAGGAATAGACAATGACTTTCACTTTCTCAGTCCCTCTTCACTTTTCAAACCTCTCCTCTGGAATGCCACCATGCCACCAGCAAAGGCCTCTAATGACTTCCATGTACCCAAGTCTTATCCAACTAATGTTCAGTCCTAGTTTTAAAAAATCTGCTCTGTTAGTTTTCCGGTTGACGCTTGGCTTGTGGAAACATCTCTCCAATCTCTGCCTCTCTTCACACGGACTTTGTAAAGCTCTCTGTGTCCTCACCTTTTCTTATGGGAAGAGCAGTCACTGGATTTAGGCCCACCCTAATCCAATATGACCTCACCTCAATCTTTAACTAATTACTTCTACAAAGGCCCTATTTCCAAATAACGTCACATCCTGAGGTTCTGGGTAGACATGAATTTTTGGGAGGTGTTAATCAACCCACTATACCTTGTAAGCAACATTTAACAAAATTTCCCCATTCCGTTTCTTCATCTTTCTGACCACTCCAATATTTTTTCAACCCACAAGAAAAGTTTGCGAAAAAAATTCAAATATATAGTTTCTCTTGAAAAATCTCTAAGCCTATAATTCCCCATGGTTGCCTCCTTTAGATGGGGGCTACCCTGTCATTTTCAGTACCTGCCTGACCCTGGTAGCATTTGAGCTTGTGACCCCATTATATTTATATTACAGAAGGAAGGCTTTCTATAATCAGTATAAAATTTACTGAAATACAAGTGACAGCATAATAAGATTTCTACCATGCTGGGCAAATCTGTTTATTCATTTCATTCGTCTATCAGATAACACCTATAAAATGAGCATCTACTATAGGTTAGGTACTATTCTTGGCACTGGGAATACAATTTTGAGCAATTATAGATACACTTGCCCTTATGGAAGAAAGATATGAACCACATAAATACATAAAAATAATAATTATGACAAATCTTATAAGTGAGAGGTCCTTGATGCTATGAAAAGATGGAATGGGAGAGATTTTCATTAATCTTAAAGGCTAGGGAAGGCCGAGATATGAATGACGAGAGATTTAACTAGACAAGGAGAAGCAGTATGTGCAAAGGTCCTGTGACTGTTGGGACTATTATATGGAACAAGACTAAAAGAAGTACAGTATAGCTGCAGAGGCAGGAGAATGCCATAGAAACCAAGGGGGCAGGGGAGGCAGCAGCCCCATACAGAGCCCTCCTCACCATACTGAGTTTTGTCTTTATCCTAAGAGCAGTGGGGACTTGTTAATGTGTGTTTAAAAAGAGAATATGTTAATATTTGTCTTATTAAGGAAATTATCTTGGATGCAATTTAGAAAACACTTCAAGGAGCACAAGAGTAGATATGGGTAGACCAGTTAGGAGGCTTCCGTCAAAATCTAAGTAAGAAATGATGGTATTTTGGAATAGAGTAGTCAGGTAGAGAAGTGTGGATAGGCCTGAGAGAAACATAGGGTTCCATAAAATCCACAGAATTTGGTGATGGATCAGAAATGGGGTGCAAGGGAGAGGGAGGAGTCAAGGGCAACTCCTCAGTCTAGGTATTGTTTAATAGATGCTGTTCACTGCCACAGGGGACACTGGGAGGGTCTGGGATGGGGCGGGGCAGCACACACTTCCGTTAGGACATGTTTAACTCAATGTGTTGTTGAGACACTCAACAGGAGATATTGAAGTGGTGGGTGGTGATTTGGGTCTAGAGCTCAGAGGAGGAGTTTTGGTTAAATAAGGTAACATGTGCAAAACACTTCTGTCAGCATCTGGACATGAGCGTTAGCCAATGCTATGATTTTCCAGCAATATCTTTAATGTGGTCATGATTAAAACTACATACATGATTAAATGCCTTAACTCAGTTTATATTGCTAAAGCAGTGCCTAGCCCACCGTAAGAGGTTATAAAGGTTGGGGAGGAAATTAAAGGGATTATATCTCTGAAGACACTTTTTATTTCTATGTATCAGTGTAAGAAATTATGTCTTCCAAATTTGACCCAGCTTTGGGAACTTCATAGACAGGGGGCAGTATCTCCACCTGTTATTTAGAAAACTTCACATTGTTTTCGAAATAGAAATTTAATATTTCCAGAAATTGTCCTTTATACTGTTATCAGAAAGAGCACTGAATAAAGAGACAAGAAACCCAGTTCTAATTCTTAGCCCCACCTTTGCCACTTTGGTTCCCTGGATGAATTACGTGTTTAAGTTCCATATTTGATTGATTTTTAAACATCCCAGGAAGCAACAGCTTCTTGGTACTCAGACCAAGGAACCCACACAAAAGCCACAGAGAAGCCACGCCTCAAAAAACAGACTGGCCCGGCAGGCTCCCTTCCTTTGCCCCCAGCATGGAGATAGCCATCTGGAGATGGCAGGATCATCTGATTAACAGTCATCTTGCATTTGCTTGTTATTCTCTCCGTGTTTCCTCTTAAGTCAAAGGTCAGTGATTTCCCCACTTCCTGTCCCTGCAACAGACAGAAGAAGATGAGGAATGCAGATATACCAGGGGTCAGGACACTGGCGCCTGGAGACAAATCAGTCTAGGGAGCCAGGACGTGGGTATCCTGAGGCACTTCTTTGTGCTTCCAAACCCTTGGGACCCTTGAGTCTTGGGAAACAAATGGGGCCGCTGATGTGAATGGCTGGGAGTAGATCTAACATAATCTCACTTCCCACTGGACGGCCCAGTCCAAGAGGAAGCCAGCACTTAGGGGGATACCAAGGGACATTTACTGCCACAGAGGCTTACTGTATTCCAGGACACAGCTGTGGGTCACAGCACTTAGAGGAGAAGAAAGGTCTGTTGGGGAGGTGATGAGTTCAAATCCCAGCTCTGCTACCAACTCACTCCATGGCCTTAGATGAGCAGCTTTCTAAATTTAAGCTTCCTTGTCTTTAAAATCTTAATGACTCCCCTACCCTACCTCACAGGATTGTCATAAAGATCATGAGATTACAGGAATGAGAGCAAGCACAGGTCCCAACACACAGTAAGGAGTAAATTCTCAATACGTGTTCTAGAAGATCTCCAAAGCAGACATAAATTCTTGCTTCATAGCACTCAACAAGAAACTTCAATGTGTGAGGGGCCCATCAGAGTAAACGGAAGACATATTGTCTTCCTACTCCTCTCACAGAATTCTGCTGGGATCAATTATGCAAAAGAAATAAAAGAGATAGAGAGAGACACAGCCTTTGGACCAGTAAATCCCAAACTCTGGAGACTCCAAAAGGAGCTGAGCTCAGTGGAACATTTCCTCACGTGTTCTGCCTATGTTTTCAGCCATGCAGAGCCCTGGAAATGGGTTCTGGATCATGGGTCTTCTGGAATGTATTTGCAGGAAACTTTTTGCCATCAATCTTGAGAATATGCCAAATCACAGAATCTACCCCAGGTCCAGGAGATGCAGGAAAAGAGATCTGATGGGTAAATGCACTGGCTTTGTCAACTACATTAGTTCTTTGAAGACAAACAATTCTTACAGGGCCAGGCATGGTGGTTCACGCCTGTAATCCCAGCACTTTGGGAGGCCGAGGCAGGCGGATCACGAGGTCAGGAGTTTGAGATGAGCCTGGCCAACATAGTGAAACTGTGTCTCTACTAAAGACACAAAAAATTAGCCAGGCATGGTGGCACCCGCCTGTAGTCCCAGCTACTCGGGAGGCTGAGGCAGGAGAATCGCTTGAACCTGGGAGGCGGAGGTTGCAGTGAGCTGAGATCACGCCACTGCACTCCAGCCTGGGCAACAGGGCTCTCCTGTTTTTAGAGCCTCCATCTCAAAAAAAAAAAAAATTCTTACACTGATACACAGAAAGGAAAAGCATTTTCAGAGACATCTCTTTTACTTTCTGCTTAGCCTTTATTAATTAAGCTCTTCCTATGCCATAGGCACTGCTTTAAGTACTTTAAATGTGTGACCGTATTCAGCATGTAAATTTAACCTTGTTGGGGATGACCACATAGAGAGGATCTTTCCATAACCCACCCTCTCCCATTGTCAGAGGAAACGGGTAGGATATTCCCTCTTGTCTCACATCCTTTGTTGGTTGTTCCACAGTGAGCACCCACCACGTCCCCGCACTTCCCTTGTTGACTGCTTAGCTGTTAGAATAGCTTAGGGAAGATTGATAAAGCTCCAGTGCTTCAGTCAAGACCCCTGGCCCTTCCCCAACCCTCATAGCCTCACTGCCACAATCTCCCTGAAGACCACCAGGGTTAGTCTTTTTGTGCCCAGTGGGGGTCAGCCTGCAAATCCCCAGACGGACTGTCTTGGCCAGACCCCCATGCCCAGAGGGCCTGCACACCCTGACAGTCTGGCCCAAGGCCCTCTGCAACTTGCTGTCATTCATCAGGAAAGTACCACTTAATCTAAAACTCTTCCTGAATTTTGCCTTCACTGTCTTGATTGAACTCACGCCTTTTATCTTTGGCTGCCTATTATAGCTGCCTGTAAAGCACTTTAAAAATTAAAAAAAAATTAAAAAAAATCCATCTTCCTCCCCTCCCCAATAATTGAGTAAGGATTTGGGGGCAGGGGTGGGGGCGGGGGCTGGGTGGAGTTTAAGCATGGTTATTTTTAAAACATTTCAAACAAGAAAGGGGTTGAGTCAAAGCTCTCAGGAGATGTGCAGGATCTCCAGAAGAGCCGGAACTCTGGCTAGGCCAGCCAGGCAGCAGAGGGGACCCTCTGTCTTGGGGCAGCCCTGGAAACAGGGGAAGGGGGATGTCTCCACTGCCACCTTCAGCAAAAATTGGAGTCTACCCACCACACACTCCCTCAGGGTACTTGCTATCAGTAAGAGTCTTTTTTTTTTTTTTTTTTTTTTTTAATAGAGACAAAGTCTCCCTACATTATCCAGGCTGGTCTCAAACTCCTGGGCTGAAGTTATCCTCCTGCCTCGGCCTCCCAAAGTGCTGGGATTACAAGCATAAGCCAGCACACCCAGGCTGGCTCACATGATTGTGGAAGCTGACAAATCCAAAATCTTCAGCATAGGCTGCCAAGCTGGAGACCTGGGAAAAAGATAATATTGCAGCTTCAGTCCAAAGGCAGTCAGCTGGCAGGATTTTTCTCTTTCTTGGAGGAGATCAGTCTTTCATTCTTAAGGCCTTCAACTAATTAGATGAAGCCCACTCAACCACATTATAGAGGTTCATTTGCTCTACTCAAAATCTACCAATTTTTTTTTTTTTTGAGACAGGGTCTTGCTCTTTCACCCATGCTCGTGTGCAGTGGCACAATTTTGGCTCACTGTAACCTCCGCCTCCTGGGTTCAAGAGATTCTTGTGCCTCAGCCTCCAGGGTAACTGAGACTACAGGTGCCCGCCACCTTGCCCAGCTAATTTTTGTATTTTAGTAGAGATAGAGTTTTACCATGTTGTCCAGGGTGGTCTCAAACTCCTGAACTCAGGCAATTTGTCCACCTTGGCCTCCCAAAGTGCTAGAATTATAAGCATGAGCCACCGCGCCCGGCCTAAAATTGCCTTTTTAATTGATGTACAATTGTATGAGTTTTAATACATGAATGCAGAACTGTTCCCTCACCCCAAATTACCCTCTCAAGCTACCTCTTCATAGTGAAATACTCAATTCCCCTGCAACCCTGGGCAGCCATTGGTCTGTTCTCCATCACTGTAATTTTGTCTATTGGCAATGGGATGTAAATAGAATCATGAAGCATGCGGCATTCTGAGACTGGATTCTTGCATTCAGCGTAATGTACTTGAGATCAATCCAAGCTGCTGTGTGGATCAAGGGTTTGTTCCTTTCTACTGCCAAGTATTGTTCTTTTGTGTGGATGCACCAGTTTATTTATCCATTCATCTGTTGAAGGACTTTGGAGAATCTCCCATGATACCACTAAGCCAGCAGTGCTGATTGTGGACGAACATTTGGGTTACTTCTGGTCTTTAGTTATTTATAATAGAACTCTCAGGTCCATGCTGTAGGGTGAAATTGTTTGGCCAAGTGGTAAGAAACTACCAAACTGCCAAACTGTTTCCCAAAGTGGCTGCACTGTTTTGCAATCCCAGTAACCATGTGTGGCCATTCTAGTCGTTCCAAATATTTATCAGAACTTGGTATTGTCGGTATTTTTTCATTTTATCCATACTCACAGGTGTGTCTTATTGTGGTTTAATTTGCATTTCTCATTGGTATTTTTTAATGTCACCGTGTGATTTTAATATGTAGCTGGAGTTGCAAACCACTGAAAAAACTAGATCTTGTCTGCCCAACAAGGCCAGCTTTTGCCATCAAATCTTCTACACATCTGTGCTATGTCTCTGCCTGTTACAGTGGAGTTACCTGTCCATGTTCCCATAAACGCCTTCATCTGCACTCCAGATACACACTGGATTTTTTTTTTTTTTTTTTCAGAGGGAGCCTTGCTCTGTCACCCAGGCTGGAGTGCAGTGGTGTGATCTCAGCTCACTGCAACCTCCACCTCCTGGGTTCAAGCGATTCTCCTGCCTCAGCCTCTCAAGTAGCTGGAATTACAGGTGCATGCCACCACTACCCAGCTAATTTTTGTATTTTTAGTAAAGACGGAGTTTTGCCACGTTGGCCAGACTGGTCTTGAACTCCTCAGCTCAGGTGATCCGCCTGCCTCAGCCTCCCAAAGTGCTGGGATTACAGGCGTGAGCCATCATGCCTGGCCTACATGCTGGATTTTCTTCCCTCTCCCTTGCCCAAGGGCATTACTTGTGTAATTATTCCTTGTATTTCTTACCATCATCATTTCTCCTACTACTAGATCATTATTATCAACAATATACAAAGATTCTGTAATTTAAAATAACTTTTTCCCACATCCATTCCTAGCCACCACCCCACTTCTCTGTTCCCCCTTACAGCAACAATCAAAGGGAGAGTAGTCTGTAAGTAGTGTCTCCAGGTCCTTCCCTCAATCCATCTTCCCTGCCTTTTCTTTTACATCTGCTCCAGTCAACCTTTCATCTACACCAGTCCATGGACAATGCTCTTGTCAAATTCCACAACTGCCTCACGTGCCAGATCCAAAGTTCAGACACTCTGAGATCTTTGCTTGTTCAACTACCCGCAGCAGAAGTGATCACTCCCTCTCTTCCTTAACAGTCTTTTGGCCTGGCTATTGTTGGGGGTAGCTTTTGACCCCTTAGATCTGTACCTACTCTGTCTCAGCATCCTGTGCTGGTTCCTCATCATCCTTCCTCTGGCCCTGGGCTCAGTCCTCAGATAACTTCTCTTTACACTCACTACCCAGCTGATCTTATTCTATCCCATAGCCTCAAATACAGATCGGTGACTTTCAACTTTATCTCTCCAGTCAAGACCTCCGCACTGAACTCTAGACTCACATAGCAAGCTATCCACTAGGCATCTGCACTTGTATGTCTAATAGACATCTCAGACTTAGCATGGGCATCACTGAATTCTTGACTAATCTCCCAAGTGTCTGTTTCCCATCTGATCTTCCCCATCTCAGAAAGCAGTAACTCCATTCTTCCGTTTAATCAGGCTAAAAACCTAGAAATTGTGCTGCTTTTTCTCTTTCTCTCATATCCCACATCCATCCAACCAGGAAATCTTGTTGACTCTCTCTTTGAATATATCCAGAAGGTGAGTAATTCTATTTCTACTGCTACATCCTAAGAGAAGCCACCATCAGCTATCACTAAATTATTGCAATATCCAAATGGTCTCCTTGCTTCCACCTCTCTCTTTTATTCTTCACACACCTCGAGAGTAAATATTAAAAACATTTAAACTTAAAAAAAAAAAACAAAAACCATGAGCCAGAAGCTATCACTGAATATGTTCCAGGGGCTCCCCATCTCAGAGTGAATAAAATTCACAGCCCTTTGCACGAGACTTCAAGGCTTTCCACAATCTTACCGCAACTGTCTTGCTGACCTAATTTCTCCACCATGCACCTTCTCCTGCTCATCCTATTCACTCATAAGCAATTCCTACAACTGGAAGCTGACAAAAGATACGATTGCGGTTGTGTTGTTAGAGGGCGTGATTTGGGGGAGCAAGGAGGTACTTACATCACTTGATCACTGGCCATCCCCCAGCAAGCTCCCTCTTGTTCTCCTCTCTGACCAAATGTTTTTTTCCCTGGATATCTGCTCTACTCCATCCTCGGGGATTCAGGCTTCTGCTTCTTCTATTGATTAAGAGTATTGATTAGGGTCTAACAGTGAAGATGACAACTATGTCAAAGGGGCTTCCTTGAGTGCATTTTCTAGAATCACATCTCTCTCTTGTCACTCTCACCCAGCTGATTCATTCTTCAAGACACCTATCGCCCCCAGAATTATCTCATTTACTTATCATGGATCGCCCCTCCACCTTCCATGTGAATGGAAGCCCCATAAGACAGTGATCATTCTAGGTTTTGTTCACTGATGGAGCCCATGTGCCCAGCACAGTGCTGAGTTAGCACTTTGTAGGAGTTCAATATTAGTTGAATGAATAAATGAATGCATCTTCCCTTACCTAGCCATTTTAGGATAGTTTTTCTTTCTAACGCTTCCCTGAATTTCATCTGAGCTGAGTTTCATCCAGATGATAACTCCTAGAGGGCCCCATATGATGTATTTTTCCTAACCAAATCTTCTAGTGATAACTCTGAGACCCTGAGGCTCTCTAAGGATGCTCCCACTCTAAATTAGTCTACAATGGCATCACTTCAGGGGAGAATCCTATTTGGAAAAGTCATATGAGTGGAAATTAACCACAAATGGAATCTCTTGGGGCAATGGATTCACACACATTTGCACATAAACAATTTAGTCTTTTTGGTAAATATTATATTTTGTCTCCAAGCCAAAGTTATGTTCTATTTGTCTTCTGGAACATGTCTTTTGGCTTTTAAAATGTCTTAAATAAAAACCACAGAAGTTCATCTCCATAGGGATTCTTACAGAAATTAGTTGTCCAGTTCCATTTTTGAAACTAGGTCATCCACAATTTTGAAATGACTCAACACAAATCGTAATAAAACAGAACCAAAAACGCATGTGTTCACATAACAAAGAAATTTATACTTTTAGGATATCATTTTATAAAATGTTAGTTATATTGATTTTTTAAATTTTCAAAGTCCTAAAATTTTATTTACTCATAATTATTTTAATAAATACAGAAGAAAAAAATTACCTACCTGCAAACATGTTCTGTGTAGGTAACAACTCCATAACTCAACTGGTGCTATCATTTTGGTATATTTCTATATAGAGTTATATTCTATAAATTTAGTCCATCTTTGAACTTTGCTTTGACTCCATCCCTAAAGGAGCTAATCCACAAATATAATCACCGCACTTCAGAGGGGCAGGCAGGCAGCAGGCAGCAGATGTTCATGGAGTACTCACCACTCTCTAGGCTACACAACACCTATGAAGAATACCTCGCATCCTAAGAAGGAAAGGCAGACAATGACGAACAGCCAACACTCATGGGTCTTCTTACTGGGTGCAAGACTCTAAGTACTTTCTGTATATCGACTCATTTAATTCTCATATGACTCTATGAGATGCATGCTGTTATTTCCCCCATTTTATAGATGTGAAAACTGAGGCTTAGCAAGTTTAAGGGATCCAATGTCACACAGTTAGACTTACTCCCAAGTCTACTCTTTTACTTACCGTGGGATGCACAGGAACAAACGCACAAGTTATTTTTAAGAAATGAAATGATATTCTAAAGAGTAACTGGAATTGATGCTTTAATGATGTTAGAGAAGGGTCCCTGAGAAGCTGCCATCTGAATAGAGAAGGCAGCCACCTGAAAACCTGGGGAGAGATATGTGGTTGAAGAGTGCAAAGGCCCCAAGATGGAAAGAGCTTGTTTGGGGAAGAAGAAGGGAGCCAGTGAGTCTGGGAAGAGTGAAGCAGGTGGCTTAACGTGAGTTGGGATGGGCAGGTGGGGGCAGGCTTCACAGGGCCTTGTAGGCCTTGCAAAGAATTTTGGATTTTATGCTGGTTATAATTGGAAGTCATTAAAAGGCTTAAACAGTGGAATGCTGTAATCCAACTTATGCATTATAAAGGTCACTCTGTAAAGGGTGGATTATTATAACGGTCAAGAGTGGAAGCAGAAAAATAAATGAAGGAGCTACTGGGTTAATTTATGTGACAAATGACCATGGCAGATTGAACTAAGTATACGGCAGCAGAAATGGGGAAAGTGGTCAAGCTCAGGATGTATTTTGAAATGGATTTACTGATACATTGGAATGTGTGTTAGCCAAGCCCCAGGACCTGGGCCTAAGCAGCTAGGTGGCTAGTAGTGAAGACAATTATTGAGAGGGGGTAGGGTTGATTGGGAGTGAACCACATTATTTAATTCTTGCTGTTTTGGGGCTTACTAAAAAAGACGTCCTATTTTATATAGTTTGAGAACTTGCTTCTTTTTTCCTCTGTAACATTATGTTATGAAGAGGAATTCATATTGTTGCACTTAGCTACATTTCATCACTTTTATTACTGCATAATATTCTATCATATCCACAAAATGTATTTATACATTCTCCTCTCATGGATGTGGAAAAGTGGAATGACAGCTCCTCTGGAGAAGTCATGCCCTTGTCCCTGGAGCCTGGGAATATGGGAGCTGGGAAAATCCAGCATGTAGGCCAGTGCATTTCAAAGAGAAGTTAACATTGCAGAGGGAATTAAAGTTGATAATCAGCTGACCTTGGAATGGGTTAATTATTCTGGATCATCCAAGTGGGCCCAATATAATTATAAGAGCCATCGTGGAAGAGGAAGGCAGAATCATCTGTGTCAGAGGGATGCAGGATGACCAAGACTGGACCAGCCATCGCTGGTTTTAAAGATGGAAGTGGCCCTGAGCTGAGGAACATGGGTGGCCTCTATAAGTCAGAAAAAGAGAGGAAACAGATTCCCTCCCATGGAGCCTTCACACGTGGCTCTGCCAACACCTTGATATTAGCTAAGTGAGATCCCCTTTGGACTTCTAGAACTGTAAGATAACACATTTGTGCCGTATCAAGTAGCCATATTTGTGGTCATTTGTTGTACCAACAATAGGAAACTAATACAAAGGGCATTTCGATGTTTCCATTTTTTAATGACTACAGGCAGTGCAGCTATAAACATTTTTGGCATATCTTCTGATTTATATGTGCAAGAGTTTCTCTTGGCTGTATACCTAGGAATGGAATGGCCGAGTCCTTGGGTACGTGAAAGTTCAGTTCTATAGGACAATGCCAAATTGTTCTCCAAAGTGGTTGAACCCATTTACCTCCTCACCAGCAATGTATAGGAGCTCTGATTGGGCTGGGAGCGGTGGCTCATGCCTGTAATCCCAGCACTTTGGGAGGCCGAGTTGGTGGGATCACAAGGTCAGGAGTTCAAGACCAGCCTGGCCAACATGGTGAAACCCCGTCTCTACTGAAAATACAAAAATTAGCTGGGCATGGTGGTGTGTGCCTGTAGTCCCAGCTACTCAGGAGGCTGAGGCAGGAGAATTGCTTGAACCAGGACCCAGGAGGCGGAGGTTGCAGTGAGCCGAGGTCGCACCACTGCACTCCAGCCTGAGCTACAAAGTGAGACTCCATCTCAAAAAAAAAAAAAAAAAGGTCTGGTTGATTAAAAGATCTTCTCCAGCACTTGGTAATGTCTGTTGTATCAATTTTTAATAATCACATAAGTGTAAAATTATATTTAACCCCAACCCTGACAGAGAATATATGGACTGCAAAGCTTAAAGTATTGATTGCTATTAAGGAGGGCATTTTTATATGTTTACTGAACAAAAATCTTCCTTTCCTGTGAAATGCAGGTTTATGATTTTTACATGTTTTCCTATTGTTTGTCATTTTCTTATGAATTAGTTGATCTTTTATATTTTTATATTCTTCTTTTTTTGAGACAGAGTCTGGCTCTGTCCCGCAGGCTGGAGTGCGGTGGTGCAATCTCACTTCACTGCAGCCTCTGCCTCCTGGATTCAAGCCATTCTCCTGCTTTAGCCTCCCAAGTGGCTGGGATTATAGGTACCCACCACCACCCACAGCTAAATTTTATATTTTTAGTAGAGACAGTGTTTCACCATGTTGGCCAGGCTGGTCTTGAACTCCTCATCTCAAGTAATCTGCCCGCCTCAGCCTCCCAAAGTGCTGAGATGACAGGCATGAGCCACTGCGCTGGCCGTATCTTTTATATTCCTGATATTAGCGAATCCTTTGACTACTGGATGTGTTAAAAAATGTCTTCTCCCAGTGTGTATCTTGTTTTTTCACTTTGTTGAAAGCAGAAGTCTGCAAACTACAACTAGCTGGTCAAATCTAATCCATGGCCTGTTTCTGTATGGCGTTTAGGTAAGGATAGTTTTTATGCTTTTAAACAGTTGTAAAAACAAAACCACTACAACAAAAAGAAGATAAGACAGAGACCACGTGGCCTGAGAAGCCTAAAACTGTTGCCATCAGATCCTTTTCCCGCTTTAAATCGTGTTGATGAACATACTTCTTAATTTGGTTAAACTTTCAGTTGTTAAGTGTCTTGTTCAAGAAATCCTTTGCTCTATGAAAGGAAAGATGTTGACCTATATTTTCTACTAAAACCTTTAAAGATTTCCTACTGGCATGTAAGTTCTTAAATCACTTTAAGTTTCATTTTGTGTATAACATAAGGTAGAGATGCAATTCTATGCTCGCTCACCACCACTGAATAATTATTTAATTTTAGCTGCATTTATTTGCCTCTGATATTTCATCCCCTCCTGTCATATATCAGCTTTCTGTATTGGCCCTATTGCATGACCTTCTGTCCCATCATTCAGTTTGTCTATCTCCTATCTCTGTCCCAGTATTACTTCTGGGACAGAAGTATTATTATGAAACTTTCTTACTTTAGTTTCATAATAAGTTCTGATACCTAGTAGGATAAGTCCCCCTCCTTATTCTTCTTATTCAGAAGCATCTCAAATATTGTTGGCCATGCCTCCCTGTTTTAACTTTCAAATCAGTTTGTCAAGGCCCATGAAAATCTCATTGGGAATTTTCACTGTAGTTGCATCCAACCTAGAGTCTGTAAGTCTATCTAAAGAGAATTAGCATCTTTATTGTATTAGGGTTCTCTAGAGGGACAGAACTAATAGGAGATTTTATATATATATATATATATATGTAAAGGGGAGTTTATTAAGTATTAACTCCCCCAATTACAAGGTCCCACAATAGGCTGTCTGCAAGCTGAGGAGCAAGGGGAGCCAGTCTGAGCCCCAAAACTGAAGAACTTGGAGCCCGATGTTCGACGGCAGGAAGCATCCAGCAAGGGAGATAGATTTAGGCTGGGAGCCTAGGCCTGTCTCTCCTTTTCACATTTTTCTGCCAGCTGATTAGATTGTGTCCACCAGATTAAGGGTGGATCTGCCTTCCCCAGCCCACTGACTCAAATGTTCATCTCTTTTGGCAACACCCTCACAGACACACCCGGGATCAATACTTTGTATCCTTCCATCCGATCAAGTTGACACTGCGTATTAACCATCACATTTATGATATTAAATACTCCTATCTCTGAAGACTGAAAAATCTCTCTATAACATAGATCTTCTTTAGTGATTTATTTTGGTCTTTAATATTCCCCCAGCCTTGGGTCTTCTCAAGCTGGCCCTGAAAATGGCTTTCAGGGTGGAAATCCTTTTTGCAGTTTATTCAGTTTTCTCTCCTTCCCACTCATCACAAGGGTTTAAAGCCTTTCCAGGTGGCTCAGACATCTTGCTCTTTTCAGTATCATTCTAAACAACAAATATTTGATAGGTACCTGTTTTTATAATACACTGTTATGGGTAATACCCAAAGACCCAGTGCACAGTCCCTTCTTTTAAGGAGTTTTCAGTCTAATTGCAGAAAAAAGACCTGTGAAAAAATCACTAACAATTCAAGATACTAGGTACTAAAATTTTTTTAAAAAAATCAGCTGTAAAGAAATGGCACATCAATTTCAAATCATTCTGATTTTGTGCCACAAAATGAAACTTTTTGCTCTTTATAAGGCCTTTGGTGTAAATAAACTCATTCCAAAGCAAATAAAAAAAATTCAGTTTTAGCTTAGGGGCAACAAGGTCATCTCAAAATTTCAAATATAATTCCTCAGGCTCAGCCTGGGATCACTATAGTTATAGCAACCTACCAGGACTGGTATTTCTAGTGATGCCCCTTAATCATTATGAAAAAGTCAGACTCTGCTCAGTATAGTCTGTACACAAGGCTGCCAAAATGTATTTTATATTGATTTCTATCCTCAAACAACAAGAATGAGTTCAGATGTTGGTGCTCAAAGGCATAGACTCTCAACTATTAAAATACAAAATAGCCCTGAGAAATAACTAATTCCCCAATGGTTTTGAATATCTAAAATTCAACTACACTTTGAAGTTGGGGCAAAAAGCCACAAAAGATACCTTGGGGGGAAATGGAAGGGTGTTTCCTCCAGTCTAGGTAACCCTGAAAAAGCTTAGCTTGTAGCCTCTTTCCTATGTCTGGTGGACACGTGTGGGTTCAAGGCACTGCTTCCTCTTTTCTCCCTAAATTATTTTTGGCCAGGCGTGGTGGCTTATGCCTGTGATCCCAGCACTTTGGGAGGCCAGGGCGGGCAGATCACGAGGTCAGGAGATCAAGACCATCCTGGCTAATACAGTGAAACCCTGTCTCTACTAAAAACACAAAAAATTAGCTGGGCATGGTGGCACGCGCCTGTAGTCCCAGGTACTTGGGAGGCTGAGGCAGGAGAATCGTTTGAACCTGGGAGGTGGAGATTGCGGTGAGCCGAGATTGTGCCACTGCACCCCTGCCTGGGTGACAAAGCGAGACTAAGTCTCAAAAAAAAAAAAAAAAAAAAAAAAACCAAAAAGAAAGAAAGAAAAAAAAAAGAAAATCATTTTTCACTTTTTTCTTTTAAGACAAGTGACAGCATGACTCATGCAACTACTTCCTCCTCCCACATTGTCTTAGAAAAGGGTTTCTAGTGGAGAAAAAATAATGATTTAGTGGCAAATCAGAATTTGCTTGCCGACTTGCAAGACTCCCCCTTCTCCTTTTTATTCCATGTTTTTCTTCTAAAACAGGAAGAGTTGGGCAGAATCTATGTAAGCTTCTAGGTTCTGGTTTATGTCCACCCTCAGTAACCTTCATTTCTTGGTACTTAAAGAACGGAGTTTCATCCAGTGGTATATTTATCAATGGCAGCCTTAATTAAGATGTGGATATCCTAGCATTCATAAAATATTTTTGTTTTCTAATTGCTGAAAGTGAATAATTATTGGAAGACTACAAAAGAAAGAAATACATATTTAAAAAAAGAAATGTTACAAGTTCAGAGATGTTACTCTATGACTAAGGGGAAGACACTTAAACTCAGTGAGCCTCAGTCTCCTTATCTGTTAAACAGGAATAAAGAGTATATATTTTACTTACCTCAGTGGCTTGTTTTGAGAGTGAAGTGAGATAAAGCAATGTTTTGTAAGGTGGGTTAATTATAAGATTTCCTTGAGTTGCCTGTTTAAAAAAATGTAAATTTTCTAGATTTCTATGCTCTCCAGAGAATTGGGTAATTCTTCTCACAGGTGAGTTTGGGAAACGTGAAATAACAGAAGGAGATCACAGAAATACAAGATGCTTACTTTTCTGATAGTATCTTACAAGTATACACAAATTTTCTTGTAAAATTATTTTTCATATTTGTCCTTTGTCAGTCTTTCCAGGGTAGAGACTGTTTTGCTGCTATCATTGTTTTTTCAGACCTTGGTTCTGATCTCAATTCTCCTACTAAGTAGTTGGTAATTGCGTGACTCAGTTCTCAGGGCCCACTTATTTGCAGGGTAACTGGAAGCCTTCCATTTTTTTCAACTTTTTTTTTTTTTTTTTTTTTTGAGATGAGGTCTCACTGTGTTCCCAGGCTGGTCTTGAAGTCCTGGGTTCAAGCAATCCTCCCACCTCAGCCTCGCGAGCAGCTGAGATTACAGGTGCAAACCAACTCACCTGGTTGGCTTCCCTTTCTGATATTCTCTTTCTTCCCTTGACAATTTTCCTTTCAATTTTCCATCTGTAAATGCCTAATATGGTGAAGTATTTGATCATTTCAGAATTTAACACATCTATATTTAATAAGAAGTCATAGTCCATGCCCATATCATTTGAAAATTTATGATTTTTACAACTCTACAGCAGTATCATAGGGAAAGCAAAGGAGTTAAAAAACAGTCAACAATGTAATTGGCTGATAGAGCTATGTGGATAATAACATGTGAGCTCACAAAATGTCACTTGACAATTAACAATGAGAGATATGAGTGACATGTGCTGTGAAGGCAGATAATAAGAAGGCTTTCTTATTAATATTAATGATAAAAGTTTTATTATTTTTAAATTTAAAAGAGCAAAACATATATTTTAAAACCTAATGGTATTTATATATTAAATGTAATATATAACATTACATATACTATAATATGTAATGTTACATATTATATAATATATAACGTTACATATTATATAATATATAATATATATTAGCTAATATTACATGTATACGTATTATATATATTTTCAGAAGCCAATTTAGTGAATTCTGCATGTCATTTTCCAGAACTATCTTATCCACAGACGTGCACACAGAGACAAACACAGCCACACACACACACCCATTGCACCAACATGGTTTTACAACTTACTTTTTCTCTCCTAATACACCTAGGAACTCAATCCAATCCATTTCGACCCATACAAATCGGCAGCATCGCATTTCATGTCCAAAGAGTGTTCAATCAATTGCACAATCATTTACTTTACCATTTCTCATATTTATGGACATTTGAAGGCTTTCGGGTTTTTGCTATTAACTAATTACTAAACAATACTCCAGTGAATATCTTTGCACATCCCTCTTTGCACATTTCATGCGGGTGTACCTGTAGGATATATTCCTGGGCAAGGAATAACTGGATATGTGCATTTATAATTTTGAAAGTTATTGGCAAACTGTTCTGTCTTTAATTTGTAGCAATGTAAGGGTATACTACTTCTGTACATTTATAAAAGCTTTATTAATAACCTTTTGACCTTTGACATTTTGATAGATAAAAACAGAGACTTATTTTTATTTGTTTCTTATAACAAGGCTAACTTTGAAAACCTCAGATATTTACTTTCTTATTTTCTGGAGTTCTTGACTTTTTTTTCCCATTTAATTGGATCCTATTTGATTTTCTATTGCTTTTTTCTATTTGATTTGATTCTCATTCATAAACTCTTTATAAAAATTAACCCTTTGTTGGATCACATGTCTTATAATACCGTTGTTAATTATTTTTGTCTTTAGCTTTGTTATAGTGTTGATAGGGTTTGGCTGTGTCCCCACCCAAATCTCATCTTGAATTGCAGCTCCCATAATTCCCACGTGTTGTGGGAGGGACCCAGTGGGAGTTAATTGAATCATGGGGGCGGTTTCACCCATACTTTTCTTGTGGTAGTGAATAAGTCTCACGAGATCTGATGGTTTTATAAGGGGAAACCTCTTTCACTTGATTCTCATTTTCTCTCTTGCCCCTGCCATGTAAGAAGTGCCTTTCACCTTCCATCATGATTGTGAGGCCTTCCCAGCTACATGGAACTGTGAGTACATTAAACCTCTTTTCCTTCATAAATTACCCATTCTCGGGTATGTCTTTATCAGCAGCATGAAAATGGACTAATACAGGTGGTTTTTGTGAAGCACACATTTTTATTCAATAAAATTACTAATATTTTTCTCTCATGACTCTTGGGTTTTGCCTCTTATTTTAAAACTCCTAACAAAATGATACAATTTACTATTACATACCTGTTGGAGTTTTTATGTTAATACTTATGAACTACTTGGGAAATACTTTAATGTAAGAAGGTAGGGATTTATGTTTTCCAAAGGGCTACCTTGTTGTTCCCCAACCATTTACTGAATAATCCATCATTTATCCAGTGACTTGAAATGCCTTATTTATTATATATTATATATAAGACTCACACATGCATTAGGTCATATTTATAGAATATTTATTTTGTTTTGTTTATGCATCTGTAATTAAGCATCATACCATAATTTAAAAATAACTATATCTTTATAGTATATTTGAATAACTGGTAGGATTTGTACCTTAATACTCTTCAAAATATTTTCAGTTATTCTTACGTGTTTACTTTCTATAAAAAAAGTTTAGAAGAAACTAGTCTAGCTATTAAAAACCCTTCTTTTGACATTTTTACTGGGATGATACTAAATTATAGATTATTTTAAAGAGATCTGATCTTTTTACAATATCAAGTTTTTCTTTGCAAATTATATCTTTCAATTTATTCAAATCTTCCTTGGGTAGCTGGAGAGGAGAGAAAAGAATATGTAAAGAAAGTAGGATGAGAAGATGAAAGAGCTGTGAAAGAAATTCCCTGGGAACTCTGGACAGATCTATTTTTTGGAGTCAAAGAAAGAGTAGACAACAGCGGGGATGAGGCTTCTGGGAAGAGTCAGGTTATTGAAGACTTTTGAATGCCAGGCTAAAGAACATGGATCTCATTCAAGCAGGTGAAAGGCTTGCTTTAGGAAGTTTCTTAAGAGCTGCAGTTTGATTCTCAACTAGGAGCAATTTCGTCCCTGAAGGTATATCAACTTCTGGAGACATTTTGGTCAGCAGAGGGGGAGGTGTTCCTGGTATTTGGTGGACATTGGCCAGGGGTGCTGCTCAACACCCTACAAGGCACAGGGCAGCGCCCACAACAAAGAATTATCCAGTCCCAAATATCCATAGCATGGAGGTGCATAGTCCCTCTACTGGAGAGACTGAAGGGCAAAGAGACTACCATCAAGGAAACAATTTAAGCGGCCATGCAGGCCCTGTGGGCTCTGAACATGCCCCCACGTCGGTCATTCCAGTTAGCATCTCCCCTCCCAGCATCTGTGGTGCAAAAGCAGAAAAGAGCCAGTGAAGCCCGGGAGGTCCTGAGTTGGCTCCCAAACTCACTTCCTCCAGAGGAATTCTTCCTTAGCGGTTTATACACTTCCTGTTTATTCACATGCAAACAAACACATAGGAAAACCTCAGTCCCTCCATTCAGAACATGTTCTGAGGAATTCAGCCTGCAAAGCTTTCTTCAAAAATGAAAGCTTCTTTGTGTAAATGCTCAGAATTCATAAGCAACTAAATGAGGGACAGCGGGAACGAGGGAGGGTGGGAACAGGAGAGAAACCACATGGGGCTGACTTTAGAGTAGCCATAATTCAAGAGAACATGGGCGGCTTTTCTGCTCTTGAGAGAAATAAACAGCATTTCTTCCCAAGGAGTCACATCCCTGAAAGCATTCTATCTCCCCACTCCTCAAAGTGATCATGGCTCCTGGGCCTCTAACGCAACACTCGGCTTCATGTATGCAAATGGTAGGCACTCAATAAACAAAGTGAGTGACTACATAGTAAAGGAAAAATAAATGCATCACTATTTTGTTATAGAGAAAGTAACTTAACAATGAGTTGATTACAACTAACATTTACTTTTGCACTTAATATGGGCAAACCCACTGAGCATATTCTCTCATTGACGCCTCCCAAGAGTGAGAAATGAGTCAATAAATGTTGTTTTGATTAACTCATATTGTTAAATTACTTTAAAATTGTCAGTGAAATAGGTGTCATTATACATATTGAAGCTGTGACTCCTGTTATTCATGACAATTTCCACCCTCTGTCTTATTTGATCCCGGCCTTGAAAGATAAGTATATAAGATCCCATTTTGTAGCCATGAGAGTTGAGGCTCAGAGAATGAGACCTGTCTGAGGCCATATGTCCCCATGCTGGGCCTAGAGCCCAATGTTCCCTGTAAAATGCCATGATCTGTGTCAGTTATCAATTTATTGCCTCTCTGCTCCAAATTCACCCTTCATTGTTCTGGGTCAACGGAGCTGGCCCTGTATTTCCCCTTTGCTAGCTGGCACAATGTGGACCCTTGTTAGCAGAAGATGTTGGAAGAACACTGCCACCAGAAGGGGTTTCTCTCCTCCAGGTTCCAGAGCACTCTCCCCTCTGGACTCTTGCCATACACAGTCTATTCAGTATCTGAGCCCAGCAGTCAGTGACCACATCTGCACCCAGCTCCTGCAGGACCTCAGCACCTCCTCAGGAATCTTTGCAGTGAGTCCTGAGACCTATCACCTACCTGTGGACAGTTCTCCCTGGCACCTCAGAAGGAAGATTAACAGCAAGTTCTGCCACCATGGCACCTCTGCAACTTGGTGGCTGAGCACTGAGCCATGGCTGGGCTCTCAAAGAGGTCTGGGTCTCAGCCTTAGGGATAGCAACTGCTCTCTATAGCTGCAAATCCTACATTATTTGGGATTTTCTCCCCTCCTTACTGACCAATTCCCCACTACTTCAATACCTTTTTCCAATGAATAATTCTTTATAGTGAACTCTCCACATTCAAATATCTGTATGGTTTTTATCTCCTGGCTGGTCCCTGACTGATACATGTTGCTTCCTTTCTGAGCATCTTATTGCAGGGATTGAGGCCTGAAAATTACCTGGCATCCCACAAACACGAACAAGAGATTCAAGAAGCTGGGACCTGAGGAAAAATTGCTTTTATCTTATCTTCTTGGTTTCTCATCTGGGTTTCATGGGATGCAGGAGGAAGGGATCAACCACAAAGCACTTTTTGGAAGTGGCACCTATGAAATACACACGTCTTGTTTAATGATCTAAAAACATTTCAGTCGTTTTAAATTTTCATACTTATGTTTCAACTATAACCCTAGGTACAGTAGCCAGCATCCACTTCTCCATCCCATTGGATTGATTGATTTTAATCAGTCTTAAAAGCTCAGTGTAATTCCTCCCCCAGGAATGAGTACACTCAATTATCAGCTCTCATGACAGTAAGGCCACCTCCCATGCACACAGCAGTTCATGTGTGTTAAGTCATTCAACCATCAAAGCTCTGGGACATCCAGAGCAAGTTTTACTGTCCTCCCCTTTAGGCAAGCAAACCTGACCCTGGGAGAGTTAAATGAGTCTCACAAAGGCAAGTGATAAACAGCCAAAGTGTGTGCTAAGACTAAAATCCAAGTCCTCTAAATTCATTATTCTTTTAGCCATGGCCTCCTCCCCCACATCTCTCTGTTTCCTGGACAAAGGCTTTATCTTCTGCTAAAGAATTTCAAAGATCAGCAAACAGGAGTGTGTGGGAGGTTATTTTGGGGGCGACGGTGGGCAGTGTTCAGGGCTCTTCTGGCACCCTCATCTCTGCTGAGTAGGCGCCATCTGATGCACTGAACTGGCTTCAAGCCAGCCCCAGACAAAAAGGCAGGAACCGAAGGTAGGCGAGGGCTGATGTGGGGAGGGAGGGACAGTGGAAACGGTGTTGCACAATTAGACGGGGACTCATGAGGCTGGCATTTCCCTAGTGGGGAGCCAAGGCTGCACAGAGGGAGAAGGGGGTGGGGTGGGGTGAACAGTGGCTCTGTCCATACTGTTTGGACACTAGCAAGGCTGTATGAGAAAAGTCACAATTCATTAAGATTTGGGTGGGGACACAGTCAAACCAAATCTGGGTCAAGCCGAGTCTGTACATGAGGGAAAGTAAGTACAGATGTGAACATTTCCAAGTGGAATATGTGTGTAACCAGAGCACCCCTAGGCCTCAAGAGCTTATTACAACCAGGATGGCAACCATGGAGATGACAAAACAGTGGCTAGAATTTATTAGGCACGTACTGTGGGCCAAGGACTGCTCTAAGCATTTTATATTCACCATTCTACTTAACCTCAAAATAGCCACATAAAGGAGATGTGAATGAAAAATGCTATATTTAACTTAGTACCCAAAAATAATAGATACTAGCTTCTCCCTTTGGTAACTCTTCATTTTCCCATACCTCACTGAAGACCTTCTCACCTTCTTCCACCCAACTCCCAGTTATTTCTGGAACCCTGGAAATCTCATGAGTATGTATGTGTGAGGTTTTTAAATTTTTTTTAACTTTTTCAAGCTTTTCATTTTGAAATAATTTCAGACTTCCATAAAAATTGCAAAAATGTCACAAAGAATTCTAATGTACTTTCACCAACTCCCCAAATGTTAACATTTTATATAACCACAGTACAATGGTCACAATGAAGTTAACACAGGTGTAAATAACAGTTATAGAATCTACTAATGTCACTTTTTTCTTGTCCAGGATCCAATCCAGAATCACATATTGTGCTTTGTTGTCATTTCTCCTTGGTTTTCTTTAATCTGACACATTTCCTCAATCTTTTTGGCTTTCATGATCCTGATACTTTTCAAGAAGACTGATCAGTTATGTTGCCCAACGTTCCTCAGTTTGGCATTGTCTGGTGTTTCCTCATGATTTGTGTTCGCACTTTCTATTTGGGGTAAGAATAGCACAGATGAGCTGTTTTGTCCTCGTCAGGGCATCATACAAGGAGACACATGGTATTTATTTGTCCCTTTACAGGTGACGGTGACTTGGACCCCTTATTAAGGTTGTGTCTGCCAAGTTTCTCCATAGTAAATATTTTCCCTTTGGTACTTAATAACTAGATCCTTTAAGAACATGCAAAGACCACGTTATCATCATATCTTTGTCAATTAAGTTTGGCTTACGTTGATGATTCTCACCTGCAACAATAATTGCTGTTGTGTTTCCCTAAAGGTGATATTCTATTTTATTAGCCCTTTTGTATTTACTCATTGAAATTCTACCCAAAGAAAAAGCTTTTTCTTTTCCTTCATTTATTTTATTTTATATTTTGAGACCGAGTCTCTCTGTCACCCAGGCTGGAGTGCAGTGGTGCGATCTCGGCTCACTACAACTGACCTCCACCTCCTGGGTTCAAGTGATTCTCCTACCTCAGCCTCCTGTGTAGCTGAGATTACAGGCATGTGCCACCAAGCCTGGCTAATTTTTATATTTTTAGTAGAGATGTGGTTTCATCATGTTGGCCCAGCTGGTCTTGAACTCCTGACCTCAGGTGATCTGCCTGCCTCAGCCTCCCAAATTGCTGGGATTATAGATGTGAGCCACAGCACCTGACCTCCCTTCATTTATTTAATTATTTATTTATTTGTATTGACATAGACTCAAGAATTCTTATTTTATTCCATGGGTTCCAATCATCTCAGATGTGGCCATGGAATCAAAAACCCTTTTAAACTCATGCCTGTAATCCCAGCTCTTTGGGAGGCTGAGGCAGGTAGATCACTTGAGGCCAGAAGTTCGAGACTAGTTTGGCAAACATGGTGAAACCCCATCTCTACAAAAAAAAAAAAAAAAAAAAAAAAAGCCAGGTGTGGTAGCATGCACCCATAGTCCCAGCTACTCAGGAGGCTGAGGCAGGAGAATCCCCTGAACCCAGGAGGCTGGGGTTACAGTGAGGAGAGATCACACCACTGCACTCCATCCTGAGTGACAGAGTGAGACTCTGTCTCAAATAAATAAATAAATTAGCTCCAGTAAGACTCGTGTTCTCTGTCACCCAGGCTGGAGTGCAGTGGTGTGATCATAGCTTACTGCAGCCTCAAAGTCCTGGCCTCAAGCAATCTTTCCAACTCAGCTTCTTTAGTAGCTGGGCACACAGCACCACCCATGGCTACTATTCTCTTGAGGGCATCTCCTCCTGGAGGTCTGTGTCCAACAGCCATGTTTGCAAGAGGCCCTCGCCACCGCTCCTGCCTTTGCCACTGCCTGAAAATGGCCTCTCTAACCCTGCATCCTACGGGGTGCCCTTGCTGATTCTGTTTTCCTGGTTTTCTGAAGGCCTGGGGTCCAGGGCAGGAAGAGGGACATTGCCCCATTCTGTGTGGGCCTTTGTCTCACCTGGGCCTCAAGTGGCCTTGCCCACAGCCCGCAAGTGCTTGTGTTTTCAAGTGACTTTTATTCACTTCTACGTTCTTTACCTTGTATTTTAGGAGTCCTAAGAGAATTTTAGGAGTCCTAACAGAAAGTAACATGGTGAGTTTTAGGGGCTTGGGAAGTGCTGGCAGCCACAGAAAGGAATCCAGAAGACGGTCATAGAAAGTTGAACAACTATATGGTCAGGGGAGTCTCTAAAATCAAATGGGCCAGTAACCCCCCGCTATTGGAGAAACAATTATTTAATCCATTTCTTCTACTAGAATAACAGTAAGCATCCTTCATTCACTGGCAGATAGTCCATTACTTCCACAGATAGCTTTTATAACCATGGTCTGTCTTGATCTTGATGTAGTTTTATAAAAAGAAGCAAAATTAAGGCTTAAAAGAACCCAGCTATTTTATGAATGAGAAAACAAAGGCCTTTAGGAGATCCTACAGGCTCAAGTGAGTATCTGTACCTGAAACTCAGGTGTTCTGATTCCCATTTCAGGTCTCTGTTGATCACACTAACTGTCGCGTCACCACCCTTCTCTTGGCTGGTTTCCTCTACAAAGCTGGACTGGACCAGAATTTTGTTATCCCAAGAGGCATAGAGGTGACGTGAGGTGTGAAAACGAAGCAGAACTTTCATCCGTTGCTTTGATCTGTTTTTTATTTTTATTAAATTTGTCATCAATGGCAATTTTTTTTAAATTTTCAACTAATTTAGAAGCAGATTATAAGATCATTATATCCCCTTATCTAAGGGGATATGGAGAGAAAATACTGAGAAACACAGGAGTGGGTGGCCCTAAGTTCTTATTCAGCCTATTGGTCACTGATTCCAATTCCATTAACTTAGTGACACCACCAGGAAGTTAATTTGCATATGTTGACCCACATTCTCAACAACTCTCACAAATGTTTGTTAGGTTTTATTTTCTAAAATTGTATTTACCTACATATGTATGTATTTATGCTAACATACCTCAAAATGGGGAGTTAAATGTTTTAAGACAAAACCTGGTCCAGACATAGCTGCATGACTTGAATGTTTTGAGTTTCTTCCATTTGCAAATTCTAAAAGAAAACAGATACAATCCCCGGAAAAATGTCACTATGACAACTCTAGAGTATCTATGATTTGTTTTTGGTAGAAGTTTATTCTAGAGAATGGATTGCTAGAACATGTTTCCAGTCTGGAGATTTAAGCAGAGCTCCCTATACAGAAACGAATCCTGTGATCTCAGCAAGGGAAATGAGATGAAGGGCCACACATTCTCCCCACCAGCCCTTCCTGCTCCAAAGTCTCAGGGCCCGGGGGAAAAGTGACTGAGCTTTCATGTAGGTAAATGATTTAGAAACAGTTCGAGGTTCTTTTGCATGTTTGGAGTAGAGAGGGGGAGTTGCAGCATAACTTTTGCTAAAAAATAGAGTGGTAAAGTAATGAATGAATTTGGCTGCAACCAAGCTTAGAGCTTGTCTCATTTCCTCATCTCCTGCTTGCATTGGAAGTAGCATAAAATCAAGTGTCTTTTGGCTTTAATCATAAATGGTGATTGTCAACTGAATAAAAATCAGGTAAAAATTTATTATAAATGGCTGTTATAACCACCTTTTTTTTTTTTTTTTTTTGAGATGGAGTTTCGCTCTTGTTGCCCAGGCTGGAGTGTAATGGCGCGGTCTCGGCTCACTGCAACCTCCGCCTCCCGGTTCAAGTGATTCTTCTGCCTCAGCCTCCCAAGCAGCTGGTATTATAGGTGCATGCCACCACGCCCAGCTAATTTTTGTATTTTTAGTAGAGACAGGGTTTCACCATGTTGGTCAGCCTGGTCTCGAACTCCTGACCTCGTGATCCACCCATCTCAGCCTCCCAAAGTGCTGGGATTACAGGTGTGAGCCACCACGCCCAGCCCATAACCACCATTTCTACAGGTTATTTACTCAGACAAGGAAATAGGTTCTTTTTACAGGGCCTTCTTTCTGGTGTTCAGAAAGTTCTGTGGACGGGAGTCAGAAGATGGGGATTTGCATTCTGACTCTGCTACTCACTAGGTATGTGGCCCGAGCAGGATGCTGAGCCTCCTGGAATATCTGTGTCTTCATCTACAAAGTGGAGTGAATGATACCTGCCAGTTCATACTGGATCAAATGAGGGGGTTTCTATATGTTGTAAGGCGCCACATAAATTTAAGATGTTATTAGTATTATTTTCCATTGGAGGCTTCCACCTACATATTCTGTACAAAATTTCCATCTCTCTCAAGGCCAAAGGAAGACCCTCCCTCTGGTTTAAAGTTTGTCTTTGACACTTGAGAAGACAGGAGTTTCCAGAATGTGCTATGGTTCTTCTTCCCAAGACTGAATGTGGCTCAAGACCCCTCCGTAGAGATTGCCAGAAACAGAACTCTCATTCTTTGTCTGAACACAACTTGATGCATAACAGAACAGGTTATTACGATGCTATTTCTCTAATAGACCCAGCTGTGGGCTGTACCCAAGATTTGGGCTGCAGGTGTCTTGTCAGCTAGCTTTCTGTCTTGGGGCTTTGCAGAAGAAGGCTGACTTGACCATGGACCACATTCCAGGGTCAAAAGCCACCATACCTTTTTTTTTTTTTTTTTTTTTTTGGAGACAGAGTCTTGCTCTGTCGCCCAGACTGGAGTGCAGTGGCACGATCTCGGCTCACCACAAGTTCTGCCTCCCAGGTTCATGCCATTCTCCTGCCTCAGCCTCCTGAGTAGCTGGGACTACAGATGCCTGCCACCACACCCAGCAATTTTTTTTTTTTTTGTATTTTTTAGTAGAGATGGGGTTTCACCGTGTTAGCCAGGATGGTCTTGATCTCCTGACCTCGTGATCCACCTGCCTCCGCCTCCCAAAGTGCTGGGATTACAGGAGTGAGCCACCGTGCCCGACCAAAAGCCACCATATCTTTTCCTTATCCAGGACTCTGAAGAAACAGACTCTGATGGGAAAAACTAAAGCAGACACTGCTTACCAATGACTTGGGATTTGTCTTCATTTGGGCTTATGACCTATGTGGGGAGTTTGGCTGATACGGTTTTATGAGGCCCTCTTTCACCTACAAGGATGTGTCTCTAGATTTCTTTGCCAAATGTAATCAAGTTCCTTTACCGGGCTCTCGGAGGAGAAATAGTCATATATTTTAGGAACATTTGGCCCAGCAATGTGAATTGTGAAATGATTTTCAGAGAACTATCCAGAGATATCCTGTTTGGATAGAAAGCAAGCATTGTTTTGATTTTTTAGTGGAAAAGTGAATCTTACAAAATCAGTTCAATTCCCTATGCTTCCTCTAGTTCACTTTCCCTGTGTGTGGGGTAGAAGGCATAGCAGTACTAGGTGTGTCCATGCTTCCTGATGGTCAAGAGAACATAGATTTTCCCCAGCGAATGCTTTTGCAAGTGATCTTATCACAATCTCTCATTCAATCTTAGCTCATCATAATTTATGTCTCTAACACCTTCTGGTATGTGCTCATGGTCTCTCTGGGCTTGAGGCTTCTTCTTGGAACTCTTTCTGCTATTCTATGATTTCCTTAGGCCAGAAAGGACAAGTATTTTGAAAGAGGCCCTCGGACTTCTGCACATGCCCCCAAATTATGCAACATCTTCAACAGAGAGAAAATGAAGCCAGGAACGACCAGCTACTTAAGGCAAAAGCAGTGGCAGGCAGGATCCAAGACCCTGACCTGGGCTCTGGCTTGCTTAGGTTTGGTACACTGCTGCAGCCTCTTCACCAGTCTGCCTGTCTCCTGCTGCCCCCTTCATCTACACTTCATGGCCCTGGCCAATCATCTTCCTGGACGACTGCCTCTATATGCTCCCTTCCCTTCTACCAGTAGGATGAAAGCCAGCTTCCTCTGACCCATTAGAGACTCTGAGGGTCCCTTAACCCAGACCCAGCCACCTCTTGCTCCTTAGCTTTCTTTTCTGCTCAACCTGACACTTCCGTCCTGGTGGCTTTTCACCCTGCCATTCCTCCCCCTTCTCTGTCCGTGGCCTGAATGTCCCTAGCATACCTGTGCTTTCCTCAACATGCCTGCTTCTGTCTTTCCCAAGATGCATTCCCTTTCAGTCAGATGCCCGACTTAAACCCAGTCCCTTCTAAGGAGTACAGCCCAAACTCTGGCTTCCACAGCACTTTCCTGGGCCCACTTCTTCCCTTTAACTGTTTCAGAAACATTTCGCTCTTTCTCACTTCAATCAGTCTCCTGCAATTATCAACCTTGATAATGCTAGGAGCTGAATGCTTCTGTCCCCCACTTGCCAAGTTTGTATATTGAAGCATTAACACCCAAGGGGATGATATTTGGAGATGGGTCCTCTGGGAGATGATTAGGATTAAATGAGTTCAGGAGGATGAGACCCTGGTCTGGTGGACTTAGTGCCCTTAGAAGAAGGGATATCAGAGAGCTTTCTCTCTCCCTTTCTCCAGGAGCGTATACTAAAGAAAGTCCACAGGAGAAGGTGGAGTGATAGCAGCCATCTGCAGGCCAGAAAGGGGGCCCTTGCCAAAACCCAGCCACGCTGGCACCTTGCTCTCAGCCTTCCAGCCTCCAGAATGTAGGCCATCCAATCTATAGGTTTTTGTTTTGTTTTGTTTTGAAGACAGAGTCTCATTATGTTACCCAGGCTGGAGTGCAGTGGCACTCTCGGCTCACTGCAACCTCCGCCTCCCAGGTTCAAACAATTCTCCTGCCTCAGCCTCCTGAGTAGCTGGGATTACAGCACTTGCCGCCACCATGCCTGGCTAATATTTTTGTATTTTTAGTAGAGATGGGGTTTCACCATGTTGGCCAGGCTGGTCTCGAACTCCTGACCTCGTGATCCGCCTGCCTTGGCCTCCCAAAGTACTGGGATTACAGACGTGAGCCACTGTGCCCAGCCTATTCTGTTTTCTTAAAAAATAAGCTCTAGCAAGGTTTTTTCGAGAAAAACTTGTCATGGTCTACCTTTCACCAGTCTGTTCTGGCACACCACTGATGATACTACGATCGCCCTGATCAATGGTAGCCAGTATGCCTACTCTGTAGTATTTTCCACATGCTGTGCCTGATTGGATATTATTGCTACCTTAGTGATGGAAAAGTTTTGGCCAACATCATGTTGTCGTCTATTTTCTATTTCCTTGAAGTTGGGCAGCTGTTAGCAGGCATGGCCTGTTTCGCTTTGCCTCACCTGATCATCTCTGGAGTCTGCTTACATCCCAGAACAGATTTTCTACTTTTCATGTGTTATAATCAAGAGTTGATGCATTCCAGTGAGTTTTTCTACAAAGCAAACATTAAGCACAGACCTGAAGGCCTCTTTTGCCACCACCTCAAAACTATGTCCATGGTAAAGGGAATTTGAGGAGATATAAAATTAAAAACAAAAACAAAATAACTGGATCTAGCTTTCTGAAGCCAAGCCCATTAATAAAACCTCCCCAAGTCATTGAGAGGGCCTCTGGGGTCCCTTGGGGCCCTGCAAATGCCAGTGGCCATGCTGTCACCTCAGTAGGCTTGCATCTGCCCACTCCTGCTGAGACTCATCTCTCCACGTGAATCCCAGGCTATGGTATTTTGTTATGGCAGCCTGAGCTGACTAAAGCAGATAATATTTCAAGTCTTTTGCTAAGTAACTTCTTTTTCTCTTGTTTTACTCTCTAATTCCCGACAGGATAGTGCCCTCTCCTGGAGAGCAAGGTCGTACCCACCTTAGCATCCTTCCCAGGAACTGACACTCAAATAGGGATTTGTCTCATTCAATCCAGTTCAGCATTTCAGACCAGTTGAGGAAAGGCCTGTCTACATTTGTGAGAAAGTATGTTTCTGAATATAATTCAAGAGATCTAGTTTTATATTTTTAAAATTGTATTCTAACTAAAATCATTTTCTAAACGTATCATTTGAGAGAACTCCTTTTGAGTCTTTAACGTATAAATAGAAATTGTTGACTTAGTTGGATTTTAATGGGTTTTTCTTACTCTTGACAATGCTTACGTGGGCTTTTCATGCCTCTGAAGTATTCTGAATCTCCAACCTGCCATCGTGTTTACATTACATTACATTCAGTGTTGAATCAAGTTTGGCCTAAAGCTACCTCCTTACGTATTTTATGATCAGCCTAAAGGTTTCTCTATACATCATGAATTATAACCTAAATGGAGGTGTAAACAGACTGTAGCCTACTTTGTGCCTGTCACTGAGTTTCGGCCAATCAAACGTGGCCATCTATTCAAAGTGTGCAAATAAGGCAAGCGCCAAGCTGTAACGAATCCACCTGTTTGTTCCTCACATCTGTTCTCTTTAAGTCACTTTCCTTCTTCTGTCCATAAATCTTCTTCCACCACGTGGCTGTGCTGGAGTCTCTGAGTCTATTCTGGCTCCAGAGGCTGCCCGATTCTCGAATTATTCTTTGCTCAATTAAAACTCTTTTAATACGTCTGCTGTTTTTAACAACAGCAAGAACCACACTTCCTTTATAACCAATCATAAATCAATTCATCCTTCATCTGATCCACTGTGATTTCTCAGGAAATTAAAACAGAATTAGTGAGGTTTAACAATATGTGTATTTTACAGAACAAGTTTTCTTCTCCAATCAGTTCACATCTGCAAAACTTTATCTTTTCTTAGCATGCTTACTACAACATGGGAAAGAAAAACACCCCAAAAAAGTTGAGGGCTGGTTTTCCACTCCTCCCCTCCATCCGAGATGGGATGTTGACTCTGTCTCTGAAATTTATAGCAACACAGCTCTAATAGCACAGATAAGGAAAGGCCTGGCTTCTTAGGAACTCACTGTACCTCCACTTAGAAATTTACGTGGCCCAGAGATCACAGCAGCTGATGAAAAGAAGGGTGTGAGATTGTTAGACAGGATACCTAACTCACTGGGGCTGCTGTGTCCTCATCGGGAAAAAGAATCACAATGCATTTCCTGTCCTCAAGTGGATGTTAGTTTGTTATCTACAGGAAGCACTCAGCAAAGCTTCTTAGATTATTGAAGAAGCAGCTGAAGAAGTCCTTATAACTATACTCTGAACAGCACGGTCTATTAAGCCTGAGGCCCTCTGCCTGGTTGGGAGGACTCTTCCATTTCTCCTGCTCGATGGCAGTGGCTGCTTCCTCCAGCAATTCTCTTTCCTGACTCACCCTCTCCGACAGATGCTCCCTACTACCCGCAGACTGGTCTCAGGTGTGTTTGCTCCATAGACTGGCCTTAGGTGTGTTTGTGTCCACAATCCTTGTTCAGAAACATTTTATGGTACCTGAAGTATCCACACTATTAATTCCAAACATCTTCAAAATGGTATTCAAAGCCCTTCACACTCTCGCTGCTTCTAAATGTTCCAGCCTTCTCTCTCATTACAACTTCCCAAGGATGTGATTCATAACCCCCGTGGGTCTGGACCTACGCTAGTGTCTCCTACCTTTGCTCAAACTATTCTCCTTCCACATGGCCTCATTTTTTACCAGTTTGGCCAGTGCTGTGTTGAGCCATGTTGGAGTCCAAGCAAAAGGAAAGATACACACCCCCATATGCACTTCTCACACTGCTAATAAAGACATACCTGAGATTGGGTAATTTATAAAGGAAAGAGGTTTAAAGGACTCACAGTTCCACACGGCTTGGGAGGCCTCACAAATCATGGTGGAAGGCAAATGAGGAGCAAAGTCACATCTTACATGGTGGCAGGCAAGTGAGAACTTGTGCAGGGGAACTCCCATTTATAAAACTATCAGATCTCGTGAGACTTATTCACCACCATGAGAACAGTATGGGAGAAACCACCCTGATGTTTCAATTATCTCCACCTTGCCTCACTCTTGACAGGTGGGGATTATTACAGTTCAAGGTGAGATTTGGGTGGAGACACAGCCAAACCATATCAAGTGTAAAAGCTAATAAAAGCTCTACAGTTTTAAAAAATGACTATATATAAACCTCTAGGTTGCCCAATCTGCTCACAGGTTGCTGACAACCCTTATAAAGGCTCCTGGTAGGGAACTAGGAACCAAGAGCTGATTAAAAAGAATAGTTTCCTTGTATGAGAAGGCAGGCTCATTCAAAACATCCTGGACTTATTGAAATAATGGATGTTCTATTACTTGTGGGGTTTTTTGCATTTATTTTGATTTTAAAATATTTCATTAACGTATTATTAATCTTGATTACTGAAGTTTTTTTTGGCACTCCTGTACATGCTGTAACCCAGTCAAGTGTCCCACTCATTTTACCCTAATCCCCACCTTCAGTCTGGTAAAAGTCTGTGAGATCCCTGTTTCAATGCCGTTTCCTCTAATGAGCTTTACCCGAGCTCCCTAAATGAAATAGATCTCTCCCTGTCTTCTACTTCCATAGCACACTGCTTGGGTCTCTGTCTTGGTCGTAACTACTCTGCCCTTTAACAGGTTATTTATGTAGGTCTTACTCTCTTACCAGCCTGAAGCTCCTGGAAGGCAGAATTCACACCTTTTTCTTTTCTTCTCTTCTCTTTTTTTGAGACAGAGTCTTGCTCTGTCACCCAGGCTGGAGTTCAGTGACACAATCTCAGCTCACTGCTACCTCCACCTCCCAGGCTCAAACAATTCTCATGCCTCAGTCTACCAAGTAGATGGGATTACAGGCGAGTGCCACAACGCCCAGCTAATTTTTGAATTTTTAGTAGAGACAGGGTTTCACCATGTTGGCCAGGCCAGTCTTGAACTCCTGGCCTCATGTGACCTGCCTGTCTTGGCCTCCCAAAGTGCTGGGATTATAGGAATGAGCCAGCGTGCCCATCCCCACATTTTCCATTTCTGTATTCCTTGCTGTATTTAACACAGGGCTCTGCACACATAATTTTTCAATGACAAGTCTTGGCTTGATTAAATGATAACTCTAAACCTCTTCCCTGGAATCTCACTCAGGTGTTATTTACTGTAAAGCAGGACTTAATATAAGTTATTCTATTGCAACTGTGGGGAGTTTCACTCCTGAAGCTCTAAGGATACTGGTTTCATTATACAGAGGCCAAGGCGTAGTCCACTGAAACCCCTCCTGATGACTTCCTAATCTTCTCCTTTAGTGTCTCTTACAAATGGGCCTCCTCCCATTTTCCCTGATTAGATCAATGAGGGCTTCTCCCACAGTGAGGGCTGACTAAATTCTTTACTCTCCCTGCTGTAGAACTAGAACTAGACATTGGGTCAAATGCTCTAAATGTGTTTCATATTTATGTGTATACTTGACTGTTTTCCATCAATCTACCTCTCTCCAGGAAATGCCTCTTGAATGGGAGAAGCTGCTGCTCCCCCAAATTGCTGGGGAAGAAAGGGAGTTCCTGATCTTTCTTATTGAGGCTCATGGAGCTTCTGTCCTGGAGATTCAGTATACTTCAGTAATGGCTCTGGAGAAGAGAACTCAGGATCCTCAAGACCCAATGGCTCGTGATGATAAAAGCCTTTGGGTCTACCGACATTTTCCCTACGTGCTCAGACATGTCTGCATGCATTTATTGGCATATTTTTCCATACTCAAAGCAAGTTGCTATGTGTTAGTACTAAAGCAACCCATAATAGTAAAAACGAATTTCTGCACCAAGAGAATGAATCGGCAGCTGAGAAAGTCAGAGTGAAGAGGCCCCAGTAATATCTCTACCTACTTGAAGGTTAAATATTCCTAAGACTCTAGGAGGAAAGAGGAGAGAAAGTGGGCCCTGTTCTTTCCTCCAGGATGTAAGGTTTTTCCAGGCTGCTTTGAAAAGTCTCAATTACTCCAGGCTATAGAAGAATACAATCAGAGGTGAGTTCCCTGAAATCAAGGACACTGCCTTATCTAATGGTGCTGGGAGTGCAGCGAACTTGCTGGGGACAGTTTGAAGGATCATCTTAAGCTCTGAAACCAGGTTGCTGCCACCTGCTACAGATCACCCACAGCCAATGTCCTTGGCTGAGTGACACAGCTTCCCCGTGACCGCCACTGATCCAGCCACCAAGTATGCAGCCCAACCTATGAAGCTGAGCCCAGAAGTGGCTCAAAAAAACAAGCCACAACCCAGAACTGAATCACAACAGCCTTTTCCTTTAACACTATACTTGCTCTATTTAACCTCCGCCATGGCCAATTCAATAGATTCACAGAAAATATCAGCAGGACGCCTTGGTTCTCAACACCAAGTCTGGAAAGCTGGGTTTACACGCCCCACCTGAGCAAGCCTGATCGGTGATTGTGTTGGGCTCATTCCTCACTTGGCCCCTTCAAGCAGAGATAGGCCCTGCAAGAACTCTCTCTAGGAATTGTTTTCTCAATATTTTAAAATCCACTTTTCCTATATCCTATCAATGGGCACGGAGTGAGAGTGATACAGGCATGTGGAATTTCACAAGGCTAGATGTGCCAGCTTCAAGACTACTGAGCTTTAGGTATACACTTGTTATGGTTTGGATTTGTGTCCCCACCTAAATCTCATGTCGAATCGTAATCTCCAAAGTTGGAGAAGGGCCCTGGTGGGAGATGATTGGATCAGGGGGGCAGATTTCCCCTTTCCTGTTCTCATGATAGTGAGTGAGTTCTCATGAGATCCGGTTGTTTAAAAGGGTGTAGCACCTCCCCCTTCTCTCTCTTCCCCCTGCTCTGGCCATGTAAGACGTGCCTGCTTCCCCTTCACCTTCCACCATGATTGTAAGTTTCCTGAGGCCTCCCCAGCCATGCTTCCTGTATAGCCTACAATAGAGTAAGCCAATTCAACCTCTTTTATTTATAAATTACCCAGTCTCAGGTATTTCTTTATAACAGTGCAAGAATGGACTAATACAACAACACCGAAACACACATGCCAGCCAGTATTCACCCTGTCCTGTCCTCAACATGGTGACCTACCAGTATCACTCCTTCCAAGCCCATTTCCATTGCTCCTTCATGTTCTTCTTTGCCTCTTGAGTAAACAAGTCAAATCTATCCATTCATATCCCCACGTATTCACTTGCTTATCCAACATTTTCTGAGCACCTTCTCTGTCCAAGCCACTGGCCAGGTGCTATGGGGGTTGGGGGGCTCAGAGATGACTCTCAGAGCAGGAGAGAGCCCTGCTAACTCATCTCCCTCCCCATCTGCTCCCTGCATAACCAGCATTTTGGAAGCTCAGACCTCGCTACACCCTTAGCCCTAGCCACAATGACCTGGATGAACCAAAATCAAATTCTTCAATAGGGAAAGATTTAGAGACCTTGTCCTCTTAGAGAAGGTAAAAGCAATGTTCCTAAAATCAACAGTATGGTGTTTCAGTTAGAAAAATAAAAGTTCAGGTTAGCCAAATATTGCTGGGTACCAGGAAATCTGTGCAGGCAGAGAAATTGTCTGCCGTGCCTGTGCCAAGATAATCTTCTGTCCAATCTTCTGGGAGGTCAGGGCGGGCCAATGCACTGACTCACCAGGGAGGGCTTTCTAAGAAAGAAGGCTGGCCAGGAATCTTCTAGGGGGAAATATGCTGTTTTTATTGTGTCTGGTCTCCCCAGCTCCCTCCTAAATCTGTTGAATGAGGGAGTTCATCTGCTGGGTGTTTGAGAGCTCAAACTGTCCAACATTGTAGTAAACATCAGGCAAAGGGCAGTAAACAGAGGCTCCCTGTCCCAGCTGGGAGGAGCCCAGATATTGATGAGCACAGCGGACAGCCACAGACACACAGAAACACAAAAACAAGTGCCAGGAGCAGTGGCTCACGCCTGTAATCCCAGCACTTTGGGAGGCCAAGGCGGGCAGATCACCTGAGGTCAGGAGTTCGAAACCAGCCTGACCCACATGGTGAAACCCCGTCTTTACTAAAACTACAAAAAATAGCCGGGCGTGGTAGCTGGTGCCTGTAATCCCAGCTACTCGAGAGGCTGAGGCAAGAGAATCACTTGAACCTGGGAGGCAGAGGTTGCAGTAAGCTGAGATCACACCACTGCACTCCAGCCTGGGCGACAACAGCAAAACTCTGTCTCAAACAAACAAACAACAGCAACAACAACAACAACAACAAAAAACCAAGCAAACACATGCAGGGCTGCCCATAACCTCTGGAAAGAAAGAACTCTCCTGGTCAGGAATCTCCTCTTGGGCATGAGTGTGAAAATAAGGACTCTTGAATTTGCTTGCCACATCAGAGGCAGCATTGCAGGGAGGCCTTTACTTCAGAGGCAGCATTGCAGGGAGGCCTTTACATACGTATGTCATCCAGCCTCATGGCAAAATAGATAATAGATTGTATTACCCTCATTTTCTCCAGGGGAAACCTGAGGCTCAGAGGTCATCTTGCCTACAGTGACTATTTGCAGGACTGAGGTTGGTATACAGGTCTGTCTGACTTCTCCTTGTAGGCTTTCCCAGAAATCAAAGCCTCACACGACCCCCTCCTCTAAGGCATGACAGAACCCAGTTGTCTGTTCAGGCAGGGGGAAGGAGGGGGTGGCCCACCTGGGGGATTTCAGGGGTGCTGCCACCTGGAAAGTAACCCTCAGGAGCTCACCAGCAGTGCCTGGAACTCAGACCAAAATCACTCTCTTGGGTGTTTAAATTGTAAATATGTTTACCTGTATTCAATCTCACCCTGTTTATTGTTTGCTTCTCCTCAGTCCACAAAGCATTCAACACTCACCATTCTAAAAATAATAAAACTGGGCTGGGTGCAGTGGCTCATGCCTGTAATCCCAGCACTTTGGGAGGCTGAGGCAGGTGGATCTCCTAAGGTCAGGCGTTCGAGACCAGCCTGTCCAACATAAAGAAACCCTATCTCTACTGAAAATACAAAATTAGCCGGGCGTGGTGACACATGCCTGTAATCCCACCTACTGGGGAGGCTGAGGCAAGAGAATTGCTTGAACCCAGGAGGCAGAGGTTGCAGTGAGTCGAGATCCCGCCATTGCATTCCAGGCTAGGCAACAAGAGTGAAACTCTGTCTCAAAAAACATAAATAAATAATAAATAATAATAATAAAACTGGCTAGGCATGATGGCTTATGCCTGTAATCTCAGAATTTTGGGAGGCTGAGGCAGGAAGATTGCTTGAGCCCAGGAGTTCAAGACTAGCCTGGAAAACATAGCAAGATCCCACCTCTACAAAAATAAATAAAAATAAATAAATTAGCTGGGTGTGGTTTTGTGCGCCTGTAGTCCCAGCTACTGGGGAGGCTGAGGTGGGAAGATCGCCTGAGTCCAGGAGTTCGAGGCAGCAGTGAGCTGTGATTGCACCACTGCTCTCCAACCTGGGCAACAGAGCACAACCATGTCTCTTAAATAATAATGACAATAATAAAACCAAAAACTTTTCACACCTCTGCCTGCCCCTCTATTTATATTTACAATCTTACCTTTGATGTTCCAACTCTTTGGAAAAGTGGGATCACAGCACCACTGCATTTTCTTATCCTCCTATAACAAGTTCTGGAGTTGCTAAAACAACGTATTCCTAAGGTGCCTAGTAGGTGACTTCTAATTGTCACCTGTAATGGTATCTTTCAGTCTTCTGCTTACATAACTGTTCTGTGGCATTCAGTATCTACAGGCCACCATTTCCTTGAACAGTCTTCTTTCTCACCTTCTGACAAATTCGTTTGTTCTTATTTATTTATAGCATTTTGATGATTCCCCATCTTCTTTACCTGCATGCTAGACTGATCTCCAATTTGCAATCCATCCCTTCTTCTGTTTCTCCCTCTTTACCTCCCTCTCAGCCAAAGATCTCTCTTTAGAAACCATCACCCAAGGTAGAGGAATGAATCTCTATGCTTTGACACCTCCTTCTATTCCTCTTTTCCTCACTCTCCACATTCATTCCTACAAAGTCTTTTTTTGTTTTTGTTTTTGTTTTTGAGACAGAGTCTCACTCTGTTGCCCAGGCTGGAGTGCAGTGGCATGATCTTGGCTCACTGCAACCTCCACCTCCAGGGTTCAAGCGATTCTCGTGCCTCAGCCTCCCAAGTAGCTGGGACTACAGGAACCCGCCACTACGCTTAGCTAATTTTTGTATTTTTAGTAGAGATGGGGTTTCCCCATGTGAGTCAGGCTGGTCTGGAACTCCTGACCTCAAGTGATTCACCCATCTTGGCCTCCCAAAGTGCTGGGATTACAGGCATGAGCCACTGAGCCCAGCCACAAAGTCTTATAAATTCTGCCTTTTAAAATTCATCCTGCCGCCTCCATTAGATCTGCTCATGCCCCCTTTTAGGTCACTTTTAAGTAGAAGGCTCCTAGCTGGTCTTCCTGCTCACAATATTTCCCCAACCTCCACATGGCTGTCAAAGAGATGTTTTAGAAGAACAAATACAGCAAATACAGCCACGTTAAGACATAAATGCAAGTCTGTCTGACTCCTCCTTACTTACTGTAAGTTCAGGTCTGAATGCTTCCTGGCTAGTGTGTAAGCCTCTTTTTTTTTTTTTTTTTTTTTTTTGAGACGGAGTCTCGCTCTGTCGCCCAGGCTGGAGTGCAGTGGCGGGATCTCGGCTCACTGCAAGCTCCGCCTCCCGGGTTCACGCCATTCTCCTGCCTCAGCCTCCCAAGTAGCTGGGACTACAGGCGCCCGCCACTACGCCCGGCTAATTTTTTGTATTTTTAGTAGAGACGGGGTTTCACCGTTTTAGCCGGGATGGTCTCGATCTCCTGACCTCGTGATCCGCCCGCCTCGGCCTCCCAAAGTGCTGGGATTACAGGCGTGAGCCACCGCGCCCGGCCTGTAAGCCTCTTTTTACAGGAATCCGACTGTGCTTTGCCAGACCTGCCTACAGCTGCCACTGCCATTATCTTCCCTCAATACACCCACCATTCCTCCCTGTCTTTACTGCTCAACTCCCATTTAGAAAAAGCTACTCTTGTCTATGCTTCAAGGTCTAGCTCAAATGTCACCTCCTCTGGACAAGTTTCTCCCTTCTACCCTCAGCCCCTTCCCCTAAGAATGGCTGAAGGCTGAGTAGGTCGCTTTGTGCCCCCACCATACTTAAGTCCTCCCACCTCCCAAAGCCCCTCTATTATATGGGGTTGCTGGGCAGGCATAGCCAGGTTTTATCCGACTTTGTTTTTCTAGTAAAGTAACTGAAACATCATAGGTGCGTAATGAATAATCATGATGACCGTAGAAATAAATGAATGAGTGAGTGAGCTACTGAGTTGCAATCATTCTTTCAATGACTTTCAGGAAGGAGGGAGGGAGAGAGACAGGGGCACAGATAGAAGGTAGTTTACTGGGTCACCAGCCAGAGTTCAATGAAGGACCGGGTCAGTTTCATTGGACAGAAGCAGGCTGGTAGCTTAGAACCAGAAAGCTGCCTTGGGAACCCCAGGAGAGGTGAGAAGCCCCGGTGAGCAGAACACAGTTCCGGCAGTGCGAGGGTTGCATCGGGCTCCGGGTGGCCTGTGCATTCCAAACTGAAAGGGGGCAGAAAATTGACCAGAAATACAACATTTCACAATTTTTCCTTGAGCCTTTTTGTAAAGTAAGTTTTGCATGCTTGTAGAAAACTCCCTATACTTAAAAACCTAGATGCCTCTGAGGAGTCAGATTTCAATAGTGTGATAAGGGCTCCTCCTGGTGGATCTACATAAAATGAGAAAAGAATCTTATTATTATTATTATTATTATTCTGAGACAGGGTCTCCCTCTGTCATTCAGGCTGGAGTACAGTGGTGCAATCAGCCTCAACCTCCCAGGCTCAAGCGATCCTCCCACCTCAGCCTCCTGAGTAGCTGGAACTGTAGGCACATACCACCAAACCTGGCTAATTTTTAAAATATTTTGTAGAGACAGGGTCTCACTGTGTTGCCCAGTGTGGTCTCAAACTCCTGGGTCGAAGCAATCCTCCAGTCTTGGTCTCTCAAAGTGCTCAGACTACAGACATGAGCCACCGTGCCTGGCCTAAGAATCTTTCCTAATTCTCTTCCTCTTATCCAGTTATTGGATTTTCTCTATTTTTGTACCTGTGTTAGTTTTCTCTCACTACTGTAACAAATTATGACAAACATAGTAGCCGAAGGCAACACATAATTATGATCTTACTGTTCTGTAGATTAGAAGCCCAAAACCAGTCTTACTGGGCTGAAATCGAGGGGCTGGCAGGGATGTGTTCCTTCTGAAAGCGGGGGCTCTGGGGGGAGCTCATTTACTTGCCTTTCCAGCTCCCAGAGGTCACTGCGTGCCTTGGCTCATGGCTCCTTTCTTCACCTTCAAAGTCAGCAAAACGGCAGATCTTCCTGGCCCTTCTTCAGCTGTCGTGTTGTCCCCTGACCACGACCTCAGCTGGGGAAGCTTCTCCTCTTTGAAGGATTCGTTTGATTAGATTGGACCTGCAGGAGTACCTCAAGATCACCTTCTTATCTCAAGATTCTTAACCTGAATCACATCTGCAACGCGCTTTTGCCACATAGGGATCATATTCACAAGTTGTGGGGATTGGGCTGGGGACATTTCTGTTGAACTGTCATTCCACCATCACTGATTGCCACATTCCAAGTGCCAGAGTAAAGAATGAATAGTATGTTCCCTCCCTCGTGGAGCTCTCACTCTTTCAAGGGAAACGGACTTGGAAACAGCCTTTGGCATCGTGCACCTTATATAAGGCAGAGACACTGTGGGAGCACTGAGGGAAAAGCACTATCTGTATTAGTTCTCTCACTGCTATAAAGAAATATCTGAGGCTGGGTGCAGTGGCTCATGCCTGTAATCTCAGCACTTTGGGAGGCTGAGGCGGGGGGATCACTCGAGGTCAGGAGTTCGAGACCAGCCTAGCCAGCATGGTGAAACGCTGTCTCTACTTAAAATACAAAAATTAGCTGGGTGTGGTGGCACACCTCTGTAATCCCAGCCACTCAGGGGGCTGAGGCAGAAGAATCGCTTGAACCTTGGAGGCAGAGGTTGCAGTGAGTTGAGATTGTGCCACTGCACTCCAGACTAAGCAACAGAGTGAGACTCTGTCTCAAAACAAAAAAAAAAAAAAAGGAAGAAAGAAAAAGAAATATCCAAGACTGGGTAATTTATAAGAAAAGAGGTTTAATTGGCTCATGTTCTGCAGGCTGGACAGAAAGCACAGTGGCTTCTGCCTCTAAGGAGGCCTCAGGAAACACAGTCATGGCAGAAGGCAAAGAGGAAGCAGGCACATCTCACATGTCCAGAGCAGGATGAAAGGTCTCATGAGAACCCACTCACTATGGTGACGAAGGAGGATGATGCTAACCACTCCAGTGATCCAACCACCTCCCACCAGGACCCACCTCCAACACGGGGGATTACAACTGAACATGAACGCAGAGCCAAACCATATCACTAGCTCTGCCTGGAGACATTAGAGACAGGTTCCCAGCGGGGAGGCTTCCTTAGCCCAGAGATGAATTAAGAACAGCATTGACTGGATGGTGCTGTGGTTTCAATGTCCCCTCCCGAACTCACATCAAAACTTCATCACTAGTGTGGCAGTGTCCTTTCAGAGGTAGTGGGATCATGAAAGCTCTGCCCTCAGGAGTAGATTAATCCATTCATGAACTAATGGGTTAAGGGATCAGTGTGGTATAAAGACGAACTAAGACCTGAGCTGGCACATTAGCACACTCAGTCCCTCTCCATGTGACACCCTACACCACCGCAGGACACTGTTTAGTCCCCACCACCAAGAAGCCTCTCACCAGATGCAGCACCTTGGATTTCTCGGCCTCCAGAGCTGTAAGAAATAAATTCCTTATAAACAACCCACTTTCAGGCATTCTGCTATAAGCAGCAGAAAACGGACTAATACACACGCCTTGTCTCCAACTAGAAGCTCCTCCACCCACTAATTATGGACTGTTTTACTACTTGGCTTCCAGGAGGGAGGGAACTGTATGAAAAGAACAGAGATGCATAACTACATACAGAAATGGTTCCCAAGGGGGCTGAGAGCTGTGTTAAATGTGAGCTTTAAATGTTTTTTAATGATTTTTATCCTCAGAAAACTTGGTTCAAATGCAGTCTTGCTGGATGCATTTGCTGGGTGTCCAACAAGTGAAACAAATGAAAATAATTATTACCCTGGGGCTTCACTGACTGAGAGTGAAGGAGGCTTTGGCTGCTGGAAATGTGGAGGACCCCAGAGACCCTCTGCGGCAGTGGTTCCCAGTGTTTTGTCTTTGTTCTTCAAGCAGCATAATCATTCCTTTAAACAACATTTTAGGTGAACATGTGAAGCGGGGTAACCCCAAACTCTGCCCACCTATCTCCAGGGACAGTCTAGAGCTCTGGGGGCCTGGGTGAGCATCTCTGACCTAGACCAACCAAAGATCTTAACCAGACCCAGAGAGCAGCCACAGCTAATATGGGCAGGGTGACAGAGAGGATAACCTGTCACGTGTATGCTTCCCCACACCTGAGGCTCCAGCATGCATGAGAGAGAGCCCTGAGAGACACGCTATGGATCATATAACAATCCTGAAACAAAAGAGATGCAGAGAACTTATTCCACATGTCAATGTTAAAGGACGCAGAGAACTTATTTCAGATGTCACTGTTAAATGAACCATGGTGGCAGTTTCTGCCCATCAGGTTCCCATATGTAGAGACTAATGAAATTCCCCTACCCGAAGCTCTAGAAAAGTTCAAGATCCACACCATCTGGGAAGGGTGAAAGCTGCATTGAAGTCTTCTTAGGAGCAGGAGGAGCACTCAGCCCTCGGGGCCCAGGACTGTGGAGAGGACGGGGCGCCCGCTGGCTGTGTCACCACAGCACACCCCGGGCTTCCAGGAACAGGAAGGGAGCTAAAGGTGATGAAGTATAGGGGCCCTTAGGGCCTCGAAACTACAAGCTATTCCTCAAAGACCAAGCCTCACATGCCTCTGGGTCCAGAGGTGCAAAGGCGGGGCTGTGGGTGAAGGGTTTCAAAGGCAGCCCTCTCTGGCTCACCTCAAAAATCCTACCTGGGCAGACACCTCTGGGTATTATACAGTTTAGGGCATCCATCATTCATTCTCAGTGGAAAGTCCTGCAGATGCTAGAAATCAATAGGGTTTTTATTTATTTTTAAATTTAAATTTTTTTGAGGTGGATTTTTGCTCTTGTCGCCCAGGCTGGAGTGCAACGGTACGATCTCGGCTCAATGCAACCTCTGCCTCCCAGGTTCAAGCGATTCTCCTGCCTCAGCCCCCCAAGTAGCTGGGAGTACCGGTGCCTGCCACCATGCCTGGCTAATTTTTGAGTATTTTTAGTAGAGACGGAGTTTCACCATGTCGGTCAGGCTGGTCTTGAACTTCTGACCTCGGGTGATCCACCTGCCTCAGCCTCCCAAAGTGTTGGGATTTCAGGTGTGAGCTACCGCACCCGGCCAAAAGAGTTTATTGACTGGGGCAGGACGATGGAAGTAAGAATGCAGGTCAGAGTCAAATAACAGCCTTACCTCTTTTACTTAGATATCCAGATGTTCTTTTTAGCAAATTAAATTTTCTAATTTGCTTTTACTCAGTACATTGATATGCTTAGTATAAATGCACTAACTGTGCTACTTTTAAACGCATCCAACACACATCATTTTAAAGTGTTTTATGAGAAATTCTGAACCTCCAGTAGACAACGACCCTTCTCCTACAAACTACAGTTATTCCAAGGGCATTTCACTCTGTCTTCCACATGCAAGAGCTTGTAGCAGGAAAAAAATAAAATGAGAAAGAGAGAGAAAGAAAAGAGAAAAGAGAGAGAAGGAAGGGAGGGAGGGAGGAAGGGAGAGGAGGGGAGGGGAGGAGAGGGGAGGGAGGAAGGGAGGGAAAAGAGGGATGGAGGGAGGGAGAGAGGGAGGGAGGGAAGGAAGGGAGGAAGTAAAATATGTATGTATATACTTTTATTTATGTCTATGTCTAGATGGGTCAGCACAAATATTGAATTCACACTATATGCTGTGGCCTGCAACAGATACTGAGGATGCCAGCATGGATATGAGACCCAGTAATTAGCCTGGAAGAGCAGAGAATGTACTGAGGGATGATTTGTAACAATACAACTGCTATGTTATGTTCTCCTGCTATAACAGAGGCAAGAGCTCAGTGTTCTGGGGATGCAGGCGAGGAATTGTGTGGCCTGGATAAATCTAGGAAGACTTCATGGAAGATGACGCATTTAAGCTAGATCTTGAAGAAAGATAGCAAGCTTTCTGTCTAGTGTAAGGGAAACTCATTTCAGTCTGCAGAAACAGTGTAAGCTGGGGTGTGGAGGATGAGAGATGAGGGCAGCTGGTCCAGGCAGACAACAGAACCAGTGAGAGCAGCGGTTGCTGCTACTGTATCACCCCCCTTGGCAGTAGTATGGCCCTGACTGCTGAGAGGCAGGCCAGCTCAGGGGCGTCTCGACTCCCCAAACCAGTGCTGAACATTCCCTGATCAACCTGGCTACCAAACCTTCTTCTGAAAATGAGAAGTAGCTTGTTAACTATCAGAGCTTTCTCACATAAGAATGGGCTTCAGGAGAGGTAGTGAGGTCCCTGTGGGAGGAGGTATGTAAGTAAAAGTGATAGGATAGGCCCTTTTTTCCAGGCTGTGGTAGAAGGGAGGTTTGGGACCAAAGAAGGTTGGCCTAACATACCCCGCTCAGTTTTCTTCCAGAGCTAAGAGGCCATGATTCCCTTTGAAAGTAGAATTTCCTGTTCTTCTATGAGGAATGGAAAAACATGTCTAGAGAGGTTAAGTGACTTGCCCCAGGCTACAAAGAAAGCTATCCGAATCATTGTCCAAACATTTCACTTGCTACAATCTGATCTCAAGTGGACTTTTAGACAGGTGAGAACAGATGCTGGCTCTTCTATCTCGGCAACCTCTTTACCAATTCTGCAAGCATCAGACAGCAGCTGGATCATACATACATATGCCTCACGTACGCAGCTTCAGCTCTGCCAAGCAGGGCCATGCCCAAATGTGAGCATAATATGTTTATGTGGACCTTGAGCAAGACACTGTGAGTTGAGTCCTGACTTCACAACTGCAAGCAGGAGGTCACAGAAGCTTTGCAGATAAAATGTTAATCTCATACCTTGGCCCATATCAACACATGCTAATCAGATGGGTCAGGCTGTGCCGTTTCCCTCTGCAAGCGGGACTTGTTGTGACTAATTGAGGGGTTTGTAGTGAACATGTCCCTTTACCTCCTGCAGTCCTGGCATCCTAAAGCAAACCTTGGATCTATCAACACCAGTGATACCGAGAAGCCGATATTCTCTTCACTCTGTTCTCCTTCCCAGCAGCCATCACGCCTCTGGGCTACAATCCTGCCTCCAGAAGTCCCAGCTCAATTCACAAAGATGTTCTGGGAAGGAAGTCAATCTTCCCAAAGTTCTTGAGAGCCTGGGACATGCCATTTGCGCAGAACTCTAGAGTATGCAACGTGGCTTCACACACATCACTCCATTCGGACCCAGGGCTCTGGTACAGGTGTCATCCAAACCTTCTACTGCACACACGTAGCAAAGCGAGGCCCAGGGGTGATGCCCTCTTGAAGTCACAGAGAGAATAAGTGGAGCAGCAAGAAATCGCAGCTCAGTTTTCTGACCCTGAAGCCTGGGTTCTCTTCTGCATATACCAGATGGCCTGGTGAGCAAGGGTTGGGTATTCCTTGGCAAGGGGTGAGCAGGGCTGGGATCCAGGGTGAGTTGAAGTGGGCTGAGGACTTTCCAGGACTCATAGCTCCAGCCGGAATGTGAACAGGCCACACGCACCGAAATCAGTCTTTAGAGCTCGCTGTGGCCACAAGTGGGTGCTGGGCTGAGGTGGTGGCTTGTGGTTGTGAGTGTTGAAGATCATAGTTCAACGCAGGCCGGGTCCCATACAGGCAGGAGGACCAGGCACTAACTGGCCTGCTCTGCCGTCGATCTGGTACCTGTGTGTCTGCCTGACAGACACAGCTCAGAGGCCACCAGGGCTGAGCCGTGGCCCCAGGGCCACCCTCTGTGAGGCTGTCAGGAAGACAGAAAGAGCCACAGGGCAGCTACAGGGACAATGAGTGGCTTGCTGGTGAGGGACAGTAGGAGGCTGAAACCAAGGGAATGGACAAGAGCTTACAACCCCAAAAACTGATGGTGCCTTGTAGCAGACAGACACTGAGAACCCATGGCTGGGGCTCTGAAAGGGGAGGAAGCCTGCCAGGATTACCACTGGGTCCCACATGGGCCTCCCTGCTCCCCATTCATCCTGTGTGACAGCCATGCCAGTCTTTCAGGCCTTTTTTCCTTTTGTTTTGATGCCTTAGGAGACAGTTCATAGACCCTGGCCCAAAAGCTATCTGCTTCTAGAATCCAGCCCATCCCACCCTCCCAGCCTTGCTGCCTCCTCCTGCACCAGCTCCTCAGTCACTGCCCCAATTCGTGGCCTTTGATTACTGCGGCCCCTCGCTCTGAATGACTCCACCTGTCATCTAGTCATTTGATTCCCTCCCAACCTTGAGGACCCACTTTCTGGGACCCCAGTTGTCTATAAAGACCTCCCTGCCCCCTCACTCTGATCATCACTCTCTGTAATCCCTCTAGGGTTTGCCTGTCCCCACCATATACTGTGCGTCTCCTGCACTGCCTGCCTAGGTCCTCCCAGCCTCTGGAGGATGGGCTGGCCGTGCCTTGTCTACGCCTCCCATCTAAACTGGGCTTAATAGCTTGGCTGTAAATATCTATGGTCCATTTGATTGATGGATTCGAGCTACAACTATAGTAGCCTTTGTAGGAGAAAGAAGCATCACAGGCAGAGCCTAAGACCCACAGCAGACACTGATGTTCTCTGTTCTATCATCTCAGGCTCCATTTGAATTCTACACCAGGATAAGCAGAAAACCAGCAAAATAGTTGTCTTGCCACTCACTCCATGGGTACAGTGACCTGCAGACTAGCATTCATAACTGGCATATTGTCTGGTTTTTACAATTACGAGCACACACTTCCCCTCCTCTGATCCTTGCAGCAACCCTGGGGAAGGAAGGGTAAATATAGTTCCCAAGTCTTACTACCCTCCGTGAAATAAGATTCAGAGAGGAGAAGACGTCTTCCTAGAGCCTCCTAGGGCAGGCAAAATCCAAACTAGGTCTTTGATTTTGAAGCAAGACCTCCATCCAGTATGACATGGTTATTTTAGAAAATGAACATGCCAGAACTAATTATTTTTCAGGTGTTTAATACCCACGACGTGTGCCCAGTGCTCTTAATGCCTAATCTCTGACCCTCACGTCTTTCAATGGTCTTCCATGCCCAACATTAAACCTCATTTCAGGTCTGATCAACGATGAAAAGTTAGGTTGTGTAATGGAATGAAAGTGATGTTAAGGAATTGAATCAAGTGTAGGATAACATTTCACATAGGATTTACAGGACGTAATTGTATTTCATCAACAGAGCTACTCAAGTCATTCATTTGAACACAGAATTTTCTCTTTTTCGTTTTTTTTTTTTTTTTTTTTTTTTTTTTTGAGATGGAGTCTCGCTCTGTCGCCCAGGCTGGAGTGCAGTGGCGCGATCTCAGCTCACTGTAAGCTCCGCCTCCTGGGTTCACGCCATTCTCCTGCCTCAGCCTCCCGAGTAGCTGGGACTACAGGCGCCCGCCACCACACCCAGCTAATTTTTTGTATTTTTTTTTAGCACAGACGGGGTTTCACCGTGTTAGCCAGGATAGTCTCCATCTCCTGACCTCGTGATCTGCCCACCTCGGCCTCCCAAAGTGCTGAGATTACAGGCATGAGCCGCCGCGCCCGGCCCCGAATTTTTTCTTTAATTCAGTCCTATGCCAAGGAAAGCCCTGCTGGTTTCTGACTCTCAAAGAATGTAGAAGGCACGTTCTCCCCTTCTCTGCAGCCTTGCAGTGATGCTATTTGCAATTCTTCTTTTGTTTCTGAAGAGTCAGACAGAGGCCCAAGTCTGGTGCCATCAGGAAACTAAAGCTTTATCTGAAGTGGTGGAAACTTCCCAGGGATCTCCGCAGCCCAAACTCTGTCTCTCTTTCACTACTGAGCACTGATCTGAGGAGTCCCATGAAAAAATATCCATATTCAAAAGTCTTAGAAAACAGGAAGTGAACAGACTTGCCAGTCACAGGTAAGTAAAACATTCCACTGGTCCACCTAAGGAACTCTGGCTGATTCCAGCTTGGTGTTTCTCTCCAAGGCCCTAATAAAAGGTAAAAGCAGGATTTGCAGAATCCTAGAATAGTTGGGCTGGTAAAGACCAACTCCCTGTTTCATAGATGAAGACACTAAACCCATATTAGGGAAATGACAGCTAGCGAGTACTCTCAGTGGGATTCCCTCTCCAAGTTCCAATCAACCAAGATTTTCCAGCTCACATATTGTGGAAAGTTCTGAGGAGGGCAAGAGACGTATGTGGCACAGAAGTACCCTTGAGCCCACAGTCTGGCCTTGGGAGATACCATTCCTACACCCTGAATAGTAAGAATGACACTGGCAGTGGCTATGGCTGTCTGGGTAAGTGACTCTGGCGTGTTTTTTTGGTTTTTGTTTTAGGAGGCAGGGTCTCACTCTATTGGCCAGGTTGGAGTGCAATACTACCATCATAGTTCACTGTAGCCTCTAACTCCTGGGCTTGAGTGATCATCTTGCCTCAGCCTCCTGAGTAGCTAGAAGAAGCACATCATACCACACAGTAAGTGCTTATTATTATTTTTAATTTTTTTTTTCTTTACAGAATCCCATATAGATCTGATTAGTATCAGCCACATGGTAGGCAATGCTTGTTGCACTGAAGTCAGCCATTAGAATGTCGTCACTTTGAGGTAAGTCATTGACACATCCAGTAAGCTACTTTTTAGGATTATTCTTAGGGAAAAAAAACAGAGCCTGAAGAAAACAGAATTTTCACCCACTTATTATGAGAGCTAGGAGAAGTTCAGAGGCAAGACAGAGTGAAAGGAAACTACCTTTGTCTCAGGAAGCCTGGAGTTGGAAAGGAAGACAAGGATGTGGACAAGGGAAAAGCAGGGAAGGGAGAAGGGAATACAGCAAATAAACTGTATGAGTTCCTTTCCACACTGCTGTAAAGACATACCAAAGACTGGGCGATTTATAAAGAGAAGAGGTTTAATTGACTCAGAGTTCTGCATGGCTGGGAAGGCCTCAGGAAACTTACAGTTATGGCATAAGACGAAGGGGAAGCAAGGATCCTCTTCACACAGCGGCAGGAGAGAGAAAAGGGAGCGAAGGAGGAACTTGCCAAACACTTTTATAAAACCATCAGGTCTCATGAGAACTCCTTCAAATCACGAGAACAGCATGGGGGAAACTGCCCTCATGATCCAATCACCTCCCACCAGGTTCCTCCCTCAAAACTTGGGAATTCCAATTCAAGATAAAATTTGGATGGGGACACAGAGCCTAACTATATCATAAACTTTACTTAAAATGTGTAAGCCAAAGCCAGTGTGTGTAAGGCCCTATTACTTTGTTTAATAGAAAGTAAAGTACATCAAGTCTCAAGTCTCAGAATTTGGTCCAGGCCGATCCAATCTACTAGTTCGGTGTCTGAGCAATTTAGTGTGGGCTCTACCGCCCTCTTCTGGAAATACTGGGAATTGGTCTTTACTTGTGGTTTTTCAAGTCAGTCACAAATACTAGAAATCAGAGGCCAATTTCATTTTGAGAGTTGAGACAGAATTTGGTAGGTGGCTCAGGAGGAAGGAGAATCAAGGTGGAAGAAGGTGAAGGTAACATAGCACATTTCTTAAAATATGCAGAAAAGTTTCTACAGCCCAATCAAACATTAGTAATAAAATTCACTGTTGCAAAAAAAAAAAAAAAAAAAAAAAAAAAGCCTTGTGTTAAATTTTGTTCATGAGCAAAAGGTGTTAAAAGATTGATTTGTTAAGGAAAGGCCTCAGACTGTGGAGTCAGACCCACCTGAGTCAAATCTGGGCTCTGCTGCTTGTTGTGTAAGTGTAAGTGACTAAGTGACCTCAAGCTGATTATTTAACCTCGCGGGCTGTTCTCATCTGTAAAATGGGGACCACAATGCCCACCCCAGGGGGATGAAGTGAAACGATGCATTTAAGAGGACCAACATGTCACAGACTCCCCTTCAAGAAATTCAGGTAGAGAAAATTATACAATCCTAATGAGAAAAATGAGGAGAGACCCGAGTAAGGGGAGAAGCATTTATTAAGGTCAGGAATAGGCAAAAGTAATTGATGGGGAGAGAAGTCAGAACAGAGGTTCCCTCTGGAGGTGGTAAGTATTGACAGAGAAGGGATGGAAGGAGGCTTCTGGAGTGCTGAGAGTGCTCTATATTTTGTTCTGAGTGGTAGTTACCCAAACACATAAATTTATCAAGCACACACTTAAAATTTATGCACTTTACATACACAACCTTTAAAAAGAGGGGAGAGGAGGAAGAAGAAGGAGGAGGAGGAAAAGGAGAAGCAGAAAAAAAAAGAAAAAGACTTTTTTTTTTTTGAGATGCTGGAGGTAGTGACACAATCTTGGCTCACTGCAACCTCTGCCCCCTGAGTTCAAGCGATTATCCTGCCTCAGTCTCCTGAGTAGCTGGGACTACAGGCATGCACCACCATGCCCAGCTAATTTTTGTATTTTTAGTGGAGACGGGGTTTCACCATGTTGGCCAGGTCTATCTCCAACTCCTGACCTCAGGTGATCCACCTGCCTCAGCCTCCCAAAGTGCTGGGATTACAGACATGAGCCATCATGCCTGGCCCAAGAAAAAGACTGAAAACAGTGGTGAAGTGGGGGAGATCCTATAACTTGAGTCAGAATAGTTATCTCAGCTTTCTAAAGACGGCCACATCTCTTCTACCTGCTCATTCCACAACCTGTATTGGTTCTGAAAATTATGGGAGGAGACATGAACATGCTGATTATGAAGAATTTCTGCCGCCACAGCTGTGAGCAGATAGAGTGAAGGCGAACTAATCTGTGATTCAACCCAGGTGAAGGCAAAGCCTGTGAGCAGTGAGTGGGTGGATGTGATTTCCAAAAGAAACCCCTTGGCTCAAAGTGGCAGGGGCTGGAGACCAGGATGGACTGAGAGACAGCCAGAGTTGAGTTGAGGGGTGAGTAGGGTTCGCTACCATAATTTCTGGAAAGTGCTTCAGGTGTGGAGCGTCAACAAGAGTGGGAATTCCCACATCAGCTCCCACACCTTTGTATGGCAAGCATACTATGCATGCCACAAGCAGTTCGGCCAGGGCTCCGCCCCAGCTACTCGCTAAGAAGAGTTGTCATGCCAGTTACAGAAAGACAGCCCTTAACTCTAGCCTCTTCTTGCAAGCATGACAAGCACAGGCCCACAGGCCCATAGGCCAAACTCTCTTCTGCAGTGAAGGAGCTCAAAACTGGTTCCTTCCAATGTCCTTATGAGCAAATTAAAACTGTGAGGAATTTCCCCCCCATTTTCCTTTAAATGAGCTGGAAAGATTTGAATAAAGACTCTTGTAAGCTCTGGTAACTACTATATGAAAAGGTTTAAAAGGAAATAACTTGGGGAAGTAAACAATAGCCCGTGAAAGATCGAAATGCTTTTTAGACATTGTTGGAATGAAAATGTTGGGTGAAAACTGATAAGAACATTAGCAAAAGTAAGCTGACTGAATACCAAATTACACACAAGGAGATGCCAATAATAATAGTCAACTTGTGCCACAGAACGCAAGACATAGGAATTGAAGGTGATGTAAGATATGGGGCTGGGGGAAAAAAAAGGCAGATTCATGAGAAAAAAGAAAAAGTGAAAGGAAGGACACCTCAGTCCCATCCACCATGCCCTGAAGGTAGCCAATAGCCCCATCACCACCCAGGTGGAAAGATTTATTATGTGGAAAACTTAAAGCCCAGAGGGTACAAAGTGAGGACTCGCCACGGAGGCAGGGGAGCGGGGCCACACTTAACACCATGAGAGTGACCTGGCTGAGAGTCTGCTCCCCACCCTGAGCCCCCATTAGTCACTTTGTTCCAAGAAGGTTGACTCTACCCATCCTCACCACCACGAGGAAGTCTCCACTGGAGGAATTACGAGAGAAGTCCTACAGACACTGATATCGGGGAGTTCTCCAATAAAAGAGCCAACACCTACCAGTCACCCTAAGAGTTCACAAGCCCCAGTCTTTCATGTAGACTTCCAGAAGCCTTACAATGCACGCAAGATATTTGAAGAAAGTCTCCATAGTGAAACAGCTCAAAACAAGCAAAGATTGGAACTGAGGGCTGGACGCAGTGGCTCATGCCTCTAATCCCAGCACTTTGGGAGGCCAAGGCGGGTGGGTCATGAGGTTAGGAGTTCAGGAACAGCCTGGCCAACATGATGAAACCCCGTGTCTACTAAAAAAAAAATGCAAAAATTAGCCAGGCCTGGTGGCAGGCAACTGTAATCCGAGCCACTCGGGAGGTGAGGCAGAGAATTCCTTGAATCTGGAGGCAGAGGTTGCAGTGAGCTGAGATCACGCCACTGCACTCCAGCCTGGGCGACAGAGCGAGACTCCATCTCAAAAAAAAAAAAAAAAAGAAAAAAAGATTGGAACTGAGGAAACATAAATGCAGGGAGAAAAAATAGCTTGACCCGCCCTCAGAGAGAGAAAAAATATCTCAACCATAAAATGAGATTAGGAGGCCATGAGAAAACTCAGAGAGCTGTTGTAAATTAAATTATGATAGATGAAAAAAAATTCTGAAGAACAGCTGAATGTAGAACTGAGACAGTCTCTTAGAGAGTGGAATAAAATAAGTTAAAATGATAGAATAGGAGGAAAAGGGAAGATTAATCAATCCAACATCCAACCAATAGGATTTCTGAAAGAAAGCAAAGATATAGCACAATCAAAGATATAGCACAATAAAATTCCCAGAACAGACAATATGAGTTTCCAGATTGAGAGGCCCCACTGGGTGTGCAGCACAGTGAATAAAAAAGACCCCAACAAATACTCATTATTGTGAAATTTCTAAAGACCTGGAATAAGATCCCAGTAGCTAAAAGCAACCACAGATCTCATTCAAAACACGGAGAATCAAATGGCACAGGGCTTCTCAACAGCAATGCTGAGACTAGATGAAAGAACAGCATTGGAAATATGAGGGAAAATAATATTCAGCTCAGAATTCTGCACCCAGGCAATTATCAATCAAGCAGGACATTTTCACACACATCTGATGTCTCAAATTATATGCCACCCTTGCAGCTATCTGAGGAATTATTGGAGGACATACTCCAACAGAAGATGAAAATGCACCAAGAACAAGAAAGTGAATTCAGGAAACTGGAGTCCAGTTTAGGAGAGCAACACAAGAAAACCCAGCCCAAAGCCCATGCAGGTGGCTCTGAGAATGAATCCAGAGGACACAGGGCTGGAAACAAAACGTACCGACAGATGACCTGCTATGATCAGAAACAAATAGTCAGGGGTCTTCATAAATCAGTTAGTGGACTTGAGAACAATGGGTGAGAGTAATCTGGAAAATGAAGTAAACAAAGGAACTTCAGAAACAACAAAGCAGACTTCATCAGCTTCAACAACAGCAAAATATAGAGCAAGGAAGTGAAATCAGACACCATCCCTGCAGATACCACATTCTGCAACAAGCATTGCTAATATGGTCATTATAGAGCAAATACCTATTAAGTGACTAAATCATGAAATAATTAAGCTTGAAGGTTGAAGGACAGGAAGAGGCCAGTAAAGATATTCAATCTCCATCTACCATTAAATTAAGACGGTAGGTTATGTCAAAAAAAAAAAAAAATGGCAAATCAAGAAAGAACTGAGTAAGCAGATTTTGTAGATGCAAAAAAGTAAAAATAATAAAATAGATAAAAGTGTGAAAGTGGAGGACAGGATTCAGGAGTTGGAAAAGATGACACAAAAGCCTGCTGTTTTCTGTCATATGCTTGAGGCATTATTACTTTTTAACGACGTAATTTTAACACTTATTAGAAAGTTACATTAAGACATGAAATAATAGCAGAAAGACTGACAGATAGGTGAATAGAACTGAACTGAGAATCCAGAAATAAATTTTCACATTTACAGTCAATTGACTTTCAGAAAGGATGCAAGTAAACGCAATGGGGAAAGAATCGTCTTTTCACTAAGTCGTTCTGCGACAACTGGATATCTACGCGTAAAAGAATGAAATTGGGCCTCTACCTCCCACCATATAAAAAATAAATACAAATGGATCAAATATGAAAATGTAAGAGCTAAACCTAAAAACTCTTAGAGGAAAGCGTAAGTGTACATATTCATGACCATGGGGTAGGCAATGGGTTGTTAGACGTCATGCCAGAAGCATAAGCAATAAGAAAAAATAAACACATGGACTTTATCAAAATTAAAATCGTGTGTGCTCCAAAGGTCACCATCAAGAAAGTAAAAAGACAACACACAGAATGGGAGAAAATATGTGTAAACCACATATCTGATAAGGAATTTGTATGTAGAATATGTATTTTTAAATTCTTACAATTCAATAATAAAAAGACAACCTTTGTTATTTTTTTATTTGTTTGTTTTGAGATGGAGTCTCACTCTGTCACCCACGCTGGAGTGCAGTGGCACAATCTCGGCTCACTGCAACCTCCACCTCCTGGGTTCAAGCGATTCTCCTGTCTCAGCCTCCCGAGTAGCTGGGACTACAGGCACGTGCCACCACACCTGGCTAATATTTGTATTACTAGTAGAGAGGGGGTTTCACCACGTTGGCCAGGCTGGTCTTGAACTCCTGACCTCGTGATCCACCTGCCTTGGCCTCCCAAAGTGCTGGGATTACAGGCGTGAGCCACCGAGCCCGGCCAAGACAACCATTTTTTTTTTTTTTAATGGACAAAGGCTCTGAATAGACATTTCCACAAAGAAAATGTATACATGGTCAATAAGTACATGAAAAGATGCTCAACATTATTGGTCATCAGAAAAATTCAAATCAAAACCACAAGCGACCATTTCACACCCCCTAGGATGGATATAATTAAAAAGACAGACAATAACAAATGTTGGCAAGGATGTGGAGAAATTGGAACCTTCATCCACCGACTGTGGAAATATGAAATCCACTGACTGTGGAAATATGAAAGCTACTTTGGAAAACAGTCTGGCAGTTCCTCAGAGTTTTAACATCAAGTTATCACAGGACCGAACAATTTTACTCCTAGGTATATACCCAGGAGAAATGAGAACATATGCCCACACAACAACTTATACATAAATGTTTAGAGCAGCATTATTCACAACAGCTGAAAGGTGAACATGACGCAAATGCCCATGAGCTGATGAATGAAATAAGATGAATAAATAAGGTGTAATATATTCATATAATGGGACATCGTTTAATAATAAAAAGAAAAGAGGTAGTGATACATACCACAATATAGATGAACCTTTAATTTTTTTTTAATTTTTACTTAATCCCAGATGTGATAGTATACTGATAAATCTTGAAAACATGCTTAGTGAAACAAGCCAGTCTCAAAAGACCACATATTGTATGATTCCATTTATGTCAAGTGTCTGGAATAGGCAGATCTATAGAGAAAGAAAGATTAGTGGTTTCCTGGGACTGGAGGGTGTTGTTGAAAGAAAATTCAGGGATGATTAATGGGCACAGAATTTCTTTCTGGGCTGATGAAAATATAAAATTTATGGTGGTGATGGCTGCACAGTCCTGTGAATATACTTAAAGCCACTGAATAGTATACTTTAAATGGATGAACGGTATGGCATGTGAATTGTATCTCAATAAAGCTGTTACCAAAAAAAATGGATTTTGGCTGGTGGCAGTGGATCATTCCTGTAATCCCATTACTTTGGGAGGCCAAGATGGGAGGATCTCTTGAGCCCAGGAGATCAACGCCAGCCTGGGCAACATAGTGAGACCCATCTCATCAGTTTCCTCTTCTGTAGGATAAGAGAATTGAACTCACTGATAATAGAAAGTAGCACTTAAACAAGTTTTGTGGGGTTTTTGTTTTTGTTTTTGTTTCTGTTTTTTTTGAGACAGTCTCACTCTGTCACCAAGGCTGGAGTTCAGTGGTGTGATCTTGGCTCCCTGCAACCTCCACCTCCCAGGTTCAAGTGATTCTCCTGCCTCAACCTCCTGAGTAGCTGGGATTACTGATGTGTGCCACCAAAGTCAGGTAATTTTTTTGTATTTTTAGTAGAGATGGGGTTTCTTCCATGTTGGCCAGGTTGGTCTCGAACTCCTGACCTCAGATGATCCGCCCTCCTCAGCCTCCCAAAGTGCTGGGATTACAGATGTGAGCCACTGCATCTGGCCTTAAATAGGGGTTTATGGTTGATAAAGTGTGTTCTTTGTCTACTTCTTATTACCTCATTCATCTTAATTACACTCCTGTTACAACTGTGTCATTGTTATTCTCACGTTACAAATAACAAAGTTTTCACTGTCACATTGTTTCTATGTTGTGGAGATTCCCCAGAGGGCTTTGGTTTGCAACACTGTAACACTGCTCCCCCACCCGCTCCCTGTCATTCCATGAATATCATGGCAGACCTACTTTGAGCACCAGGCCACCTGCACGTTGAGTCACACCTGAACACACAAAACTTCCTGCTTTCCTGTGACGATTTGCTCAGCAACCTGTTGTGACCTGCACCATGGTCGGCTGCCCCTCAGCACACCCTAATTCTACCTAATAGGTATAATTGCTGGCTGGGTGCAGTGGCTCACGCCTGTAATCCCAGCGCTTTGGGAGGCCAAGGCCGGTGGATTGACTGAGCTCAGGTGTTTGAGACCAGCCTGGCCAATATGGTGAAACCCTGTCTCTCTTAAAAATACAAAAAATCAGCCGGGCGTGGTGGCACATGCCTGTAATCCCAGCTACCCCTTGGGACACTGATGCAGGAGAATTGCTTGAACCTGAGAGGCAGAGGTTGCAGTGAGCCGAGATCGTACTACTGCACCCCAGCCTGGGCAACACAGCAAGACACTGTCTCAAAAAAAAAAAAAAAAGAAGGAAAGGAAAGGAAAGGAGAGGAGAGGAGAGGAGAGGAGAGGAGAGGAAAGGAAAGGAAAAAGAAAAGAAGAAAAATTGTCAATTACTGACCTGGGGTCAATAGCCAAAACAAGCAATGTATGATCCCCAAACTGCACTCTTCTCCCTTATGATTTCCAGAGACCACATAATGACTCGATTTGGATGACAAATCCTAAAAGACCTTGACCACGCTCATGCCTCTGCTAACACTGTACTCATCATTCTCCAGAAGAAGAAAGAAAAAAGGGGAAGAAGAAGCAGGGAGGAGGAGAGGAGGACAAGGGGGGGAGGAGGAGGAGGAAGAAGAGGGGGAGGAGGAGGAGGGGGGAGGGGGAGAAGGGACAGCAGGGGAGGAGAGGAGCGAGGAGAGGAGGAGGAAGAAGATAAGGAGAAGGAGGACAACAAGGAGGGCAAGGAGGAGGGGAGGGGATCACAACACACTTTGCTTCTAATAATTTCTTGAAAGCAACAAATGAAACCTGAAATGACGTTTGTGTTTCTGGGGTGATGCTGGTTCTCACCTTTGTCTGACCTCTCAGCTTTGTCTTTGGCTCCTCGCTCAGGTCCTGCCCCTGAGCTCACAGAAAGCCACCCCAAAATGAGCCAGTGGCAGATGGAGCCACAGAAAGCCAGAGCTACAGAAGTTGATGCCAAAGCCCAGAGACGTGAAATGACTTGTCCCAGGTCACACAGCTAGTTAATGTCAGAGCTAGGCTAGGACCTCAGGATTATGTCTCTTTATTCCTGATTTGGTCCTCCCTCAACCACCTTGTGACTTGACCATTTCTCTCTTCAGCACCTCCCAGAAACAGCAGAGAGCGCTTTGTACCAAAGCCACCATGCTCCATTCCTGCCTTGTTGCAGAGAAAGTTCTCCTGTCCCATACACGAAATTGTAGGGGTGAGCTCAGCAGAACTGAATTGTGTAACGCAGCAGCCCTGGGGTGTCAAAGCTTGCCAAGAATCAACCACACATCCAGGGAAGGTGTGTGGAAGGGCTGCACCGCCCTTTCTTCAAGTAAGCCTCAGAGGACTGACTCGTACAAGCATTACAGAGCTACCTCCAGGAGTAGGGAGCAATGTTACTAGGAAATTTATTTTAAGCCTGGGCAACAAAGCAAGACCCTGTGTCTACAAAATAATAATAATAATAATAATAAATAATAATAATAATAATAAATAATTTAAAAAATAAATAAACTGAGTGTGATGGCATGCACCTGTAGTCCCAGCTACTCAAAAGGCTGAGATGGGAGGATTGTTTGAGCCCAGGAGGTGGAGGCTGCAGTGAGCCATGATTGCACCACTGCACCCCAGTCTGGGTGACAGAGCAAGACCTTGTCTCTAAAATTTTTTTAAAAATTATTTTATGTAGCTAAGGCTTTATCTTGGAAAAATCAATTCCATACATAAGAACACAGTGGGTGGGTAGCGGGGAAGTATTTCCTAATATTCACCCTAGAGTTAGCCCTCTAGTGATTTTAGAGTTCCTCCAGTGGTGTTCTGAGACTGTGGCCATCACAAATGGGCCTCCTTAAAGGTGTAGGCTACTTTAATAACATCCCCTTGAATTTGGGTCCCTCCCCATAAGAACTTTCCTGTCACTTGCCACACTGCTGTTCCTGCCACCCATTCATCATCCTGTGTGATCTCTGCATTCCTTCAGCCTCCATAGTTACCTCCTTAATTTAAGGTGCTGTAGCTCCCACCCTAATGTGGAACTGCCACACTTTTCCTGCTTTTGTACTTTGGAAAGGATGTGTCTTCTGGTTTGCTTCTAATGCTCTGATAAACTCCAACATTTTCCTGGCTTATTGAGCACCATAGCTCGTTAGTTGCACTGTCTTCTTTGCTACATGGTAATTGGTGGTTGAAAGCCCGTCTTTCTACAAAGATTTTTATAGTCTCTGCACCTCCTCCCTTTCATGAGGGAAAAACGCATCTCTTCAACTGTCCCACAGTGGAGTGGAGTGCCATTTTATGATACTTTCATAGAAAACTTCTTGTGGCTCATCCTTGCTGGGTGGCATTTTCATTGTTACAAGAAATTCATCTGACCTGTGAATATGGGAAATTTACCGTGCATTCTCTTCTTTATATTAGTGGCCTTCTTTATAAGGCCACTAATAAAGACTAATTCCATTTCCTATTTTTGTGGAATTCTTCTTTTTATACTCTTCCATATATACGCTATATATATGATCTTTAACCTACCTCTGATCTATAATTTTAAAAAGTGTCCTGACTTACTTTACAGTGTTTGGTGTTGACTTCTTATTTTTTGAGTCAGGGTCTCAGTCTATTGCCCAGGTTGAAGTGCATTTGCACGATCATGGCCCAGTGCAGCCTCCACCTCCCGGGCTCAAGTGATTCTCCTGCCTCAGCCCTTTGAGAAGCTGAGACCACAGGAACGTACCACCATGCCTAGCTAATTTTTAAATTTTTTGTAGAGAAGGAGTTTCGCCATGCTGCCCGGGCTGGTCTTGAACTCCTGAGCTCGAGTGACCCTCTTGCCTTGGCCTCCCAAAGTGCTGGGATTACAGACATGAGCCACTGTGCCCGGCCTGGTGTTAACCCTTGACAAGAATTGTTTTAAAAGTCTCAAATTGTGTCCACTGGCTTCCCTTTATCCACATCTTTGCATATTGTTCAAACAATGTTAGCTGGCAAGCCAGGAATCAGTTTCTCTGACAAAAAATTGTTCCCATTTTTTAAATGTGTTCATTTCTGTAGCAAGCCCAGTCTTTATTATAAGCCCTGCCCCAGGTGGATGTCAGAGTCAGCAGGCTGTCATTGCCAGAGCTCCACATCCCGCCCCACCCCACTGCCACCTGTGTAAGGTATCCCAATGGTCATTCATTCACTCTGCATGTGTACTTACAGTTTATATATTTTGACAAACAATTTTATAATTTCACCTTTGAGCTCCTTCAAAGTCTGAGAAAGATGTCATCCTGACCAAAGATGATTATAACACATCTGGTTTTGGAAATCAGGTAGTCTAGTTAATGCCAGCCCCCTAAAAACATATCCATAAGTCAGGTATCTATCATTTGCATGGTGAAGATTCATTGAAAGGTTCAGCTTGAATGTGCTCTTTGATTCAGGGTTTGTGTTGGAGCCTCAGACTCCTACAGAGCAGTGCAAAAATCAGACCCTGGTGTCATTCCAGGTAAAGTCTGAAAACCCCAATCTGATATTCAGGCATCCCAAAAGCCTGTCTGTGTGGGTCTCTCCATCCTGCTTCTTACCTCTGTCTCTGCCATTATTTCCCACCCAGCCTATGAGCATCCCACCTGTTCATACTTGAACACAGAATGTATACTAACTTGCAGCATTAATCATGTTTTACACTGTTCACACCCTGTTTGCCCAAACAGATGGGGAGCTACTTAGGGGGATGCCATGTCTCCCACCTCTTTGAAATCCCATCACCCAATAAGTATTTCAAAAAGGTAGGAAAGTGTGATAATATTTATAGTATTTGCTCTATTTGCCCATACACTCTCTTGTGCTATAAAACAACATCTAGTTTACCAGGTCTGAATTAGGCAATAATGTATTTATTAGCAAGTATGAACAATGTCACATTACACCCCTCCTGTTAGGAAATCTACAATCAGGAGGGATTTCAAGGCAGTTTCTTTTAACTTCTTCCCATGAAATCTTGGGTCTAATCAGTTATTTTTTCTGTCTTTCTTCTACTTTTATTTCTAAGAGTCTAAGAGGTTCAGAAAAGGTAGGAACACACAGGGGAGGTCAGGAGAATGTCAATAACTCCAGCAGAAGAGAAATGGGCTCCTGTTTCTGAAAGATAATGAAAATAGAAGACACTTTTCACTGAGGGTAAAGCCCTTTTAGCAGCTCTAGATTTAGCCACAGAAAAATCACTCACTTTATTAAAAAAAAAAATAAATGAAAAAAAACAAAACAAAACTCTTCAAGCTGGCATTTGGCAGCAAGACAATGCTGAGAACATTTTCTCAACTCGGCTGGGAAAACCCGGGAAAGAACACGTTGAGGAAAAGAGGGTAACACTCTTCCGATCTGTTGGGACTATGCCAGAGAAAATCAGGCAACAGATTAAAGAGGCTTGTCAGTCACCCCACTGGTTTCAGGGGCACATTACTCACTACCACCTCTATGCAATGAGTCACCCCTTGCAGAACCCGTCACAGCTCAAGTTTAATCAACCTCACAGCAGCGGGAAGGTGCATCACTCTGTCTTCCCATAAAAGATGGGCCACTGCGGCACCAAGGCATAGAGGAAGAGCTACAAGTTACACAGGTGAGAAGAGTATCAGGGACAGTGTCCATGGGAGGGGAGGAAAGAAGATTCCCAGGCAGAGGTATGTGAAGCCCACTGAGCCGTGGGCTCAGCCATGGTGATCTGGTCCCAGGGAAAGAGGTGGTCACTGAGGCATCATGAATTCAAGGAGCACCTTCTGCTGCTACTCCTCATGGTCAGGCTCCTCATCACTGTCCTCCCCCAGAGGAAATTCCTTCGTGGGCTTCTGGGTTGCATACATCCGGGTCTCCATGGGGCAGTCCTGACTCAGAATAGCCTGCAGAGAGAGGCAAGAAGAGAAGCCACTGCACATTATTATCATTTTTTTTTTTTTGAGACGGAGTCTCGCTCTGTTGCCCAGGCTGGAGTGCAGTGGCGCAATCTCGGCTCACTGCAAGCTCCGCCTCCCGGGTTCATGCCGTTCTCCTGCCTCAGCCTCCAGAGTAGCTGGAACTACAGGCGCCCATCACCACGCCAGGCTAATTTTTTGTATTTTTAGCAGAGACGGGGTTTCACCATGTTAGCCAGAATGGTCTCGATCTCCTGACCTCGTGATGCGCCCGCCTCAGCCTCCTAAAGTGCTGGGATTACAGGCGTGAGCCACCGCGCCCGGCCAACCACCGCACATCTTTTTTTTACCAATCTCCTCATTCCGTCCTCCCACTAGTTCTTCCAAGGCTGGCATTGCTAAGTACTCAAGAAACATGCATAGGACCCTCTGCATGTACATGCACCAGCCTCCCGGGGTACCTAGTATATCAACCCTTGTCAGGACAAGTATCTCATTTGCTTTTAACTGAATTTAACAGTGGTAGTGAAAGTTACAGCAGGAAGCCAAATGGAATCACCACCACTCCCTATCACACCTTCATGTCTTCTTTTGTTCCCTTGAGCAGCCTCTGTCGGTATCCCAAACCCATCAGGCCCTCAGGATGTTTGTGCTGCAGTAAGAGGAAAGTGCTTTATTAAAGAAAATCCTATGGTATGGATCTCTTCCCTGGGGTTTTTGTACTTTTAAAAACGTGACCTGCTGACCAACATGGATAAACCCCATCTCTACTAAAAATACAAAAAATTAGCCAGACATGGTGGTACATGCCTGTAATCCCAGCTACTTGGGATGCCAAGGCAGGAGAATCTCTTGAACCCGGGAGGCAGAGGTTGTGGTGAGCCGAGATCACACTATTACACTCCACCCTGGGCAACAAGAGTGAAACTCCATCAAAAAAAAAAAAAAAAAGTGACCTGGTAAGGATAATGTTGCACTAGAGTGAATGAGTGGATGAACGGATGTGCCAATGGAATTCTGCCCACTTATGAGGGAGTTAACTTGGTAACTCACATCTTGCTAGTAACTAGCAAGCTAAGAACAGTAACTACAGGATGTCTTTGATGGTCCTCTGCCCCCATTTCCCTTCTCTACTGAAGACCCTTCCTGATAGCCCCAGAAAGAGGGAAGTGGTTACTTAGAGAAGGGAAATTAAGGAAGTGCACAAAAGAAATATGAAGATGAAAGGGGATTGGGAAACATGGCAAAGCAGAGAGAGTATCAACAGAGCAATAGAGGGAGGAAATAACAGCCCAGGATGAAAGGGAATGAGAGAGATGATGGAAAGAAACAGAAGTGAATTTCTCTTTTAACAGTCGGTGCTCCTTACAAGCTTCTCTTCCTTTGCCGGGGGGCTCCGCAGGTAGTAGCAGAGTGGAGCATAGACGATGTTGATGACCCCAGTGATGACCATGAGCCAGGGAAAACCGATGGCCTTTACAATGGCACCACCGGTGGATGGACCTGGGAGGGATACATCAAAGTCATAAGTGTCTATGGAGCCTCCATATGGAGCATCCTCCACGTAGGACACTATGCTAGGGGCAGTGGGTGACCCAGAGGATGTCTCAGCGTCAAAGATCTCCAGAACCCTAGGAGGATAGCTTCCTGGCTGCACTTCCAGCTGGTAAAGAGTAGACAGGGGAAAGTGGGGCACCAGGTCCTGCCAACATACCTATAGCAAAGCCCATGCAAAAAGCCACATCAGCGATGGCGTAGACACTCCCATACACCGAGGTGTGGCGTAGATCCACCAGGTGCCCCATGATGGGCATCATAGAAGAATCCACCATGCCTGTGGCCAGAGCAAACAGGACACAGTCAGCCCCACCCACAGTTAGTACCACCCCGCCTCTCCTCCTCCATTTAGTCCATTTGCTTTGTCTGCTGTCTTCTGCCTCGGACTAACACCTGTTCCAGGTGGGAATTACGAGCTCATCTCTCCACAACCCTGCCAGCTGCCCTCCTGATCCTTCTGCCTCTGCACCTACCTCCTCTGATGAGAAAAGGGGGAGGAAAGGCATCAGACCCAAAGCCAACATGCAGGGGCTTATTGTTTTCTTTGAGGGCACTTCTTACCTATGGCAAGGCCAAGCCCTGCATTGGGGCCAATGAGACCAAAAATATTGTGAGCCAGAGGAACCTGCATGGGGAAGGAGGAAGAGTCATCAGGACTCCAGATGGGTCAGGTGGGAGCAAGGTTCAAAGAGTTTTCACATGAAATGCATTTATTCAGAGTGCACTATTGGCCACATACATCATCCTCCTGCACTCTCAGACTTTCTCATGGAAAAGAATCTATACCTCCATTTTAAGGATATGAAAACTTGACCAGCGCTGTTGTGTTTATTTATTGCTCTATCCAGAGTTACAGATCTAATGAGTGGCAAGATCAAGTTTGGACCTCAGACTTGGCTCCATTATGCTCTAACGAGGGTCTTCCTCTGTTCCATGGATACTTTCTCCCCTTCCTCTACCCCTCTTCACCTAAACATACACTCCTGGTCTCATTCTTCATGGAATAAAGTTGCCTCTGTTTTCCATTATGGACATCACTGAAAGGTTTCATTTAGACTTCTAACTTGGTAGCTGTTGGAAAAAGAAGATAGAGAAGAGGCCCCAACAACCAGTTAGCTGTAAGCTAGAGGGGGCAGGTGGTGTGGCTTGGGTCCCCTGTCAGGAAGCTTGTGAGACTCATTCCCATTGCCCTCCCAATCCCCCAACAAAAACCCCTTCTTCCCTCTTTTTCAGGTTCCTTACCTCCCTCTCTGGGTACCTGCCATTCAAACCTGCTACCCCAGGACACTCACCCCTTAAGGGTTTAGCATACCGTTTAGATGCTGCTGGCTGATAACAATTTTTAGGGTTCATGCCTCAAGAAATGTTTATAAATTATCAATAGTATTGGCTGAGATTCACTATGGGCTCACCATGTGCCAGACACTGTGGTTTATTTGGATTACCTTGACAACCCTGTGGACACCATCAGAACCCTCTCTACATAGATGAGGATGCTGAGCACACGGAGATGAAGTAACCTGCTCAAAGTCACATGCATAGAAAGTGGCAAAACCTGCCATGGAACCCGGATCCCATGCTCCTGCTCAGGACCTCCAGCTGGTCTTGAGCACAGTTTACAGTGCCTTGTAGCCCTGTTCTTCTCTCCCTCAGGCCTAGGAGGTTTGTGTGTTTCTCATCCCCACTGGGGAGAGGAGGAAATGAAGGCTTTGAGAACTTGAGGGGGATTCTTGGAAATGGAAAAGTCCTTCTTTCTTTCTTCTTCTATCAAGCCTCTGGTGCCAGAGACTGGGACATAGATGATGGTTCCCTGGGGATTTATGAGGCTCTGTCAGGGTGGGATGAGTAAATGAAGTCATAAAACGCACCATTTTGCCATCCCCAGAAATGGATACCAACATGTATCACTTCATATGCCCACATGTACAGCCTCAGACCTCCGGCTCCAGCTGCCCTACAGCCCTCTTCCTCTCCTTTCCCACTTCCCCTCAAAGGAAAGCCACTGCAGCTGGTGGCCTCTTCCCCCGTGCTAAATTCCTGCCTATTCAGAAACAGTCTTTCTGACAGTCCTTGCCAAGCCATCTCTGCTCATCTTAAAGGAAATTAGTCTTTAAATGTCTGTGTCTTTCTCTCTCTCTCTCTCCCTCTCTCTCTCTCTCTCTCTCTCTCTCTGTCTGTCTGTCTCTCGCTCTCTCTCTCCTTCCCCTCCCCCAGGTCTTCTTATACTTACACAGAGCAAGCTGGTACCTACTACCAGCATCCCGATTAGGGAACACAGCCACCTGGAAGAAAAAAGCCATCATCAAACACCACTAGGGGAGAGCTCCCCTCCACCTGTACCCCATCACCGCCATGCTGACCTGTCCCACCAGCCCTAATCCCAGCAACCCCTTAGGACCTGAGGACAGCATCCCTACATGACCAGTTTGTACCCAAATGAGCTCTCTCCCTGCCCTTTCCTTGTCTCCCCTGGCTCCATCCCTTTTTCTATAGAAAGGCAGAGGAGGTGCCGTGGGACACACTCTTCCTTCCCTTACAGGAGGAATCAGCTGACTCAGGAGGCACTTGTTCCTTAGAAGTAGCCCTCAAACTTAACTCATGCTGTTGCCCAGCTCAGACTGCCTCCTACCTGTCCTATTTTATTTGGTCCTTGAGGTCTGTCTCAAAAAACACAGAAAGTACCAAACTTCTTTCCTTCTCTGATGTCCTATGGCAGTGCTTCTAAAATCTTGATGCTAAACTCCAAAGATAAAATTAAAGCTGTCCTTATTGTAGTGAAGGGACAGAATGGAGACTCATAGCTCTTGGCCCCCAACCCTTCCTCCTCAGTGGCCTCTGGGGTGCCTCTATAGAACTCCTTAGGATTCCACAGAACATAATTTGAAAACTACTTTCCCAAAGTACTGCATTTTTCATAGCTGTTCTCTGTTGTGGTTATTTTATCTCCTCAACTGGACAGCAAATGGATGGAAAGTAAGGGGTGCCCCTCATGTATCCACTGCCTCTTCTATAACAATCAGCTCAGAGCTCAGGACAATCCATTCTCCATACCACCCTCACCACTCACTCACTGCCCATCCTCCCAGTGGGAAGTTTTTATCGGTGTGTACTCATCCTAAACTTTCAACCGTATGGAAGCTGTTCATCATTCCAAGATCAGGAACGGGCGCTCTTCCATCTTACATTTCTACTGTTCGTCCCAGATCCCGAGGCTACATACCGACCCATCTTGTTGGCCAACACACCAAAGAGGTTGGTGCCAATGAGGTAGGACACACTGGCAGGCAAGAAAGCTAGACCTGTGGAAGGACACAGATCCTTACCTTAGGACATGTCCAATTTACTCTAAAATGCCTTGTCTCGTACAAGACACTGAAGTCCACCCCTGTAACCTTCCAAGATCCCCAAACCACTTTGTTTTATGATCTGGGGACCTTTGTGCAAACCCACAGTAGTTGCCATAGGACCCCCACACCTCTCCTTTCTTCAGGAGCAAGGCTTTGTTTAGCCTCAGTACTTTTCTTTTTGTTTTCTTTCTTTTTTTGAGACAGGGCCTCACTCTGTCACCCAGGCTGGAGTGCAGTGGTACAATCTCAGCCCACTGCAGCCTCGACCTCCTGGGATCAAGTGATCCTCCCAGCTCAGCCTCCCAAGTGGCTGGGATTACAGATGAACACCACCACACCTAGTTGTTTTTTTTTGTTTTTTTTTTGTTTGTTTGTTTGTTTGTTTGTTTTGTAGAGATGGAGTCTCGTCATGTTGCCCAGGCTGGTCATGAAATCCTGCCTGCCTTGGCCTCCCAAAGTGCTGGGATTACAGATGTGAGCCCCCACACCTGGCCTAGCCTCAGTACATTTAATGTGCTTCCAGCTCCCCACTTAGATTCCTAATGAATGGCCCTGATGAGCCGTTCTCATGTATAAAATACCCTTGATTATCAGCGTGAGAATGTGAGCTTCAGAGGTGGTGTGGTTGGGTGCCACATACCCATACATAATTCCTGGGAAGTGAATTCCTGCCTTGCTACTTACCAGCCCTTCTATTTCTCTGAGAGGGATCTTGGATTAATTACTAAACCTTTCTGAGCCTTGGTTTCCACATCTGGAAAAAGCAAAGCTATGATTATATCATACCGGGTTACAATGTGGAGCAAATTAGGTAATGCATGCAAAAGTATTTTGTAAATTGAAGTCCTGAACACATGGCTTTTTGTGACAGTAGAGGGAAGTGTTCAGGAAACATGGGCTTTGGAGCCACACAAAGCTCCAAATTTTGCATTCAAACCATGGCTTGATGACTTGTTAGCTCTGTGACTTTGGACAATTTACTTAACCTGTCTGAGTCTCTTCCATTCATTCATTCATTCATTCATTCATTTTAACAAACTTTGACCATGTGTCAGGTATTCTGGGGGCTGGGAATACAGCGGTGAATAAGACAAACAAAATTCTAGCCCTCAGCTAGCTTACACTCCAGGGGAGGGAGACATACAATGAACAAGTAAACAAATACACAAAAAAGATAATTTTGAAAAGTGTTGAGTTATGTGCATGAAATTTAATGTGGTGATATAGCAGAGCAACTCAGAAGGGCTATCTGGGATTTCAGGGTTGGGGAAGGCTTCTTTGGGGAAGTGACATTCAAACTGAGACCTTAATAACCAAAAGAGAGCACTTCAAGCAGAAAATAAAAAGCACCTAATGGAAATTAAGATGTCTTAAAGAAATCATTTAGTTTGCTCTAAGAATAGAAAGGATATCTGTGTGCCTGAAATATAAGAGGAAAGTGGAGGGTGAGAAAATGAAGGTCCTAGAAATGAATCTGGTTATTCCAAGGGCAATGGAAGCTTTGGAAGGAAATGACATAATTGGATTTATATTTTCTAAAATCCCCTAGAAGAATGGGTTCATGGGACAAGAGTGGAAGTCAGACTATTTGCAGAATCCAAGAGAAAAGTGATGGTGCCTCAGATTAGAAGTCATGGTGGAGAGAAGTGAACAAAATGGTAGGTTTTGGAGGTAAGTTGGTGACATTTTCTGTTTGATTGGGTAAAGACATAGCGGGAGTGAGGAGGGGAAGTGAGAAATCAGGGATAACCTAGGTTTTTGTCTTAATCGATTGGGTAGCTGGAGATAGGGAAGACTGGTTGAAGTGCAAGAGCATGGGGGGAACGTGAGAGGTTTGAAGTGACTGGTAGATATTCAAGCAGAGCTGTCAGGCAGTTAGATACTTAAAGCCATGCAAATGGATGGGATTGCCTATGAAAGAACAAATAAAGAATAGAGATCCAAGGACTGAGCCTTGGGGGACTCCTATCTTTAGACATTAGCAAAGAAGGCAGAGATAGCACAGGAGATGAGGAGTAGCCAATGAAGTAGGTGAGGGGAGATGGAATCGAGAAGAGGAGTCTGGCCTTTGATCAGGGCTGGGATGCTCCAACCATAATTAAAGAGAAGACTGGGAATGTGGGTTCAGATGCAGGATATTGGGTACACTTAGTGATGGAAACACGACAGTTCCATTCTCATTGCTTCCATTTTATCATAGCTTCTGTTTTCTCAATGAGTAGGAGGCAAAGTCAACCACTGAGAATGATGATGGTGAAGGGACGGGAGTGCATATGGGGCTAAAATGAAGAAATATAAAATAGTCATTTTGGAAAAGAAGAAGGAGGACATAACTAGGGGCTTAGAGAAAGATTGTTGGACAATGTGAAACCCACTTTAGGTTTGTGGCCATAAATATAAGGTGAGACCAACAGCGTGGTTGTGCGTTTTTTTTGCAGCCCCATGCCATGGCTCAGTTACAGACAAGGAGTAGGCAACAAGATAGCTTAGCTAGAGTGAAGTTTTTGGCAAGTGACAAGCCCAGAGGGAGTGAGGAGTTTCAGAAGAGTGACATCCATCATGAGCCATTGAATCCAAGTTGAGGAAAGAAAGAAGTGAGGACAGGCTGGGCGCTGTGGCTCACGCCTGTAATCCCAGCACTTTGGGAGGCAGAGGCGGGTGGATCACAAGGTCAGGAGATCAAGACCATCCTAGCTAACACAGTGAAACCCCATCTCTACTAAAAAATACAAAAAATTAGCTGGGCATGGTGGCAGGTACCTGTAGTCCCAGCTACTCAGGAGGCTGAGGCAGGAGAATGGCATGAACCTGAGAGGCGGAGCTTGCAGTGAGCCACTGCACTCCAGCCTGGGCGACAGAGCAAGACTCTGTCTCAAAAAAAAAAAGAAAGAAGTGAGGACAGGAGTAGTGATGGAAGAAAAATTACTCAGGACAGTGAATTGGTGATCCCAGTTTGGTCCAAAATTGTTGATATGGGACTATTAGAACACCTGAGAAGGGAATATGTAAGATGAGAACTGGATTGTTTGGAATTGAGATTTCAGAGGAAATATAATTAATACTGACATCAAGGTGATATTGCTTGATATTTGTCCTCTTGAAATTTCACGTTATAACTTCATCTCCAGTGGTAAAGGTGGGGCTGAGTGGGAGGTGTTTGGGTCATGGGAATGAATCCCTCGTGAATGGCGTGGTGCTGTCCCCATCCTCACGGTAATGAGTGACTTCTTGCTCTGTAAGTTCACACAAGAGCTGGTTGTTAAAAGAGCTGGGCCTCCTGAGGCCCTCACCAGAGGCAGATGCTGGTGCCAGGCTTCTTGTACAGCATGTAGAACCATAAGCCAAATAAACCTCTTTTCTTTATAAATTACCCAGCCTCAGATATTCCTTTATAGCCATGCAAAATGAACTAATACACAAAGTGAGGGCATAAATAGGATTAAATTGGTTAAGGTGAGAAGGAGGAAAGGATCATTGCAAAAGAGTAGATTAAAAAATTAGGAGGCCAAGATCCACAGTTATCCACCTGGATATTGAAGTCACCAAAAATGGTGACAGGAGTAGAGGTGAAAAGAACATGGACCAGATGTTGACAGCTTTAATGAATGAGGAGGGACAACTAAGAGGTCACTAGATGTTTGCAACAAACAAGGGTTCGGTGGTGTAATCTAACGACATGACATTCAAAGGAGCTGAGATCTTTGAAGGAGAATAGAGAAGAAATGACTCGGAAGCAACAAAGGAGAGCAAGGTGTGGAACATGAACTTCCATCTAGATGTTGCAGGAAAACAATGTTCACAGAAAACATCTGGGTCTCAGTAGGGCAAGAAGATGAAAGACATGTTCAGAGAAAAGGATGAGGGCATAGGATGCTTGCTGATGACAAGTCCAGGATTTGAAAGAGCACTGGGAAATTTGGTAAGATCAAGAAATCTCTGAGGGCAACCCCCTTTGGGAGCTCTGTTTTCACTCTATTAGATCTTGCAACTGTACACTCTTCTGGTCCGTGTTTGTTCTGGCTCGAGCTGAGCTTTCATTCGCCGTCCACCACGGCTGAGCGCTGCCATCACAGACCCACCATTGACTTCCACCCCTCCAGATCTGGCAGGGTGTCCACTGCACTTCTGATCCAGCAAGGCACCCATTGCCACTCCTGATTGGGCTAAAAGCTTGCCATTGTTCCTGCACACCTAAGTGCCCAGGTTCATCCTAATCCAGCTGAACACTAGTCACTGCATTCCACGGTTCTCTTCTGTGACCCACGGCTTCTAATAGAGCTATAACACTCACCACATGGCCCAAGGTTCCATTCCTTGGAATCTGTGAGGCCAAGAACCCCAGGTCAGAGAACAAAAGGCTCGCTGCCATCTTAGGAGCAGCCCGCCCCATCTTGGGAGCTCTAAGAACAAAGACCCTCCAGTAACATCTGGTGGCCTGTACAGGGCTTCTCCAAAGTGGTGAGTAATATTGGATCACTTTTGCTTGCTATTCTGTCCTATCCTTCCTTAGAATCAGAGGAAAATACCGAGCACCTGTCAGCCAGTTACAAACGATTAGCGTGGCTGCTGGACTTAAGACTCAGCTGGGAGGCTTTCTGGGAAAAGGCTTTCTAACAACACCCAATCCTTCTAGGATGGGAGCATTGGTCTGCCTGGAACCAGCTTCTGCTTTCACAATTTTCTTGGGGGAAGCCGAAGGCCGACTAGAGGCAGAAAGCTGTCATCCCAAACTCCGGGCATTGATCAGTCAAGATCATGATGCAACCAGAAGTCTCTACTCTATAGTTGCCCATGTGTGCACCCCTACCTCTTCTTCTGACCCATACCTCCTGGGTTCCAACCATGACTTTCTTGAAAGTGTAGCCCCAGAATTCTCCTTACCTCTGAATCTACTTCCTCCAATCCCTGCCTCCTAGGTACTAATGCTTCAGACTTTCACTTCCTCTCCCAAGTATTAGAGCAAGTTGTATCTCCAAAGGGGATCTAAGGAAGCTCTACACTGTGTCCTTAGGCACCAAGGCTATGAACCCACGGAGTCTTGCCCCTGGTGTCCCTCCCAATTTAGGTATACAGCTCTCAACATGGGCAGTTATGTGGGACCCGTTCCCCACCACCCTTGCAAGGGCCACAAGTTTGTAAATGGCTAGGAGGATTGCTCTGCCATTGTGTAAGTACTCTCCTCTCTCAATTTCTATCCAACTTACCCACCCTGTGCAATACAATCTCCAAGCCTCAGCTCCTTGGCGAGGGCCTTAGAACTGATGACCCAGTACTTTAACACTGGAACTGGGCCTGCGACAACATAATAGATCAGTATCAAAGTGAATTGAGTAAATTAAAGGGATGCCCCAAATGCATTCAATCTGTAGTGGCAACTGCTTTGCTAACAGAAGGAAGTAGAAAAATAACTTTTAGAGGAAACCTCATTGTGAGCACACCTCACCAGTTCAGAACTATCCTAAGTCAAAAAAAAAAAAAAAAGTAGCTTACTAACTCAAAAATCTTAAAGTATGGGGCTAGTCTGTTAAAAAAAAAAAAAGATGACTTAACATTAACCACTGAAAATTCCCTTAACCCAGCCAATTTCCTAACAGGGGATTTTAATCTTAATTACCATACGAAGGTCTGACCAGACTCAGGAGGTACCCCCTTAAGGACAGGAAGATAGATGGTTCCTCCCGGGTGACTGAGGGAAAAAACCGTAATGGGTATTCAGTAATTGATAAGGAAACTCTTGTAGAAGCAGAGTTGGGAAAATTGCCTAATAATTGGTCTGCTCAAAGGTGTGAGCTGTTTGCATTCAGCCAAGCCTTAAAGTACTTACAAAACCAGTAAGCCCATCTTTTTCTCCTTGCTCTTCTTCTTTTAGGAAAAAGGCACACAGGATAAACAGGATCCATCTCTCATATTTCTTACCCAAAAGGACTTAATCCGGGGCAACAAAAAGTTTAAGATCAATAATTAGGGTGTATTCCTACAAAGGAAAAGGACAAATGCCCTAGTGGGCAAAAACTCTATCTCAATCCTGACTCAAAGGGTTACCTACACCCTCTCTGAAATGAATTTGCATAAGAATTGTTGTTTATGGGAATGCATCTTGATGGGGCAACTGGGTTGCGCAGCCCAGCTCAAGAACTCACCCCTGATCGCAAAGGCAATGTTGGGCACGCTGGTAATGGACCACCATAATCCAGCAGCCTGGACTCCTTTCTTTGTGGTCAAGAAAGGCGGGAAAACAGGTGCAGGACTGCTACATCGGTGAGCGTAACTAATCCGGTAAGCAGATGTCCCTGGGTGGTTACACACCCTGGAAAGGAATAAGCATTAGGACCATAGAGGACACTCTAGGACTAATGCTCATCGGAAAATGACTAGGGGTGCTGGCATCCTCATGTTCTTTTTTCAGATGGGAAACGTTTTCCCCAAGGCAAAAACGCCCCTAAGATGTATTCTGGAGAGATATAATGTTACTGCTAGATCAGACACTAACCCCAAATGAAAGAAGGGCAGCTATAATTGCAGCCTGAGAGTTTGGCGATCTCTGGTATCTCAGTCAGGTCAATGATAGGGTGACAACAGAGGAAAGAGAACGATTCCCCACAGGCCAGTAGGCAGTTCCTAGTGTAGACTCTCATTATGATGCAGAATCACAACATGGAGATTGGTGCCGCAGACATTTGCTAACTTGCGTGCTAGAAGGACTAAGGAAAACTAGGAAGAAGGCTATGAATTACTCAGTGATATCCATTATAACACAGGGAAAGGAAGAAAATCCTACTGCCTTTCTGGAGACACTAAGGGAGGCATTGAGGAAGCATACCTCTCTGTCACCTGACTCTATTGAAGGCCAACTAATCTTAAAAGATAAGTTTATCACTCAGTCAGCTGCAGATATTAGAAACAAACTTCAAAAGTCCACTTTAGGCCCAGAGCAAAACTTAGAAACCCTACTGAACTTGGCAACCTCAGTTTTTTATAATAGAGATCAGGAGGAGCAGGTGGAATGGGACGAACGGGAGAAAAAGAAGGCCACCCCTTTAGCCATGTCCCTCGGCAAGTGGACTTTGGAGGCTCTGGAATATGGAAAGCCTGGGCAAATCAAATGCCTAATAGGGCTTGCTTCTAGTGCAGTCTACAAGGACGCTTTAAAAAAGATTGTCCGAATAGAAATAAGCCACCCCCTCATCTATGCCCCTTATGTCAAGAGAATCACTGGAAGGCCCACTGTCCCAGGGGACGAAGGTCCTCTGAGTCAGAAGCCACTAACAGATGATCCAGCAGCAGGACTGAGGGTGCCCAGGGCAAGTGCCAGCCCATGTCATCACCCTCACAGAGCCCTGGGTATGCTTGACCTTTGAGGGCCAGGAGGTTAACTGTCTCCTAGACACTGGTGCAGCCTTCTCAGTCTTACTCTCCTGTCCCTGACAACTGTCCTCCAGATCTGTCACTATCTGAGAGGTCCTAGGACAGGCAGTCACTAGATACTTCTCCCAGCCACTAAGTTGTGACTGGAGAACTTTGCTCTTTTCACATGCCTTTCTAATTATGCCTGAAGGCCCCACTTCTTTGTTAAGGAGAGACATTCTCGCAAAAGCAGGGGCCATTATACACCTGAACATACAGAAGGAACACCTGTTTGTTGTGCCCTGCTTGAGGAGGGAATTAATCCTGAAGTCTGGGCAACAGAAGGACAATATGGAGGAGCGAAGAATGCCCGTCCCGTTCAAGTTAAACTAAAGGATTCCACCTCCTTTCCCTACCAAAGGCAGTACCCCCTTAGACCTGAGGCCCAACAAGGACTCCAAAAGATTGTTAAGGACCTAAAAGCCCAAGGCCTTGTAAAACTATGCAACAGCCCCTGCAGTACTCCAATTTTAGGAGTCCAGAAACCCAACGGACAGTGGAGGTTAGTGCAAGATCTCAGGATTATCAGTGAGGCTATTGTCCCTCTATACCAAGCTGTACCTAACCCTTATACTCTGCTTTCCCAAATACCAGAGGAAGCAGAGTGACTCACAGTCCTGGACCTTAAGGATGCCTTTTTCTACATCCCTGTACATCCTGACTCTCAATTCTTGTATGCCTTTGAAGACCCTCTGTACCCATACTTGCCTGGTAAGCCTATTTAATACCACCCTCACTAGGCTCGATGGAACCTTGGCCAAAATCCTACTAACTGTTGGATGTACCTCCCGCTGCACTTTAGGCTATACATTTCAATCTCTGTATCTTAACCTCCTGGTTAAGTTTGTCTCTTCCAGAATTGAAGCTGTAAAACTATAAATGGTTCTTCAAATGGAGCCCCAGATGCAGTCTGTGACTAAGATCTACTACAGACCCCTGGACTGGCCTGCTAGCCCATGCTCCAATGTTGATGACATCGAAAGCACCCCTCTCAAGGAACTTTCAACTGCATGACCCCTACTATGCCCCAGTTCGGCAGGAAGCAGTTAGAGCGGTCATCAGCCAACCTCCCCAACAGCACTTGGGTTTTCCTGTTGAGAGGGGGTACTAACAGACAGGACTAGCTGGATTTCCTAGGCCAATTAAGAATTCCTAAGCCTAGCTGGGGAAGGTGACCACACCCACCTTTAAACAAGGGGCTAGTAACTCAGCTCACACCTGACCAATCACATAGTAAAGAGAGCTCACTAAAATACCAATTAGGCTAAAAGCAGGAGGTAAAGAAATAATCAAATAATCTATCACCTGAGAGCACAGAGGGAGGGACAATGATCGGGATATAAACCCCAGGCATTCCAGCCAGCAGTGGCAATTCCCTTTGGGCCGCCTCCCATTATATGGTAGCTCTGTTTTCACTCTATTAAATCTTGCAGCTGCCAAAAAAAAAAAAAAAAAAAAAAAAAAAAAGAAAGAAAAAGAAAAGAAAAGAAATCTCTGAAATATGGGGATAATCATAATTTCTACCAGACAGGCCAGTTGTGAGGTTTAAACAAAATAGTGCATATCAAACATTTTGCATCGTGCCTGTCGCAGAGTAAGGGCCCTACAAGCACTGGTCTTGATTATTATCATCATAACTCGTGAGTGGCATGTCAGGACTTGAGTCCAGGCCATCTCACTCTAACTCCAAGTGTTTCCACTATGCCACACCCCCAGCGTGGTAGCACAGATGGCTCTGGTATAAGGAACTGTTTGAGATCAGCAGAGTGAGTTTGTCTGGATCTCACCAGCCCTTTTAATCCCTCTCTATACCTAGAAAAAAACAGTGCAGGCTAACAAAAAATACCATGGCAATTACAATTAAATTAAAAGTCAACAATCAACCATTTATTGGCTGACAACTTGTTTGCTTTTAATATTCTCTTCTATGGAGTAGAAGTAAGCACACCTTAGTGTATTTGTGTAGGCTATCCTGGACAGGTGGCAATCTGTTGCAAACTGTACCCATTCGTTTATATTTAATTGCTTAAAAAAATTAAAACTACTCAATTGTTTATCTAGTATGTGGAAGTAAGCACCTCTAGGAAGCCTACAGCCTCCTAGATACACCTCCTTGACATCATTTTAAATGGTGTAAAATTTCCTTAATTAGATTTTTCTCAATCCACGTTGCTCGTTCTTTAGGACCTGATTATAGCTTACATTTTAGCAGTATTTTGTGCAAAATAGGTGCTCCAGAATATGTATTTATAGATACATGACCCCTGCATGAAAAACATCTGTTTTTCACAGTGAATCTCTAAGGGGTGAGGGATTACACATTTTGTGACTATCAAAATGGTTTAAAGTAAAATTGTACAAATAATTTTTTATTTACTGATAGTATCCTGTATTCCACGCACTGGGCTAATCCATTTAGGATTCCAGATGAAAATGACTCTGAAAAATACCTACTTTTTTACAAATTAAAAAACTGAAGTTGGTCTTAGTCTGTTTTATTTTTGCTGCTGTAACATATTACCACAGATTGGGTAATTCTTAAAGAAAAAAGATGTATTTGGATCACAATGCTGGAAGCTGGGAATCGCAAGTGCATGGCACCAGCATCTGCTTGGCCATCTGGTGAGGGACTTCTTGTTGGGTCATAATACAGCCGAAGGGTATCACATGGAGAAAGGGCATTTGAGAGAGAAAAGAAAAAGGGGCCAAACTCCCCCCTTTTGTGACTAACCCACTCCTATGATAATTGCTTTAATCTATTCATAAAGGTGGTGCCCCTAGGACTTTATCACCTACTAAAGGTTCCACTTCTCAACACTGTTGCATTGGGGATTAAGTTTCCAACACACAAATTTTGGAGGACATAGCATTCTACCCCCGGCCTCCAAAATTCATGTCCTTGTCACAATGCAAAATGCATTCAATCCATCCCAATAGTTTCAGAAGTCTTAAGTGGTTCCAGTGTAAACTCAAAAGTCCAAAATCCAGAGTCTTGTCTAAATTAGTTATGGGTGAGATTCAAGGTACGATTAATCCTGAGGCAAATTCCCTCCAGCTGTGAGCGTGTGAAATCAAAACAAATTATACTTGGCCCTTTGTATTTGCAGGTTTCACATCCTTGGATTCAACTAATCGCAGATCAAAAATATATGAGGAAAAAAAATAAAAATAACAGTACAAGATAAAAATAATACAAAAAAGAAAATAATACAGTATAACAACTATTTATATAGCATTTCCATTGCATTAGGTGTTACAAGTCATTGAGAAATGATTATAGTACATGGAAGTACGTGTGTAGATTATATGCAAATACGATGCCATTCTATGTAAGGGACTTGAACATCCTTTGAGTTTGGTATCCGTGAGGAGTCCTAGAACCACTCTCCTATGCACACCAAGGGATAATTTACCTACTTTCAAAAATAATGGTGGAACAAAGATAGAACAGGCATTCTTATTTCAAAAGGAAGCAACAGGGAAGAAGAAAGGGGTAACAGGTCCCACGAAAGTCCAAAGCCCAAAACAGAAAACAATATTATGTCTTAAAGCTGGAGAATAATTGCCTTTGACTCCATGTCCAAAATCCTGGGCACACTGGAGTGGAGTTTGGACCCCTAAGGCATCAGGCAGCCCCATGTCTGTGGTCTTTCCGGGCTGAGTCTACCCAGCAGCAATCATGGGTTGGAGTCTTGTGCTTGCAGGCCACCATGCTGGTGCCCCTACAGTTCCGTGATCTTGGAAGTGGCTGTGCATGGCATCTTTTGAAATTTAGGTGGAAGAAGTCATGCACCCATAGCTCTTGCATTCTGCGCACGTGCAAAATTTGCACCACATAGACACCACCAAGGCTTACCACTTGCACCCTCCAGAGTGGGAGGCCAGGCCACATCTGGGCCCACTTGAGCCATGGCTGGCACAGTTGAGGGGCACTGCACTGAAACGCAGAGAGCAGAGTCCCAAGGTGGTCCTGGGCAGTGAGCCCATGGAGGGTGTCCCAGGCTTATTCCCAAACCATTCTGCCCTCCTACATCTCTGGGCCAGTAATGGGAAGCACAGCTTCGAAGGTCTCTAAAATGCCTTTGGGTCTTTCTCCCACAGTCTTAATAAGTGGTGCCTGGCTCACTTTTATCCACACTAATCACTTTAGGTTGCTTGGCCACAGTCTTGGTGTGCTCTCCTAAAGATGCCTTTTCTTTCTTTCCAAGGCCAGGCAGCAAATTTTCCAAGTCTTTCTGTTTTGTTTCTCTTTTAACCATAAATTTCACCTTTAAATCATTTCTTTGCTTTCACATGTCACTATATATGCAGTTAAAACAGCCACAAAGCAGCCTGAAGCTTTGCTGCTTAGATATTTCTTCTGCCAGATATCCTAGTTTATTGCCTCTAAGTTCTTCATTCCATGAAGTCCTAGGTTATGGATACAAGTCTGCCAAGTTTTTTGTAACTGTATAACAAGGATGGCCTTTACTCTAGTGTCCAATACCTTGTTCCTCATTTCTATCTGAGACCTCGTCAGAATGACCTTCACTGTCCATATTTCTATCAACATTCTGGTCACAACCTCTTAACCAATGTCTAAAAAGATTCAGACTTTCTCTATAGCTCTCCTCTTCTTCTGAGCCCTCACCAGAATCACCCTTAATGCCTTAACCACAGCAATACAGGCTCTTTCTAGCCTGCTCCTCCAAATTATTGCAGCCTCTACCAATTTTCCAGTTCCAAAGCTGCTTCCATATTTTCAAGTATTTGTTATAGCAGCAGCCCGGTTTCTCATTACCCATTTTCTGTCTTAGTCCATTTTCTGCTGCTATAATATAACAGAATACCAGAGTGCATGATTTATCAATGAAAGAGATTTATTTGGCTCAGGGTTCTGGAGGTTAAGAAGTTCAAAGGCAAGCCTCTAGTGTCTGTTTGGCCACCTGGGGAGTGC